>NC_000003.12:112190422-112493452 GCF_000001405.40 Homo sapiens | reverse complement strand
TGTAAACTTATTTAAGTTTCTTGTAAATTCTGGATATTAGGCCTTTTTCAGATGGGTAGATTGCAAAAATTTTCTCCCATTCTGTAGGTTGCCTTTTTGCTCTGATGAGAGTTTCTTTTGCTGTGCAGAAGTTCTTCAGTTTGTTGCAATTGCTTTTGGCATTTATGTCATGAAGACTTTGTGAGAAAAATGCCAAAAGCATTATCTACTCTTATCCTTGGTCACCAAGAAAAGCTAATAGTGCTTGAGAATCATGCGCTTGAGTTGTATTGTGTCAGTGAATTGTATCATATGCGATTTGCTTCACTTTTCTAATACTCTCCATTCTCTTACCTCAAAATAAGCTCAATATTTTGTACCTTTCTGGTATACTCTCATGGTTATGGACCTGATTTACATGTTTATCTCAATGGAAGAAGTGGCTTGTGTGCAGCATGTGTCTGTGTGTATGCATGCAGAGGTGTCATACAATTTGAGATTCACTTAGAACAGAGTCCAGAAGAGTGTTAGATCAGTCCCAGGAAAACATCAAGTTTAGCTGGCAGAGCTCTTTAATTTCTTTTTTCTGCCTTCTTGATAACCATGTTCATCTTATAAGCACAACCTGGAACTCACACACATCACAAATGGCCTATTATCCAGTATTTGGCTACAAGGGAGGCTGGGGCATTGAGATTTTTATCTGGGGGGTTATGGCCCCACTTCATTTTCCTCTATAATATTAGAAGATGAGAATTAATATTGGAAGACATTTAGCAGATTCTGTCCACATAAGTATTGTTTAGTATCTTCAAGGGCTTTGAAAATGCCAGTGAATCTCAGTGTGATGTCTGTGGTAGAATGTATTAGAGATGTGAGGAAGTATCTGGGAAGAAAGTAGAGATGGACTTTCCCTTTCCAATCATAATACATAAGCCACACTTAATCTGAACATCACAAGTAACAATCCTTCCACTGAAGTCAATATTTAGAAATACTCATGTTGGTTTCTGATCAAATGCCAGAGGCACTCACTGATGCTACTGTCAACAGCTTCTCAGGTATGCTGTCTACATTTGCTGCCCTATGTTTCTTCCTGAAATCCCTGTGACAAAGGTGGAAAATTTAGCCTCTCTGAAGGACAGGGCCTATGTGTAACAGGCAATCAAAGTCTCTCTAAATCATTGTTCTTTAGGACTCATTAAGTTGACTAGAAGCTTTTACTATTCAAGGGCGATAATTACATGTTGACCAACTAAAACCACCAGAAACTCATCCTTGTTACACAGAGTAGACAGGGCTCTAAGGAGTGCAATGCATATGAATCCTCTGGCCTAGAGAAGCAAAGTCAGTGACCAGTAGGGTAGATCTGCAAGGGGACATTTGTGACTTGGCAGAGATGTAATGAAGAAGTCCTGAAAGCAAGCTTAGAAAATTATCAAAGGACAAAGTTTTTTTCAATATTCTAGTTTTGACCAAGGCAAGCCTTGCTGGTTAATATATTTCTGTAGAGTTTCCTCTCCCACATAAAAGAAGAGCATGCTTATATTGGATGTGCTGCCTTTCTTCTCTCTATTATATAGATATATTTTTGCCTGGTGTATATACTAGTTATTATGCACCACTGCTGATCCCTAGAATGGTTGTTGGGGGTAATTTTTCACAGCAGAGTCTTCTGTGTTTCCATCTTGTCTTTACCATTCATAGGCTTTACACCTCTGGACAATGACTCAACTTCTGTGTGATTTCCCTAAATTCATCCTATCAGAAAACATAATAATATCTGGTACTTTATGTTGTTGTTATGTGCCAAGCATAGTGCTAAGAATATTTCCTATATGTTCTCATTTGCTTTCACAACAACCCTACTGGATAAGAGCTTGTGCTTTGGAGTTAGCCACACCTGGGTTAAAGTCCTAGCCTTGACTCTTCCTCCTACCAGCTGGTGATCTTGGGCAAGTGGCTTATATTCTCTAATACCCAGTTTCCTCAACTTAAAAAAATAAAGGCCATAATAGTAATTCCCTCATAAAATCATTGTGAGGGTCAAATGAAACAATACATGTTTGGTATCTAAAAGTGCCTACCTCATAATAAGAACTTTGAAAATATTAGTCATATTCTTTTTTTCCTCGTGTTAAGATGGATCTAGGTTGGGTCTACAGTATATAGATAATGTGAGGTGGAGTGTACCTGTGGGCAAGTGGCAAAGAATGTGTAGCAGTGATTCTAGAGGTGATCTCCTAAATGTAACTTAAACTTTCCATTGGGCATCTGACCTCATGACCTCTAAGGTTCTCTTCTTGTTCTACTCTTAAATATCTCAAGGAGAGGAAATGACATGGGGACTTTGTAAGCTTTGCTAAATGTCGGAAAAAGCAATGACAAATACTAGAATGACTGATTTTAGACAAAACAAGTTCAGAATTATTTCAAACATGATAAAATCAAGAGATACAGAGCTTAAAGTCTTCAGTGGCTCAATACAACTGCATTGAAGAGATCAGTCTTCAAATTTACTTGCCAAATAGTCATACTACACTAACAATGAGAAATTCTAACTGTAGAAGAAATTGCTTTAAAGTGTGCTAATACCATATGAAAGTAAACTTAAAGAAAAATTTCATAAATGAATATAAGAAGATATGTTTTTATAAGAAGGGGATTTTTAAGAGGAAATAATAATAAAAGATGATTGTGAAAATGCTCTCAATTTTCTTGTTTCATGGTTGCTTTTTTTTTTTAAATAATGGGCATAAATGTAGATTTATGCCCTGTGTATTCTTGGCATTAATACTTTCCAGTTCCATTTTTGTGAAGGAAATTTTACATTGTGTGTGTGTGTGTGTGTGTGTGTGTGTGTGTGTGTTTACCCAGGGAGAAAATGGCTCTTCTTGTCTAAAGAGCAATATCAGGTGATATCCACAGAGAATAAGTTAAATCTACTATTGCATACTACATCCTTGTCTGTGATCTGTATTGTCTATGATCTGTATCTTTAGTGTTGTTTTTCAGGAAAGACATATGTAAATAAACTTTCATTTTACAGAAGGGACTGAGGGCCAGTCAGTTTTCACTGTACTCGTGAGAACAATCACAGGGTTTTCCTTAAAGTAACAATAGTCACTTTTACAAAAGAAGCTCTGATTTTAACATATGTTTGTGTGTGTCATACTTACTTAATTTTCTCCAGGTATTCCTAGTACTTCTGAGAATATCTGACTTATGGAGTGGTTTATTTACCACAGAGTTAAAGTAATACCTTTAATAGACATTACATAATACATTAAATGAATACTTTCTATATGAGGTGGAACTCCCCCACCCTAACCTCATGTCACCACATTTCTGATTTTGTGAGTGTATGTGAGCTAGTTTATGATGGGAAAGTATGCTACCTGGGTTTTCTGATGTCGTCCGTGTGATTTCCCAAGGTATGCAAGTCAATGTCCTCCCAAGATCCTTGAAGTATGGTTCCATGGCTGCTATTGCTGTGTGTGGATTTGCCCTGACTATGTACAAACCACTGCCTTATGGGATCCCTAAACTCTAATTTCAAGGGAAGATTTGAGAGACAGATTATTTCCCTTCCCTGGTGGCCATCATCTCTCCCCTCCTCTCTACCATTCCAGCCTTCTAAAGTAAGGCAGAACATACCATCTGGATGCCTTTTTGCTCCTGAGTGTAAAGACTTCATTCCTTCTGTAGCCTCCCCAGCATGCGTCTGAAGTTTTGGTTTGCTTGTTGTTTGTCTGTGATAGTATTTTCTGATAGAAGCTAAAATCCTGGTTGATGTCACAGAAAATTATTGGTTTATTATACCGTTAGTAATCATTTTAGTTTCTCAAAAAATCATTTGTTTAATTTCTATGTTAAACTCTGACACTTTCTTAGCTCAAGTTAAGGCAATCTGCATTCATTACAGTCATTCATTTATTTGAATGGTTGCAACCACTTTGAAGTTTCCATAAATTTGTAAGAATTTTTCAATGGAGACATAGTGAAACTCAGGTGAGATTTTCCTCATGATAATGGTTATAATCAAAACATATGGTATTTAAAAATAAGAAATAATGATATTTTATAAAATATTCATAATCATAACCCTCTTTTTTTTTAAATGGCTGATTGGTTTCAAAAATTACCTACTCTCTTCAGCTCAGCAACTACACTTGCTCAGCTGGGAGTTACGAGACTATACAGTTGTTTGTGGCTGGCACTCCTTTCTGATCAGCTGATCTGTGTAGCTGGATGGCCATGGAGTGTCACTTGTTAAATATTTTTAATATCCACCCCTGAGTGGACATAAATCAGGCCTTTTCAAACTGAATACTTGTAAAGTCTAGCTTTTCTTTGGTAGTTATAACTTAACCACTGTAAGGTATGTTGAGCTGCATATGTTCTTCACCTCAGTGCCTTTTAGCCCACCTCTCTAAGGGCTTAGCTGTCTCTGCTGTGCAACCAGTACTACATAGAAAGGTAACACACCATCAAGGAAGTAGCAGACTAGATAGAAGACAGAAACATGAACACATATGTAGTTATAAAGAGTGATGCATGTCGGCTGGGTGCGGTGGCTCATGCCTGTAATACTAGCACTTTGGGAGGCCAAGGCGGGTGGATCACAAGGTCAGGAGTTCAAGACCAGCCTGGCCAACATGGTGAATCCCCATCTCTACTAAAAATATAAAAATTCCCCGGGCGCAGTGGCAGGTGCCTGTATTCCCAGCTGCTCCAGAGGCTGAGGCAGCAGAATTGCTTGAACCCGGTGGGTGGAGGTTGCAGTGAGCTAAGATCGCGCCACTGCACTCCAGCCTGGGTGACAGAGCGAGACTCCGTCTCAACAACAACAACAAAAAAGGAGTGATGCATCTCACACAAAATAGCATCAGACATTTGCTAGGGAGTGGGGATATGAGGGTATGGTAAGTTTGCATAAACTTACTGGGCTAGGCCCAGTGCGGTGGCTCACGCCTGTAATCCCAGCACTTTGGGAGCCCGAGGCGGGCGGATCACGAGGTCAGGAGATCGAGACCATCCTGGTTAACCGGGTAAAACCCCGTCTCTACTAAAAATACAAAAAATTAGCCGGGCGTGGTGGTGGGCACCTATAGTCCCAGCTACTCAGGAGGCTGAGGCAGGAGAATGGCGTGAACCCGGGAGGCTTGCAGTGAGCGGAGATTGCGCCACTGCACTCCAGCCTGGGCGACAGAGCGAGACTCTGTCTCAAAAAAAAAAAAAAAAAGAAAAAAGAAAACGGAAACTGTGACAGTGATGTGGAGAATTGAGGTGGAGGGAGGGAAACAAGGCCAAGTTTGGAATGTAGAAGACCATTTGGTACGCTGTGACAATAATCCACATGAAACAGAATGAGATCCAAATTAAGGCAGTGTCATGGAAACAAATATGGAAGACATTTTCCATCCTGAATCAATTGAACTTCATGGCTGATGGAATGGGACGGTGACAAGGAAGGAGACTAAGATGGCTCCCCAGGTTCTGGCTAATGTGATTAGGTAGATGATGGTATTATACTGTGATAATGAGAGGAGGACCAAATTTGCCTGGGGGTTGGCTTGGAGGAAGAAAGAGATTTATCTTCCCCCATGAAGCCTTTCCTGATTGACCCAGCCAGAAAGACTGTCTTCCTCTTGAGGGATCTGAAAGCTCTGAGAGATTATATCATATCCAAAATAATACAACAAAAATCTAATGGCAAAATTGAAAAGTGGTGTAAGACTTTCAGCCTCTTCTTTGTGCTAGAAACTGTCTCGTTACTAATGTGTCAAGGACAGTGGGATATCCAGACTCCTGGGTGTGAACAAGTGGCTCCATTGTCTGTATTGAATTTAAAAACAACTAAAAGTTGATTTCCTTTTTTTTTTTTTGACACAGATTTTCGCTCTTGTTGCCCAGGCTGGAGTGCAATGGCACGATCTCAGCTCACCGCAACCTCCGCCTCCTGGGTTCAAGCTATTCTCCTGCCTCAGCCTCCTGAGTAGCTGGGATTACAGGCATGCGCCACCATACCCAGCTAATTTTGTATTTTTTAATAGAGACAGGGTTTCTCCATGTTGGTTAGGCTGGTCTCAAACTCCCGACCTCTGGTGATCCGCCCGCCCTGGCCTCCCAAAGTGCTGGGATTACAGGCATGAGTCACCACGCCCGGCCGGTTTCCTTTTAATTAT
The DNA here is from genome assembly GCF_000001405.40 of Homo sapiens. Lineage (NCBI taxonomy): Eukaryota > Metazoa > Chordata > Mammalia > Primates > Hominidae > Homo > Homo sapiens. The sequence goes on along the minus strand of NC_000003.12, from coordinate 112,487,285 downwards.
CACCACATACTAGCAAACATGAACAATGTCAGAGGTGAAATATTTACCCTTCAAAATATTTTTGGTCTAAGTTCTAAATACTATGGTTACTGTTGAGTTTTATGATATATATGTAAACTTCAAATTAGCACATTTGTAGTATATATCATTTGACAAACATTGCATTCTACTTGCAAGTTAACTCAGAGAACTTCCCAGTTATACAGCTGGCCTTGGACATATACCATTCAGCTACTTGTGTTCATTTTGATAGCAAATTTATAAAGTCCAGGATCACTCCAGTTTCCTCCAAGGACACTTTGTGTCCTCATCTCTGTGGTACTACATACTCCAGCCTTTCAACATTCAATTTTAAATAAACAATAATACCACAGAGAATGCTGAGACAAAGAAGCAGAACAGGAGCTGTTTCATTTTTGTCATTTGGTGCAAACTTCTTGAATTTTTATTTGTGTTTAAAATTTAAAACAGTGAAAAGGATACAAACTGTGATATATAAAATCTTCGGCTTGGCAACTTTATTTCATGCATAAAATGTTAGATTGATTAATATTTTTACAATTGAAATTTTTTTAATGTTGTTTTAAAACTAACTTTAGAAAATAAAACTTTAGTGTTACAATTTAGTAGTTACCTAAATTGTATCTTTGCAGAATTTCAGTTTTAATACAATCCATTTATTAGTTATTGGACAACTATTTACATAAACTATTATATCAGACTATAACTAAAGAATCAAAGTTCATACTGTTTAGGTGGATATAAAAATGATTGAATAAATACCTGTGCATTTTTCTTTTTTTGTATTTTAATTTTTTTAAAACATTTTTTCATTTGTATGGTTTTATACATGAAGTTCAGCACAAGAAAATATTCATTGTCTATATTTCTTTTCTGGCCATTTTATTACTTGTTTTATCTCATGATTATTTCTGAAAATATTTTTATGTATAGAGAAAGGGGTTGCTCAAATGATGTACTCTAGACCTAAAATAAAATATCATCGGTACCACCTGATCGTGGAATATATATACCACTAGTGGTTTTGATAAAAATTTTAAACATGAAAGAATTTCTAAACCTATAGTGACTTAACAAGGGATATTTCATTATATAAGAGCCTGGGGGGGAGTAGAAGTTTTTATTCTTTGTTTGTTGGTTTGTTTTTTGAGATGGACTCTCGCTCTGTCACCCAGGCTGGAGTGCAGTGGCGCGATCTAGGCTCATTGGAAGCTCCGCCTCGCGGGTTCACGCCATTCTCCTGCCTCAGTCTGCCGAGCAGCTGGGACTACAGGCTCCCGCCACCACGCCCGGCTAATTTTTTGTTTTGTATTTTTAGTAGAGACGGGGTTTCACCGTGTTAGCCGGGATGGTCTCTATCTCCTGACCTCGTGATCCACTCGCCTCGGCCTCCCAAAGTGCTGGGACCACAGGCGTGAGCCACCGTGCCCGGCCAGAAGTTTTTATTCTTTTACTGCATGTATTTATTTTAATCATTTTTAGCATTGAAAATTTCCTGTCATCAGATATGAATGCTTGAGAAAAACAGCAGAGATAATAAGAGCAGGAATAAAAATAACTGATGGTTCCGGCTACTTGGGAGGCTGAGGCAGGAGAATCGCTTGAACCCGGGGATGGAGGTTGCAGTGAACCGAGATCGCTCCATTGCACTCCAGCCTGGGCAACAAGAGCAAAACTCCGTCTCAAAAAATACATAAATAAAAAATGAAATCAAATAACTGATAATTGGAAGTTGAGTAACAGCCAAAAGCAACTGTGATAGTTATTCCTCTTCGGGAAATATTTATTTGATAAGACAAACTTTTGGGGGATAGCTTTGTGTGTCCTAAGTATCATAAGATGGATATGCATAATTCAGAACAGGCAGAAAAGGGGTGTTAACAAGCTTGTCAGATGGACAATTAGAATTGTGCTATTTGTCGGCCAGGCCGGTGGCTCACTCCTGTAATCCCAGCACTTTGTGAGGCAGAGGCGGGTGGATCACCTGAGGTCAGGAGTTCGAGATCAGCCTGGCTAACATGGCGAAACCCCGTCCCTACTAAAAATACAAAAATTAGCCGGGCGTGGTTGTGGGTGCCTGTAATCCCAGCCACCGGGGAGGCTGAGGCAGGAGAATCGCTTGAACCTGGGAGGCGGAGGCTGCAGTGAGCCGAAATTGCATCACTGTACTCCAGCCTGGGCAACAAGAGCGAGACTTCATCTCAAAAAAAATAAATTAATTAAAAAAAATAGAATTGTGCTATTTGTCTCAGTGTGTCATTTTTACACTACAAACATCAGTGTTAGCCTCTGAGAGATAGGAGGTATTATAATACCTTGTTTGTGCACAGAGGGAGTACTCTTGATTTCTAATGCCTGCTTGCAAGCCTACATTCATCATCGGTTCATTCCTCCATTCAAGAAAAATTCCTGTGCCAGTCAGTGTGGTTGTCAATGATCATTATCCTGCTGATAAGAATATTTAGGAACTGCAATGTTTCCATAATCCTATTGTGAATCAGTGATGCCACCAACACAAAAAGCTAGCTCTTTTCTCCACCCCTAACCCACTTTGCGCACTGCTCCGGAGCATACAGTCACAAAAGACAGAACTTGAAGTGATGTCTAATTGTGCCACTAACATCAAGTGATAGCCCTATGGCTAAATAGAAAGGTAATATATTGTGATAGGAATAGAAATTGCAGGCTAGAAGTGGTTTCGTAGTTTCAGTCACACATTAAGGAAGGTGAAGTTGTGTGTGTTTGTGTGGTCAGGGGATGGTGAGTTAGAACTTTCCTACTTTTACAGTTCAATCCTTTCATCTTATTTTGAAGAAACTGAGGACCAGCAAAACTGGGGGACTATCAAATTCGCTCAATGTGTTAGCATTTGAAACAGACATGTTCAAATGAATAGTCTCATTTGTAGCTATTTCCGTGCCCTTTATAAATATCCCCCCAAAATTAGGCATTGTATTTTCTCATGGTGGATAAGCAAAGTTTAAACTCCTGCCTAATGCTTATTCCATTTGTTCTGAAACAACCAGTGGTCTCCATATCACTAAGTCAGAAAACCATGATCCAGTTGTGTATCAATGATCTAAATCTATCATGAGATTCCTGGTCCCTAAGACTTTTCCGTTCCATTTCCTCACTCTTAAAATACCTCCTCTGTCCCATGCACTGCTCTGATTGCCAAAGGGCTACTCATTCACCAAGGTTCAGCTCAAGTATAGCCTTTCCATGAAGCTTTGCCCCGGCTGAAGTTAACCTTCTGCAGACCCATGCAAAGTTGTTTGTATCTTTTTTTTTTTTTTTGAGACAGAGTCTTACTGTGTTGCCCAGGCTGGAGTGCAGTGGCATGATCTCAGCTCACTGGAACCTCCAGTTCCTGGGTTCAAGCAATTCTCCTGCCTCAGCCTCTTGAGTAGCTGGGATTACAGGCACGCACCACCACACCTGGCTAATTTTTGTATTTTTAGTAAAGACGGTGTTTCACCATGTTGGTCAGGCTGGTCTTAAACTCCTGACCTCAGGTGATCCACCTCCCTCGGCCTCCCAAAGTGCTGGGATTACAGGCGTGAGCCACCATGCCCGGCCTTGTTTGTACCTCTTTACAGTGTTATATAACACTCTCCCAATTGCCATTCATTTTTATTTCCCATTAGAAGGCAAGCTCCACAAATGCAGACATCCTATCTGATTTATTCCTAGGCTTCCTAACAACCAGCATGCAACGTCCCTCAAGGCTTGCTTTCAGCTCAGTAAACTGAAAGAAATAAAGACTGGTATATAGTAAATTGATTCTAGAAAAGTGTCTAGAAGGTAAATTGATTCTGGCCAGGTGTGGTGGCTCAAGCCTGTAATCCCAGCACTTTGGGAGGCCGAGATGAGCTGATCACCTCAGGTTGGGAGTTCAAGACCAGCCTGACCAACATAAAGAAATCCCGTCTTTACTAAAAATACAAAATCAGCTGGGCGTGGTGGTGGGCGCCTGTAATCCCAGTTACCCGGGAGGCTGAGGCAGGAGAATCGCTTAAACCCGGGAGGCAGAGGTTACGGTGAGCCGAGATCATGCCATTGCATTCCAGCCTGTGCAACAAGAGTGAAACTCTTGTCTCAAAAAAAAAAAAAAAAAAAAAAAAGAAAGGTGCCCTCTTTGTTAGATACTCCTGGGGCTTACCAATTAAATGGTAAACTCTTTGAGGGTAAAAGATCTTTGTCTATAACCATCTCATTGTTTTTTATAATTCTAGCACAGACTTAGAGGCTCCATAAACCATTATTGACTTATCCAAGAAAATGAAAAGGGAAGTTAGGAGGCTGAGGGAGTCTATTAACTTCAGGGAGAGGAACGGACTTCTGGAAACAAGAGTTTCACTTGACCTTTCTGCCTCTGGCCTTCTTACTTTTTTTGTCCTAAGTCTAACCACATTCAGGTACACTTCCTTTTGGTAAAATATTTTACCCTTTCTCTTCATTTTTTTGAAAACCTCATCCTTATAACTTACCTTTCAGTTTGGTTTCATTTTAGTTCTAAACTTTTGGAAGCAACTGAATTAAGAAGTCTTAAAGTGAACTTGCTTGAGGTCTCAAAGCAATTATAAATAAATAAATATTAAGAGGTTCTAAAAGTTGTCTGCAGGTCCTTTTTCTCACTCTGATTCCTGGAAACTCAATCAGGTTTCTATTATTCTGAGCAGAGATTCATGAGATGTGAGCAGGAAGGGTTTTTAAGTAGGATGTGAGTGAAAGGTGTATTAGGTGTGAGGAAATAGATAAAATGAGAATATTTATGCTGGCAAGGGTGTAGAAATAAGGTGAAACCTTGTTCTGGATAGACATGTATGAGAAACTCAGGGTCAAAATTTGCTCCTTGGTTCAACATCTGACAAGCTGTGTGATCACAGGCAAGGCCTTTAGCTGTCTTTGTATTTAAAAGAGAGTTTTGGCTATCATCTCTGTTACACTTATGTCATTCTAATGTATGATACTGTACATCTATTCAGAAGAATGCATGAAAATGAGTGAAATAAATAAATGAAGGAGATGAACTAGACATTGCTAAGAGAGACGGTAGTTCAAAACATAGAAAGAAAGGCTAAGAAAGAACTGTAAGAGTGGAGAAAAAAATAATTTAAAAGAAAATACTTTTAGGATCACGTGCTTAGCCTTAACTTTACTGGAAAATAAAAAAATACAAATCAACACCAAGTGCATAACTAAAAGGAAATGAGAAACAAGCCATTGGAAACTGGAGTAAAGGCCATTCTTGTCATACAGTTGCTAAGAACTTGGTGGAAATGTATCTATGTCTTAGGACTTTACGGAAAGCAGAAATTAAGAGCAATAATTCAGGATATCTGGTGGAAGAAATATCTAAGCCGCAAAGCATTTAGGCTGCTGTGTGGCTACTTTTAACTGCATACAGTAAGAGGCAGGAGGGAAAAAAATGACTTAAAAATGGAATTTATAATTAAAAGAGAAGCAGAATAGAAAGATTTGGAAAATTCACTGCCTAGCCATATAAAAAGTGAAAAGGCATGAATGGGAGAAAATACTAAGGGTGTGGCCTAGTGACCATTGTTAAAGAGATTAATATGGATAGAAGGGAGTGAAGTACTATTCAAGAAGTTGAGAAAAAGGCCCTGAAGGCATTTCAAAGCCTTTGAGGCTGCCCCTCCCATCATAGGCTCAGAGCTCAGAGGGCAAATTGATTTCAGGGGAAACTAGAATGCCCTTTACAGGCTTGCTGCCCAGATCTGCCTCAGGTTTCTGTTCTCTGAATTCCAGCACAGTGCTCCTTAGCTGCTCCAGCCATGGCTCAAGTGAGCCCAGGTGCAGTTCAACCCACCACTCCATAAGGTGCAATTGGTAAGCCTTGGTGGCACCCACTTGCTAAGTGTGCAGGCTAGCAGAATGCAAGAGGTGTGGAACACAACTTCCTCCATGTAGATTTCAAAGGATGTTGTGGACAGCCTGAGGGCCCAGGAAGAGTCCACTCCCATGTCAGTGCCTAGTAGAGCCATGGGAGTGGACTGCCACTGAGACCCCAGAACTGTGGAGCTATTAGCCTGAAGCATTAGCCTGGGAGAGCTGCAGGTAGGAGTCTCCAACTTGTGAGTGCTGAAGCATCAACCAAGCCCAGCAATGCCATTTTATTTCTCTGTTGGGTTTTGGACTTACTTAGGAACTGTTACTTTCTCATTTTTGCCTATTTCTCCCTTTTGGAATGGGAATATCTATCTTATATCTGTCCTACCACTATATTTTGGAAGTAGATAACTTGTTTTGATTTACATGATCATAGTTGGAGGGAATTTGCTTCATAATGAATCGTGCCTTGAATCTTACCCATATCTGGTTTAGATAAGACTCTGAATTTAGTGTTTTGAATTGATTCTGCAATAAATTAAAACTTTTGGGGCTATTGAGATGGAATGAATGTATTTTGTATGTGAAAAGAACATGAGTTTTGGGGGACCAGGGGCAGAATGCTATGGTTTGAATGCCCCCTCCAAAATTCATGTTGAAATTTTATTGCTATTGTAACAGTTTTGTGAGGTGGAACCTTTAAGAGATCAGAGGTTATGAATGTATTAATGCCCTTATTGTAGGAATGGATTCGTTATCACGGGAGTAGGCACCTGATAAAAGGATAAATTTTGGCCCCCATTTTTCTCTGTCTTGTGTGCTCCCTTCCACTTTCTGCTTTCTGCCATGAGATAATGCAGCACAAAGGCCTTTGCTAGATGCTGGCACCATGCTCTTGGACTTCCCAGCCTACAGAGCCATGAGCCAAATAAAACTTCTGTGATTCAAAAATTATCCAATCTCAGGTATTCTGTTATACTAGCAGAAAACAGACTAAGACAGTGTCTCATGTGTCCGTGTGTAGAGACCACCAAACAGGCTTTGTGTGAGCAACAAGGCTGTTTATTTCACCTTGCAGGCGGGCTGAGTCCAAAAAGAGAGTCAGCAAATGATGGTGAGATTATCATTAGTACTTATAGGTTTTGGGATAGGCAGTGGAGTTAAGAGCAATGTTTTGGGGGCAGGGGGTGGATCTCACAAAATACATTCTCAAGGGTGGGGAGAATTACAAAGAAACTTCTTAAGGGTGGGGGAGATTACAAAGTACATTGATCAGTTAGGGTGGGGAAGAAACAAATCACAATGGTGGAATGTCATCAGTTAAGGCTATTTTCACTTCTTTTGTGGATCTTCAGTTGCTTCAGGCCATCTGGATGTATACGTGCAGGTCACAGGGTATATGATGGCTTAGCTTGGGCTCAAAGGCCTGACAGACAGAGGATTAAATGATTTATTTCATTTTTTAAACATATTTATTATATGCCTAATATGTATGAGACATTCTGCTAGTAAGGCTTAATTACTAGAAATTGGGGGGTTGTTTTTGAAAATTACCAAATAATGCTTGAGAACTATTGAAGTCACATATATATGGTACTTCCAGAAGAACATATTTGATTTTAGTTTTGTTTTTATCTTTTAGGGAAAGAATCATGTGATGTACAGCTTTATATAAAGAGACAATCTGAACACTCCATCTTAGCAGGAGATCCCTTTGAACTAGAATGCCCTGTGAAATACTGTGCTAACAGGCCTCATGTGACTTGGTGCAAGCTCAATGGAACAACATGTGTAAAACTTGAAGATAGACAAACAAGTTGGAAGGAAGAGAAGAACATTTCATTTTTCATTCTACATTTTGAACCAGTGCTTCCTAATGACAATGGGTCATACCGCTGTTCTGCAAATTTTCAGTCTAATCTCATTGAAAGCCACTCAACAACTCTTTATGTGACAGGTGAGTTCTCAACACCTAGACCATCTGATATTTTTCTTATAATGTTTCCAGGAAGAGGGGGGTTCAGTTTCTCAAGTGATTATGTTAGAAAGCCAACTCCTATAGCACATCTGAAATCTGCTACACCTCACAGATTGTTATGTGCCAGTGTGTACATATGTGTGTGTATGTGTGCGTTTGAGGTGAGTGAGATAGAGGAGAGTAGAGAAATAGATAGTAAAAGTTATTGTTTTTGACTTTAGGGATTATAAAATTTATTTGATAAGTCCAAAAGTAGACCACTGAAATATTGAAAAAATTATAAAGTGAATACCTATAGTTGCGAATAGCTCTGTGATTGCTTGTCCTTCTTTGTTGTTTTTTTTTTCTCTTTTTCCCATTTTTCTCTTCTTTACTTTTGTTCATTACAATTTCTTGAAGTTATGTTTGTGGTGCTTAGGCAATTAAACACTTCTTAATAGTTCACAGTTTGTTTAGAGGAAAAACAGCAAACAACTAACTGACTTCCTAGTGATTTTCTGGGAATATTCAGAGCTTCATCTCTCTTCCCTGTTCCCCGAAAGAGGCCTTTAATATGCTTTGACAACTGAGGAAGGACAGATAGAAGTTAAGCTTGGGGAAACCAAGCTGAATAAAACATGAAAAAATACATAGGGGGGGAGTAGGTAAGAGTAAAAAATACTTGGTTTATAAAAATTTTATAGCCAACATCATATTCAATGGTGAAAGGCTTAGAGCTTTCCCCCTAAGAACAGGAACAAGACATGGATCCTTGCTTTTGCCATTTCCATTTAACATTAAACTGAAAATTCTAGCCAGAGCAAACAGGCAAGAACAAGAAATAAAAGATATCTAACTTAGAAAAAAAGAAGTAAAACTTTATTCACAGATGGCATGAACTTATGTGTAGAAAAATTCTTAAAAATTTGTTTAAAACTATTAAAGCTAATACATGAATTTAGCAATTCCACATGATACAGGATCAACACACAAAAATCAGTGATATTTCTATACACTAGCAATAAACAATCCACAAAGAAAATTAAGGAAACAGTTCCATTTACAATAGCATCAAAATGAATAAAATATTTAAGTACAAATTTAACCAAAGAGGTATAAGAGTTGTACACTGAACAAAGAAAGCATGGCTGAAAGAAATTCAAGAATATGTAAATAAATGCAAAGACATTCTGTATTCATGGACTGAAAGATGTAATATTGTAAAGATAGCAATATTCCCCAAGGTGATCTACAGATTCAATGCAGTTCCACTAAAATCCTAACAGCTTTTTGTTGCTATTGCAGAAATAAAAAAGCTGATCCTAAAATTCACATTGAGTTGCAACAGACCCAGAATTGCCAAAACAATCTTGAAAAAGAACAAAACTGAAGCTAAGACTTCCCTATTTCAAAACTTACTACAAAATGACAGTTAAAAAAAAAAAAAAAGAATAGTATTGTCATGGATAGACAAAGAGATCAATGTAAATAGAATTGAGAGTCCAGAATAAACTCCATACATCCGTAGTCAATTGATTTTTGATAAGGGTACCAAGATTATTCAGTGGGGAAAGAATAGTCTCAATAAATGGTGCCAGGATAATTGGATATTCATATGTAAAAGAATTAATTTGAACCCTCATCTCACTCCATATTTTAAGCAATCAAAATAAGTCAGACATTTAAGTAGAAGAGCTAAAACTATAAAAACTGCATTATATAAAACAATAAAACTCTGATTTCTTAGGAGAAAACATAGGGATAAATGTTTCTGATCTTGGATTTAGCAGTGTTTTCTTAGCTATGATTACAAAAGCATAATCAACAATAACACCAAAAATAGATAAATTGGACTTCATAAAAATTAAACACTTCTGTGCATCAAAAGATACTAAAATTCAACAACAAATAGACTGGCAACCTAATTTTAAAATGAGCAAAGGACTTGAATAGACATTTCATCAAAGAAAATATACAAATGGCCAATAAACATATGAAAAAAATGCTCAATGTCATTAGTTACTGGAGAAATGCAAATCAAAGTCACAGTGAAAACCCACTTCACACCCATCGAATGACTAGAATAAAAAAAAAAAACACAGAAAATAATAAGTGTTAGCAAGGATGTGAAGAAATAGAAACCCTATCCATTGCTGAGGAGAATGTAAAATGGTGCAGTCACTTTAGAAAGTGGTCTAACAGTTCCTCAAAATCAAAAGATAAAACCTACTTGTCACAGTACCCAGTAATTCTATTCCTAGGTAAATACTCAAATGAAATTAAAATATATGTTCACACAAAACCTTGTTCCTGAATGTTTATCACAGCACTATTCACAATAGCCAAAAGGTAGAAACAACCTAAATGTTCAGCTGATGAATGGATAAAGGAAATGTAGTTTATCCACACACGGAATATTATTCAGTCATGAAAAGGAATGAAGTACTAATGTATGCTACAACATTGATGAACCTCAGAAGCATTACGCTAAGTAAAAGAAGAAAAAGGTTACATACAATGTGATTCTGATTATATGAAATATCCAAAATAGGCAAATCCATAGAGACAGAAAGTAGCTTGGTGGTTGCCAGGGGCTGAGGAAATAAAGAATGTGACATGACTACTAAATAGGTAGAGGGCTTCCTTTTGGGGTGATAAATATGTTCTGAATCTAGATCGTAGTCACGTTTGCAAAACATTGTGAGTATCTTACATGCCATTTAATTGTACATTTTAAATGATTAAATTGGTAACTTTTATGTTATATGTATTTTACCACAATAAAAATATATTTGGATCAAAGAAGAGTGCCCTTTAATTATAAGAAATAATGTGGAGTTTCTTTTGTTGCTCATAAATTGACCCTTAAAGTTACTGGGAAGGAGAAATTTCAAAAGAGGGTTATTGCAATAGCAGCATGGCTGAACTCTGGATGCAACCTCGTACAGTTTAGTTCCTTTATGGACATCATTCACTTGAATGCATACATTTTACAACTGATCTTTTTAAAATTAATTTGTTACTTTATATGCTTACTTTTGAGTGTCTTTCAACTCCCTTAAAGTAGCCCAGTGAAGGAATCCATTGAAATTCTTTTAAAATGCTTTAGGTTAGTTTAAAATTTCTTACAGCAGCACCATGAAAAAATGCATAGCAGTTTAGCAGTAGCTACAACCCTCAATTATGAAATATAGAAGAAATCGATGGCAGAGTTAGGGACTCTGCTTTTGCAAATATAGCGTGAAGCTCGGTGCTAGTTACTTGTGACCATCCATGCACTGGCTTATAAACCTCTTCAGGATGGAAGCTGTGTCTTAAACATCTTTGCTCTGTATGATGGATGGCAGGGTACCTGGCACATGGTAGGGGCTCACTAAATATTTCTTTGTAAATGAATTAAAGAACATAGTATATGCAAAGCACAAAAATTGTCTTCATCAACCTGGAGAAGGCTATATTAAGGATGTATGGAATGAACACTTTCTGGAAAGAATTGCATTATTAATTCACATTAATGAGACAAAATATTGAATTTTTAACAAATACTATTTTTTAAACAGGTAAAATAAATTACAAAAATAAGGAAAATCTGCAAAATATTAATTCTAGAATGATATATACTATTGAATAAATAAGTGCTATTAACTAATTTATATAATATATTAACATAATGTATAATAAAATTAAATTTTGAGGCATTGAGTCCACCTTCCTTGGAAGAGAAGCCTTGTGTAATTCAGTCTTTCTTTATGGGAACTAATCTACTTCTATACGAGACATGAATTTAGCCAAGGTCAGATGAAAGGTCAGAAGTTAATAATTAATTGTGATACAAAAGTCTGTTACACAAAAGTAGCATTGCAATTTCTGCTCTATCCCATATTTGGGTCATTCATGATGACTAAAGATAATCTGTAGTTTGTAAAGTGCATAAAGGTGCCTGTTCTAGGGATCAAGTTGGGGCTGAGATTAGGATCAACAATCTATCTATTTTGTGGAGGAAAGAACCCAACTTTAGGGGAAAGGGAATAACATTCCCTCCTAAATCCTGTGCCTTGGGGGGTTTTATGGAACAAAGTATGTGAAGTATGAAGTGGTGAAAGAGAAAGTCTAAGAGCTAAATAGGAGACATGAAGGGCCTTGTCAGTTTCTTTTTGAACATTTCTACTCTCTTAGTTTCCTACTCACCTATCCTTCCTATCACTCCCTTCCTTATCAGTTTGTTAATTAATGCTCTTGATCCTCATGGAAAATCCCAGAGAATTTTCTTTGGCTTCCTACTCTTGTCTCTCCACAACATTCCACTCTGTGATGTGTTTCCTCCAATTGCTTCTATAAGCATCTCGCACCATCATTATCTTCCTTCTAAATAATTCCAATTAATTCTATGATTGGACTCTTTGTCTTTAGTATTTCCCCATTTTGGTCAATTTCAGCCAAATACACTTAAATTACCTCATACACTTCCTTCATAACAACACTCTCTTGCATAGCATCCCCAGTGGTCACAATATTGGGCTCATCTTTGTTAACCAGCATTCAAAGTCTTCCACAGTTTGATCCCACCACCTTTCTAGATTGTTTCTGGATTCCATATACAGCCTCTCAATTGCAGCCTGACGGCCTTACTTGCCATAACCACATCTCCATCATTGCCCTGTGTATGCTGCTCTTGCCACTTGTAGAGCACCCATTCATCTGTCTCCACCTATGGAAATTCTACCCCTCCTTTCAATCTCAGCTAATTTTCCAAGTTCTTAAGGAAGCTTTTCATGATCACCTGAGGGGAAGGGATCACTCCTTTTTACCAATTTTTATGCCATTTAAGTCTGTGCCTCTCATTTATCATTTCCTTTCACTGTAGTAATGTGTGGAAATGTCTTTTAGGTCCCATGAAAGATTATAATGTCCTGGAAGGCTGGAATTTGTGTAATATTTCTTTTTTTTTTTTCTTTTAACTTCCTTCACAAAAGGTAAATTGTTTAGGAATTAACTTTAATTTAAACTCTGTGTGGATTTAAAACTAATTTAATCTAGGTGTGCATTTTTCTTTAGTGAAGTGGTGAAAACAAAAATAACAGGGAGGGTCAAAGAAAAATTCCTTTTCCTTCTGAACCTGAAAGTGCTCAGTGAACTAAGTATAAGGTGAGGAGAAAAATATATTTTGGAAATATGTTTAAGGACCATGCTTTTCATAAAGAAATTTTGGAGGTCTGATAAAAAATATTTTATTTTTTCCTGTGAAATATATTTCCGAAGTGATTTTGGACATTTTCTTGTTTTTATAAGTGACTTTCTTTTGCTGTTTATGTTCAAGTTAAAAGTTCATGTAAGAACAGGACTGTGACAGAGTTGGGGCTTGGATGCTCTTGGGAAAGCACTATTCTCCCAGAATGAAGAAAAGCACCTTGCACAACAAGCCAAAGTCCTAGGGGAAAAGTTGACAGAGCTGGGGAACAGCCCTTGAAACATCCATTGGCCTGCCACTTCACCCTTCCCAAACTTCCCTTGGTCAGTTTCAGATTAAGAACTTCCCCAAGGCTGGGCGTGGTGGCTCACATCTGTAATCCTAGCACTTTGGGAGGCCAAGACGAACAAATCACTTGAGGTCAGGAGTTTGAGATCAGCCTGGTCAACATGGTGAAACCCTATCTCTACTAAAAATACAAAAAATAAACTGGGCACGGTGGGAGGCGCCTGTAATCCCAACTACTCAGGAGGCTGAAGCAGGAGAATCACTTGAACCCAGGAGGTGGAGGCTGCAGTGAACCGAGATTGCACCACTGCACTCCAGCCTGGGTGATAGAGCGAGACTCCATCTCAAAAAAAAAAAAAAAAAAAAAGAAGAAGAAAAAAAGAACTTCCCCAAAATGTGATCATTATCTGTGGCAGGAAAGTGGGTGTGGAGTGAGAGGGCAGGAAGTCCTTGTGGGCTTCCACCCTGATTTGGAGCACCTGCTGAATGTGCCTCTTCTTATTCCAGGTGCCAGAGATATCATTGTGCAGACTATACTGTGTCCTTATGCTTAAGGAATGGGGAAGAGGTGATCAAAGCAGACAGACAAAGATTGCGTTGTATTTACAGTCTTTCAGTGAGCTTCAAAATAAGCCCAGATATTTACTTTGTGTCAATGATCGTGGGGTTGATGTTCCACAAATTGTGCTTACTGATCTTGAGATAGATTGTTGGATTCTCTGGTAGTGTGCAAACACTGGAATCCTCCCCAAGGCTAGCTCTGGTTTTGGACACGTGAGAGTACACCCTCATCATTTTCTCAATCAATTTCAGTTATTTACCTTGTTTCTCTATTTCAGAACAAACTCAAAATAAGTTAGGGGGAGTTTTGAGTTTGTTCTGAAATAGAGAAACAGTTTGTTCTGAATTAGTTTTATTTGATCAAACTAATCAAGTAAAATTAAGGAAATTAGGTTTTTTTGGTGGTTAAAGAAATAACAGAAGTTGGATCTTCTTGATCCAGCAGATCTGTTTGTATTAGGGTATCTGTTGTAGAAACCTTAGTCCCCATTGCTATCCAAGACCCTCCCCCAGGCAGCTGTTTCTGGCACTCCTGGCAGTGGTTTGGCTGCTCGCTAACCTAAACAGCAGCTGCAACATCAATAGACAACATTTGTTACCACTCTGAATAACCAAACCACTTTTTGTGCAACTTCAGTTGCCTCTAATCATTTTTACCCCAAACCTAAGCATCTAGCCAAACAAAATAACATTATAATATAATTAATAGAATTTTTTTTTTGTTTGAGATGGAGTCTTACTCTGTCACCCAGGCTGAGTGCAGTGGTACCATCTCGGTTCACCGAAGTCTCCACCTACCGAGTTCAAGCGATTCTCCTGTCTCAGCCTCCCATGTACCTGGGATTACAGGTGCATACCACGCCCAGCTAATTTTTGTATTTTTAGTAGAGACGGGGTTTCACCATTTTGGCCATGCTGGTCTCGAACTCCTGATCTCAAGTGATCCGCCTACCTCGGCCTCCCAAAGTGCTGAGATTACAGGTGTGAGCCACCAGGCCAGACCTTAGAATATCTTACTCCAGTATTTTTCATACTGTGTTAACTGTAACCCAAAATTAAAAAAAACAACAACAACAACAACAACCAGATCTTACATCACAACCCATAATGCACACAAATATAAAAAAGTTTCATAAGGTCATACTTAACCATAAGACAGAGTTTCTCCATTGACACTTTGGTCTGGATAATGTTTTGTTGCACTAAGTGGGGGTTGCATCCTGTATAGTGTAGGGTGTTTAGCAGAATCCCCGGCTTCTACTCACTGGTTGCCAGCCTCCCTCCCCCTACCTTGTTACAGCCAAAAATGTCTCCAGACATTGCCACACATGTTCCCTGCTTGAGAACCACTGCTCTAGTGTGTGTGATGCATTCTGATGATTTCTATCCTCTTCTGTTTCATTTTTTAAAATGCTATTTGTGACATACTAAATTGTTTCACAACCTGCTAATGAGCTGTGAACAACTGCAGACAAACAGGGCCTCAATGCGTATTAACATTGATCAATAGTAATGCGCATTAGCTGTGTGCCATGCAGAGCACTTTTAAGGCTATCAAAAGTATTTGATATTTGGAGATTCTGATAAGTTACGAGACAAGGAAAGGACATTGTGTTGAAGAAACTTGAATTTCCTGTTACAAACATGTTGGCTTGAGTTCCCATTGCCACTCACTAGCTATCTGACTTGGAGCAACTCTTGGGACAAAATAAAGACAATGGTTTTCCTACTTAAGTGATGAATATGAGAGTTAGATACTGTAAATAGAAAGGCTTAATGAAGTACCTTCTGACAGTTATCATGAAGATTGTTCTGTGGAAGATTAACTCTATCAGAATAAAGAATTTCTGCAAAAGATAAATTATCGCAGAGCCACGTCTGCTCAGCAAGAAAGCAAGAGGTGGCTGAGGGCACTGGGATTCTTGAGGAATGCCTCTGAAGGGGAAATGGAGGCATTGGCCTGAAATCTCCTTCACTCAAGTTCTGACAATGCAGAGGGGTGCCGCTGATCCCAATATATCTCAGATTTCCTAACTCTCTTTAGCATTTACTAACATTCCAGATGTAAAAAGTGCCTCAGAACGACCCTCCAAGGACGAAATGGCAAGCAGACCCTGGCTCCTGTATCGTTTACTTCCTTTGGGGGGATTGCCTCTACTCATCACTACCTGTTTCTGCCTGTTCTGCTGCCTGAGAAGGCACCAAGGTGGGTTCTATTTTCCCTCTGCCCCCAGTACCACACATTTGGGGCCATTCTTATTTCTGGGGCTAAAGGATTTTTAGTTTCTTCCTGTTGTTTTCTTTCCCAATCCTGTAAACCATGGATAATGATTTCCTAGAAGACAACTCATATTTGCGCTAAAAAGCTAAATAGGTTGGTTGGGGCTCCCTTGAGTCACGGGAGAGGCATGCTCACCACGCACAGTATTCCAGCTAGAGTTGTGGCGAGCATAGCACATTGCTGAGACTTCATCATTCTCTTTGCATCAATCTTAGGTTTGTGTGAGAAAGAGCTCTTCTAAACCTTAACAGGATTGGAAGTTGAAACAATCTCTCAGATCAAGATATCTGCTTTATTTTGTATTATCCTCTTTTCACAGCCACACCACATCATGCCAATCCCACACACACCCTTATGTAACTGAAGAACCAATGTCCCCAGAGAAAATTAATATGTCTGTATTTTCTATTGCCATTATAAACATATGCTTGACCTGAATTCTTACCCAACAATAATGCATATGAAAAATGTGGGTTTGGCTATGATGGGAATGGTGTGATATTTTGAAAATAATTCCTTTCTACTTTTGCAAGAACTCTCTCAATGTCATGACCAAATATGTTAAGTAAGAGAGGAAAGCATAGAGAATTCTGATCTAGCTTTGGCCTGAACTACTTCAGTTTTCTCTTTCCTTTTTCTTCTCCTCCATCCTCTCACATTCCTGTTTTCACAACACCAGCTACAGTGTAGCTATAGAAACTGAGCTAGATAGAGCAACACTTATTCTGTGTGACACAGGAATAACCTTTGACTGGGCAAAAGTGCTTCTGGTATTTTGGAGTGAGAACTTCTGGAGTTCAGAACCTTCTCTGGATTCTGAAGAATTCTCTCTTACCCCAATTCTTCATCTGCAACTCCATGGCTCTTTCTATGGCCTCTCTGTATCTTTCATCATCTTTCTTGAGACTGCTGGAACCTCTCTCAGAACTTCAGAAAAGGAGTCAGGGATAAATCTTTTGATTTACCACATCCAAAGTGAACTAGGTAGTAGGAGATCTTGGCTACATAGGTGACAGGACAGCAGCATTTCTGGCATTGAGTATGGAATGTCCCCAGAGCAAGGACTTCCAGTCTCTTCCAAGTGATATACTAGATCCCTCCCCTTCCTTTTAGATATGCCATGGGGCTATGTGGACTGAAAAGTGATGAACCAGAGAGAGAGCTGGTCAGTGTGAATTATCACAAACAAGTGTGTGCTAGGCAAAGCAAATTAACAAGCCAAAACTAACAACACTATCCCTGGCATTCAACAGGATAAGCATGGGTGGCAAGGTGGTTTACTTCTGCTTTCTTTACTCCTTTTGATTACTTCTTTTTCTTTTTGTCTTCCAGGAAAGCAAAATGAACTCTCTGACACAGCAGGAAGGGAAATTAACCTGGTAAGCTTGATGTAGCTGTTGAAACAAATGCAATTTGTGTTATACTGTGTTTATTTATTTATTCAATGAATTTATATAACACCATGTGCCAGGCATTATTCTATGTACTATATATATATATATATATATATATATATATATATATATATACATAGACCCATTTTTAA
The DNA here is from genome assembly GCF_000001405.40 of Homo sapiens. Taxonomy (NCBI): domain Eukaryota; kingdom Metazoa; phylum Chordata; class Mammalia; order Primates; family Hominidae; genus Homo; species Homo sapiens. The sequence continues at coordinate 112,469,590 of NC_000003.12, read as the reverse complement.
AAATGTGAATTTTGCATTCTGCTCTCTATGCAGCAAAGACTCTTTAGGGTTAACAAGTCTCGTAATAAGTGGTTCTTTGGAAGTTCATGGAAGGCAGTCTAGATCCAAGACAGAAAAGTCAGAGACTGAACCATACAAACTTGACTCTGCTCTTGCCTGTTATGTGGCTTCAGGCTATTCATTTATTTTTTATGTAAACACCTTAAGGTCTTTCTGGAAGAGAGTAGGGAGCTGATGAAAGAATGAACCCACAAATAACCTCATAAAATGATTAGATATCTTCATAAATAGCACCAGCAAAATAGAGACATGATCTTTGGCTTAGTTATTACACAGAGGTCCCTGGCAATGTGTATGGGCTCATCAAGGAAGGGACCACTCAGACTAAAGGAAGGGAATTTTGGAGTCAATCTTTCCTATAAGGTTTGGAATGTAAATGTAGGCTTTTCTTTTGAGTTGAATGTTGTGGAGATATTAGAACTAAAAAAGAATGCAAGATGAGGCAATATATTTGTGGAAAAGCATTCTGAAGCTCTCTAATTAAAACTAAACAGTCATAAATGAGATACTGCAAAGGAACTTGATGTGTGTGTGTGTTTCAATAAGGAGGAATAGTGATAAAGAAGTAGTAACCCTCTTAAAAATTCCACAAAAGACAAAATCGATACAGCCAATAATTCTATATATAATATTAAATGGCATTCAACATTCCCCACCAAGCTGCTTAATTTTAAACCAGACCAAATACACTCAACTTGACAAACTTCTATTAAGTTTTCATTAGCATCAGTAGGCACTGTGTAGGGTGCTAAGGCTTTGTTCCCTCAAATAGGGAAATTTTCTTAAATATTATTTTCTTTCTATAGTAAATAATAATAAAAATTTCACTTGATTACAATAAGGCCAGGGAGCTATGAAATTATTTAAGATAAAAATCTAAATAATTTACTGTGCAAGTAAAACCCAGGTTGGTTAAGCTGTGGACATTGTTCTTCCTGGGTAGGCTGGATAAATTATGATTTGAAGCTTAATTCAAAAGGGTATTTTCTGTATGTGCAATTGTCTGGGAAGTTTGTTTTAAAGCGTTTTTGCTATTAACAGGAATTTGAAGATTTTTGCCCCATTTCAGTTGTCTAGCATTTCAGAAAATAATCAAAAGGATACCATATTATACCCTTGGGGCTAAATATTTCTTAACATAAAACTAGTTTGGGAACTGTGGAGAAATCAAAGTACAGAAAGGAACTGGTATAAACATGACAGGAAAGGAACTGGTACAAATGTAACAGGTACATATAAAAGCCAAAGCTCTGATCTTAATCCAAAACGGTCCTTTGAGGGTATAAAGTGCTTGCCTAATAAAAACCACTGAATTGTACACTTAAAAGGGTGAATTTTATGGCATGTGAATTACATCTAAACATATACTATAAATACAAATTTTAAAATGCTTTGTATACTGTAACCTGCCATAGGAATGTAAGGTGGGATTGCTGTTTCTGGCTTTATCATCTCTATCCACCACATTGTGGTGCATTGGCCTTGTGGCACCCAGCCACTTTGACGGGGTGCCACAGCAGGGGTGCTGCAGAGCACTATATTTTCTTTTGCTCCATTCATTTTAACAAAATTTTTCATGGAAATGAGCCATTTCTTGGGATGAGAGACAGGGAACCCAATTGACAGGCTTAAACAGATTGAAAAGTATCACAGGATCTTTGTTGATATATTGAGGACTAAAGGCTATTTTTCAGTTCACTTGACAGTCTTCTTTAGTGTGCCACCTACTGACCTCAACCAGGCTCTTTTCAGTGGAGTTGGGAGTACTTTTTATCTTAGCCAAGCAGCCTCTGCCTCTTTCAGTCGCTCAGCCTTACTGTTATTTTTGGGCAGCCACCACATCAGAGGGTGGCACTGTATCAGGAATTCTTACATAGCTTCTCAGGGTAAAGCCAGACATGCTTGCATGATAGAGCTCTGCCAAGGAAATCTGCCATAGACATCCTACTGCACACATCACAATGAGGATGACAAAGGACCAGACAAAGTATGTTGACTTTCAAAGACAGTGGACTTGATACCTTAAAGGAGTTAGGCCAGATGTCAAGAACGGAAATCGATGGGCAAAACTTGAATTTAAAAAACTGAAATAGCCCCTAGAATGAACACATCTTCTTTGTCAGGTGAACCTTTGTATAGGTAGGAGCGGCTAATAAATAACTGAAGAGTGAGAAAACATCAGGACTAATTTTACTTTTTGTTTTTACAAATTCACCTCTTTCTTAGAAGCTCTAAGATATTTGGCTATATTTGAAACGGTAAGAATTTTCTTGCCGGGAGTGGTGGCTCACGTCTATAATCCTCGCACTTTGGGAGGCCGAGGCGGGCGGATCACGAGGTCAGGAGATCGAGACCATCCTGGCTAAAATGGTGAAACCCCGTCTCTACTAAAAATACAAAAAAAAATTAGCCGGGCGAGGTGGCGGGCGCCTGTAGTCCCAGCTACTCGGGAGGCTGAGGCAGGAGAATGGCGTGAAGCCGGGAGGCGGAGCTTGCGGTGAGCCGAGATCGCACCACTGCACTCCAGCCTGGGCTATAGGCAAGACTCCGTCTCAAAAAAAAAAAAAAAAAAGAAGAATTTTCTTTTGATAGGAATAACAACTGGAATACTGTTTTGGAACTTTTTCTAAGCTTTATCTTTCCAAAACTGACATCAATTTTTTAATTTAAGGTCTCAAATTATAATAATATATCTTGGCTAACTCATAATATTTATTGTTTCTGCCCTCTTAGGGGGTATTTGTTCTGCTTTATCCTTAATCTTTTTATTCTAAACTGCATTAAATACTATTCATCATGTTATAAACTGCCTGAAGTTTTCATAGGATATTTTTTGCTTTTTCCATCAATTTGGGCTATGCTTTTTATCTTGAAGGGGGATTAAAAAATGTTCTGTGACCTCAAAAGTGACCAGTAATAAAGCACAAAATAACTATTTAGGGGTGACATAGTGATTCTCAAGCCTTTCATCCTTTAATAATTGAAATTTAGCTGAAAGTGTAGATGTCAGCAGAGTATGTGAGGAACAGTAGATTATTTCTCACAATGGACATGACTCCATTTAAGCTTTTCATTCATAGTTTGCTAATGAATATGCACTACCATGGCCGTAAGTGTCACTTAAAACCATCTTTTTTTCTATTGTAGGTTGATGCTCACCTTAAGAGTGAGCAAACAGAAGCAAGCACCAGGCAAAATTCCCAAGTACTGCTATCAGAAACTGGAATTTATGATAATGACCCTGACCTTTGTTTCAGGATGCAGGAAGGGTCTGAAGTTTATTCTAATCCATGCCTGGAAGAAAACAAACCAGGCATTGTTTATGCTTCCCTGAACCATTCTGTCATTGGACCGAACTCAAGACTGGCAAGAAATGTAAAAGAAGCACCAACAGAATATGCATCCATATGTGTGAGGAGTTAAGTCTGTTTCTGACTCCAACAGGGACCATTGAATGATCAGCATGTTGACATCATTGTCTGGGCTCAACAGGATGTCAAATAATATTTCTCAATTTGAGAATTTTTACTTTAGAAATGTTCATGTTAGTGCTTGGGTCTTAAGGGTCCATAGGATAAATGATTAAAATTTCTCTCAGAAACTTATTTGGGAGCTTTTTATATTATAGCCTTGAATAACAAAATCTCTCCAAAACTGGTTGACATCATGAGTAGCAGAATAGTAGAACGTTTAAACTTAGCTACATTTTACCCAATATACAAACTCGATCTTGCCTTTGAAGCTATTGGAAAGACTTGTAGGGAAAAGAGGTTTGTGTTACCTGCATCAGTTCACTACACACTCTTGAAAACAAAATGTCCCAATTTGACTAACCAACCATAAATACAGTAATGATTGTATATTTCAAGTCAGTCTTCCAAAATAAGAAATTTTTGCTGTGTCAGTCTAAGAATGGTGTTTCTTAAATGCAAAGGAGAAATCATTTTAGGCTTGATGTAAGAAAATGAAAATAATAAATGGTGCAATAAAAATATAGAATATACCAATTGGATATAGGGTAGATGTTCCACATACCTGGCAAACAAATGCTTATATCTACTCTGTTAGATTGATAAGCAAATATAGGTATTAATGGAGCAGTCAACGTATAGCACATTTATGAGGAAAGTAGAGACTCACTGGGTCACATAGACTAATGGATAGGAATGTGACATAATGCTGCTGAATTAATATACTTATGGGCATCTGAATAGTTTAAAAGTTAGTCAGAATAGGTATCACTGGGCAAGTGAAGATAGCTTAAACTGCTTCATGCTTGACTTGATAGCAAGTTAAAGTGCAATTAATGGAATGGAGGAAAACCCAGAATATTTAATTGGTCTGTAGGGGTCAATTTGCTTTCATTCACCACATCTGCATCTTGCTGTTCTTCTTACTAAGGAATCAGGGCAAATCATCTGTAGTGACATATTTTAGTTTGCTAATCATTTATTTTAAAATACTGAGGTTGCAGCCACTTAAGAGTATAGCAAAAGATGGATTCAGATTTTTGGACTTTCCAAAGTACTTGAGTTAAACTATTTCAAAAATAGCCTATAATTTTATTCAACAGTTTGAGGCTATTCGAATTCTCAGGTGCTGCTACTGAATAATGTAATAGTCTTCATACAAAGTGGATAGCAAAGGTTAAAATCCATTTCAACAAATATGTGAGCTGAGCTGCTGCACAAAGGAATGTGATGTGTGTGTGTGTGTGTGTGTGTGTGTGTGTTAGGTGGGGTGGGTGACAACAGAAATGGTGCACGAGAAACTGATCAAATTGACATTATATTTTCAGTTTGCTTATGAAGCTCAAAATACTAGAGTAAATGGGTCATTAAAGAAAATAATATGTGAAATTATGGAGTTTAGAATACAAGTGGGGTATATATACAAAAAGACAAAACTGAGGTTTTGTGGTGGAGAGATTTTCTTAAGTAACACTGGCATTAAGTTTTAGCTCCTTAGATTTGGGGGTGCAAATATTCTTTTGAGTCACTGTTATTTTGCCAATTACACCTAGAATTTCAAGCAACCAATTCGAGATAGGCTGTTTTAGCCAGGCTGCATTTGTGGACAACTTATGTAAGAAAGACATGTTAGAATAGCTGCTTGTGGTATTCTTAAAAATAGAAACAGGAAATATGGGGAGGATACATTTAGCTGTCCTCTTATCAGATGAACACACGAAATTGAACAGTTCCTTCATGATTCTCTCAAACTTAAAAGCAAAATATTTCTGTCTTATTTAAAATATCCTTAGTATGTCTTATAGTAAAGATAATGCTGATAATGATTTCATCTCTAAGATGTATTAATATATTTGTACTGTTTGCCAAAATCACAAATCATTTATGTTTTTATTCCTTTTCAAAATGGTGTCAGAGACATACATGCATTTTCCCAAATGACTCTACTTCACTATTATTTACATGGCTTATTTCATTAGTTTATAGAGGGTTTGAGAAAAAGAATATGTAGATAATTTAATGGTTTTTCACAAATTTTAAGCTTGTGATTGTGCTCAATGAGAAGGTAAAGTTATTAAAACTTATTTGAAATCAATTTGGCATCTGATTTTGTACCCCAAAATGTGTGGACATGAATAGAATACTGATTCTTAAACCCCCTGACACATAAAAGCGACCCGAATAACTTGCTAAACTGCAGACTATTAACTTGCAGCACTAAGAAATTCTGATTCAGGAGGTCTAGAAAATGGCTCTTTAATCATCATCTTTAAAAGACATGCCAACCAATTTTAATATGTTTCCCAGTGTCCACAATTTGAGAAAACTAGTAGAGGCTAGGTTTGGTATATGTGGTTTATTTGATCAGTTTTGTGCACCAACCAAAACTATCTAGTCCCCAGAATGAATTCTCTGGCGCGATCATATCTATTTTGCTAAATATATAAACTTTTTTCAGAGCACTTTTAGGTTCAGCAAAGCTAAGCGGTGAGCATTGAGAGTTTCTATACCGTCTTCCCCCACACATGCACAGTTTCTCCCATCATCAACATCCTGTACTTCAGTGGTGCCTTTGTTACAATCAGTAACTAGAATTGACATGTCATTATCAACCAAAGTTCATGGGTTACATGAGGGTTCACACTTGCAGTTCTTTGGGTTTTGACATGTATAATGACTTGTATCCACCATTATAGTGATTTACAGAATAGTTTCACTGTCCTAAAAATCCTCTGTGCTCTACTCATTTATCACTCCCTCCAAGCCCCTGACAACCACTGCCTCTATTGCTTTGCCTTTTCCAGAGTGCCGTACAGTTGGCATCATGCCCCATGTAGCCTTTTCAGATTTGCTTCTTTCACTTAGTAATATGCATTTAAGTTTCCCCCATGTCTTATCATGGCTTGATAGTTCATTTCTTTTTAATGGTGAATAATATTCCACTGTCAGAATGTACCACAGTTTATCTGTTCATCTACTGAAGGACATTTTTGTTGCTTCCAAGTTTTGACAATTATGAATAAAACTGCTCTAAACATTTGTGTGCAGGGTTTTAGAAAAACTTCAATTTGAAATTCAGGGGTACATGGGCAGATTTGTTATACAGGTAAACCAGTGTCATGGAAAGTTTGTTGTATAGATTATTTTATCACCCAAGTATTAAGCCTATTAGTACCCATTAGTTATTTTATCTGATCTTCTCCCTCCTCCCACTCTCCACCCTCTAGTGGGCCTTAATGTCTGTTGTTCCCCTCTATATTTCCATGTGTTCTCATCATTTAGCTCCCACTTATTTTTTTTTTAATTTTTTATTTTTTTTTTTGAGACGGAGTCTCGCTCTGTCCCCCAGGCTGGAGTGCAGTGGCGTGATCTCGGCTCACTGCAAGCTCTGCCTCCCGGGTTCACGCCATTCTCCTGCCTCAGCCTCCCGAGTAGCTGGGACTACAGGCACCCGCCACCACGCTTGGCTAATTTTCTAATTTTTTTTTGTATTTTTTAGTAGAGACGGGGTTTCACCCTGTTAGCCAGGATGGTCTCGATCTCCTGACCTTGTGATCCGCCCACCTTGGCCTCCCAAAGTGCTGGGATTACAGGCTTGAGCCACTGCGCCCGGCCATTTAGCTCCCACTTATAAGTGAGAACATGCAATAGTCTTTAGTTTGCTAAGGGTAATGGCTTCTAGTTCCATCGATGTTCCTGAAAAGGACATGATCTCATTCTTTTTCATGGCTGCATAGTGTTTCATGGTGTATATGTACCACATTTTCTTTATCCAGTCTTCCATTAATGGACATTTGGTTGATTCCATGCTTTGCTATTGTGAGTAGTGCTACAGTGAACATAAGCATGTATTTGTCTTTAAAACAGAACAATTTATATTCCTTTGGATATATACCCAGTAATGGGATTGCTGGGTCAAATGGTAGTTCTGTTTTCAGCTCTTTGAGGAATTGCCACACTGCTTTCCACAATGGTTAAACTAATTTACACTCTCACCAACAGTGTATAAGTGTTCCCTTTTCTTCGCAACCTCACCAGTGTCTTATTTTTTGACTTTTTAATAGTAGCCATTCTGACAGGTGTGAGACAGCATTGTTATGGTTATGACTCACATTTCAATTTTCAACTCCTTTGGGTAAATACCAAGGAGGATGATGGCTGGATTGTATGGTAAGAGTATGTTGAGTTTTGTAAGAAATTGTCAAAATATCTTCCAAAGTAACTGTACCATTTTGTATTTTCACCGGCAATAAATGAGACTTACTGTTATTTCACATCCTAACCAGCATTTAGTGTTGTCAGTGTTTTGGAATTTTGCCATTCGAATAGGTGTGTAGTGGTATCTCATTATTTTAATTTGGAATTCCCTAATGACATACACTGTTGTGCATCTTTTCATATAGTTATTTGTAATCCATGTATCCTCTTTAGTGAGGTGTCTGTTCAGATCTTTTGCCCATTGTTTAACTGGGTTGTTCATTTTCTTGTTGAATTTTAAGAGTTCTCTGTATAGTTTTGATAACAACCTTTATCAAATATGTCTCTTTTTCTAGATTGCATGTAGTCTTTTTTTTTTTCTTTTTTAAATTTTAGATTCAAGGGGTATATGTGCATGTTTGTTACATGGGTATTACATGTATAATGGTGAGTGTTGGGCTTGTAGTATACCCATCACCAAAACACTGGGCATTGTATCCAGTAGGAATTTTTCAACCCTCAGCTCCTCCCCACTATCTCCACAGTCTCCAGGGTCTATTTTCTCCATCTTTACATCCATGTGTGCCATTTGTTTAGCTCCCACTGGCAAACAATTTATTTCAGTATGTGGCTTCTCTTCCTCTCAGTATAATTCATAGCACTTATTTCTTATTATGTTTCCTATAATATTAGACTGTGGGCTTCTTATGAGCAAGGACTATGTCACATTCTTCCTCAGTTTTTTAGCTCAGTGTTTGGCGCATATTATGATTAAATAATGTTTAATTAATGAATGACTGTGTTTGCAAAGTGAGTCATCTACTCTCTTGATACTCAAAAGATGGCCCTCAAATCAGTAACATGGGAATCCTTTGGGAGCTTGTTAGTATGTAGAATCTCAGCCTTCACATGCTAAATAAGTATCGACATTTTAGCAAGATCTTCAGATAATCAGTATGCACTTTGATGTTTGTGAATCTTGTGTTCCACTTAACCTTTATGAACCCATCTTTCCCCACCCAAAGTCAGGTGTGGTAGGACTCCAAGTCACATTTATAGGATAGACTAATTTAGAAAGTTCTATTTTAGGCAGAAACAGGAAAGGCCACAAAGTAAAAATGACAAGTGAGAGAGCACAGTACTATTTTATAGAAGTTTTGCTAAACCTGAGAACATGAGAACTGAAAGTCCTGTGCTAGAAATCAACTTACAGTTTCAAAAATAAGTTCTGTGGGTTAATCTTTAAAATCAGGCCCTTATTTTGAAGTTGGTCAGGTGAAACATTCCATGGCAATTGTTTTATCTGCACCCAATTTATAACCACCTATTAGCACCTACCAGTTTGCTAGGTTCTGAGGTTAGTATGGTTGAGAAAGATTTCATTCCTGCCTGACACTGCTTATGGTATAGATGAAGAAGTAGAAGTTAAACAAAAAATTATAATCTCATTGTTGAATTCTGTTGTGGAGATAGGTGCAAAATGTTGTGAAAACACCATCGAATATTAAGTTTCTTGAGTATAAGAACTATGTATATTGTTCACTGTAGTAGAGTTCATGTTTCTGAGACTGAGGGTTTTGAGGGAACCCTAAATAATCACATTCTTCTGGCTCTACAGATTGTTAGCCAACTGAAAAATGGAAGAGTCAGATTGGGGATAATATTAATAATAAAGATGGATTGACAAGCACAGCTTGGGCCCCAAACCAAAATGTGTTTCCTACCCATTCCCCCATCTAAACTTGCTTGACTTTGGGACCCCTTTATAGGAGAGTTATGTCTACAGAAAGATACCTAGCCAGTCATGTGGGGAATGTCAGCCTGCTTCAAGTTTCCTTGATTGCAGATGAGGGTCAGAGATATAACTACAACCTCCTTGCCTTTGATGCAAGACGTTCTTTCAGAGGTTAATGTGGTTAAAAGGGTGAGAAGCTCTGCCCATCACACCAGTATGTTAAATCAATCCTCTTTCTGTAAGGAGAAGCCTGCAAGAGGGCAGATCATAGGAGGACCTTATATCAAAGCTAAAGTGAGAACATGAGGAAAGAGAAACAATGACTTTTTCCTAGATTGGGAATATGGTAAGTAATTGCTGAATGTTAAATTACTGAACTGAATGAATTAAAAACAAGAAACAACTACTTCTTTCAGGGAAGTCAAAAAATGTCATTTGTGCCTTCTCTTAGAGCCAGAAAAAAGGGAGGAGAGAATTTTAAGTGCAGAAAAGAGCCATTCAAAACAGGATGGCACATTCTGAGATTGTTGGCCAGGCAGCCAGTGGCTGTAGAGTAGGTTATGGGGAGGGAATTACAAAATATAACACCAATTTTGGTTGTAATTGCCACTTAAATACAATGTAGGTAGCCAAAGTTCTTTCCTGTATATTATACAAAACATTGTGAAAGATCTATTGGCAACGATTTTCTCTTTAAGCTTCTTGGCTATCACAGATGTGCACAACTGACATGCTGATAAAGGCATAAAATTTATTTTTATTTTAGACAATGTTATTAAAACTTATCCAAGTCTTATGTTTAACAGTTGATAAATGATTTTATTTGGGGTTAAATACAAGGAAGAACAGTATTGAGTAGAATTTTAGCAAACCCTATGAGGTCACAACCAAATAGAGGTTAGAAACCTCAAACTTTCTTATTTGCCATTGACAATCTACCTTAAAACAATTAAAAATGTTAGCTCCAAACTGGATAATGACAGACTGCGTTGTTCTTTAAACTTTTGGAAATGTGTGTTTTCTTTGAATAGTATGCTATAATGTGATTGGACAACATATGATTCCTAAGTTTATTTGAATAATATTGGTGTTTATTATGCATCTTTCAAAAAAAAAGTTAAAAAGTTCAAATTAAGAAGTATTATAGTCAATCTCTTCCAAGGAAGTATTCCAAGTAATAGTGGAGCTGGCCCACAGATTGACTAACTGCTATATGAAATTGAGACCTATGCTTTAGGGCTTTCTATGGCTCGTAATCATATATTTATAAGCACTCCACAATATTTTACCTCTTGTAATTCTTGATGATCCCTTGACAATAATAAAATGTTTATAACAATTGATATCTACCATTTATTTATTGCTTGTCTATGTGCCAAACACTGCTCTAAGTCTTTTAAATGTACAACTTGTTTAATTCTCACAGTCACCTTATGAAGTAAGCGGTTATCATTCTCATTCTACTGATCAGGAAACTGAGGCACACAGTCATCAAGTAACTTGTCCAAGTTCTCATCACTAATAAGTGATAGAAACTAAATCCCAACCTAGTAATCTGATTCCAGAACCTATGTTCTTACCACAGCACCAACTTGAGGAGCAATGGAGAAGAATTTGGGATTGTTCTAGACTCTGTAGTATGCATAAGAAAGCCTTGGATCTGTGCTGAAACCATCTCAGGATTGTCTCATTAAGCCCTGCTTAAGAGTGGTGATGCTTGCAATTGCCCAGTTATCAGCGTTGGGCCATCAGTAGAAGGAAGGAATTGAACTAGGCAAAAATATGGCACTACATTGGAGAAATAATACGCTCATGGCAAGGACAGAGTACAAGATGGTCATCAGGTTGACTATGCACAGGAGGAGACAAAAATGAGCAGTCTACAATCAGGAGGTCAGGAATCTAAATGACAATGTCCAGAGATTAGACAAGTAGTATGAGAAACTAGCACAGAGCCCAACAGCATGAAAAAGGCTGGATTCTGAGCCAACTGCATTTTAATGCAGGAGTCTCTAACATAATTCCCCTTCAGACTGTGTCCTAGACTGAGATGGGCTTAAATCTCCAGATAAAAACAAGTATTCAGATTTGTCAGGAGAAGAGAATTGAAGAATTAGAGAATCTAGAGGTTCCTAACAACAGTGATGGGAGAAGTTATGGAGCTTAGGCAGACCTGACATATTTCACCACAGCTCCCTGCCCCTGGAGAAGCATCGATATGTTGGAAAAACAGGAGAAACAGTGACAAAGTCAAAGAAAGAAGAGACTCAAGGACTTAGGAATAAACCATTGAACCAAAATTGCAGTTAAGGGTAAGTTTCGTCATCTGTAAGCTAAAAATGCACCTTAGTGGTCTTGGGAAAACCAGAGTGTCTTCCATTTGTTAAAACCCACATATCACACAAAATGTCCTAGTTTTAAACTCTTTTCGCTGATAATGCTTTAAAATATACTGACTTTGTGGTATATTTGATTCTACAAGAACCCAGAACAACCTCCAAGTTCAAACAATCTGTTTTTTTAAAAAAAACAAAACAAAACTGCCTATTCTGCATTGTATCTTGAATATCTTAAAGCATCTCAGAAATCTCAAAAAGTGGTACTATTAGTAGATATAACACACTTATCCACACAGTCACACACACGTATACATACAGACATAAAAATTAATAGGTGTATATATACACTTAGTTCAAATAATGAAAACTAAAAATTTTTAAATGGCTGCCTGTTAGAGGGAGGAGAGAATAGTGTGCGATGATTAAGGATGGAAAGGAGACTCCAGTGAATGTACTTTGGTATAGGGTTTGACTTAGAAATAATGAAAATTATTTGCACAATTAAATAATAATACTTCATAAATAAAACGCAATTCCTCAAATTGAAAACAAACTGAAACAAACTTAAATGTATATTAGACTGATGGCATACCACATAGAATAATTATGTCAAGTGACTTCAGTGTTTTGACTATACAAACTTGCAGGGATATATTATAAGAACAGAAAGAACCATAAAGATACTTTAATCTTCATTTTGTGCTTGTCATGGTAATATTGATATTTTTATTTTTATTTTGTTTGTTTCTTTGTTTCTTTTGAGATAGGGTCTTACTCTGTTGTACATACTGGAGTATAGTGGCGTGCTGATAGCTCACTGCAGCCTTGAACTTCTGGGCTCAAGTGATCCTTCCACCTCAGCCTCCCAAAGTGCTGGGATTACAGGAAGGAGCCACCATGCCTAGTGATATTATTGTTTAAAAATAATATGTGGATAATATAGTATACAACAAGTATGTATGTTAATATATTTAGAAATATGGCTTTCTTGTATGCTAAAAATTAACAGAAGTATGGAATTAAAGATTTTAATTAAGAGCCCTGAAATCCAAGTTTTGAATTTATGTATATGAAGTATATACATAAATTCCTAATTTTATTTATTAAGTTGAAAGAAAAAGGGCATGTACATTTCTCTAATCATTAATGATTTTTAAAGCCTTAAATGAAATATTTCCGAATGAAAATCAGTAAAATATTTAAAGAATAATGTACTAGAACTAAGTGAAACGCATCTCCAGGAACAACAAAAACAATACCTCCAGTAGGTAAAAGACAAAAACAACCCTACAGCTCTGTATCATATCCAGAATGCTAAAAAATTGCTCTTCTAGTCATTCATTAATTCACCCAACACATATTTTTGTGTAAGTCTGTTACATGCCAGGCCCTGTGCTAAGCTCTGTGGGGTTCAAACAAATTTTTAGAAGGCTTGTAGCCTGTGAAAGAGCCATAAATAGGCAATTGTCTCACCTAATGATAACTGTGAAGATTAACAGTCATTTGAGTGCTCTGAGAACATGGAAGGGCATCAATCTGGCCTTAGTGTGGTCAAGCATGTTCAGAAGCAGTTTTTCTCATAAGATACAAAATCAAGACACTATAAACAAGGACAGAAACTACAATTTGGTTCTCACAGATGCTTTTAATTAAGAGGTCTTGAAGCATGAAAACTAATGTGAGAGAAAAGCTACTTTTCTCAAACATTCCAAAATCATTGGCCATCCATCAGAATACAGTTGGATATATAAGTAGCTAATTTTATATAATTCCAGCTATGTGCCAGGCAGTGTGCTACAGGTTTTGCATAGTTTATCTCATTTGATCCTCACAACATCCCTATGAGGTAGGAGCCAATGAAAATCTCAGTTGATGAGAAACAGTGCTTAAAGAGGTTGCTCTTTTGCATAAGCCAGTTAAAGTTAGAATTCTGTCATTGGCAAGAAAAAATGTTAATTCATGTATTTACTAAAGCAGGTCCAATTAATGATGCTTTCTGTTTGGAACATTTCATGAATTTTTCCTTGCCTGTAAGATCTTCCACCTAAGATGTGGAAGCAAAGGAGGATAGACCAAGGCTGTGTTGTCATGAGAGCTCGAGCTGCCCATGGCACTGCAAGTGGGGTGCCCATGGGTCATAGGATATGCAACTAAAATGGTACATCAGAGAAGTAGTATGCAGAGCAAATCTAAATCCATGTCCAGGCAGATGGTCCAACCAGGTTGTCTGACTGAAGGGAATAAATGGAGAGAAATGGAAATGGGAAGAAACTGGGTCAGAGTGGGTGGCATGCTTGAAGCAAAGGATAAGTGAAGAAGCTTTGAGGAAAACTTTGTATTATAGAAACATAGTGAAGGTGTTCATCCCTAGAAGATTCTTAATGAAGTCCCAGAAGCTTTCGGATCTTCAGGCTCCTCAACCTTTGGCTCTTTTTTACATTTAAATCATATCTGAGGACAATGGCTTTCAGCTCCAATCAACATTTCTGATGAGGTCTCTGTTAAATGTACACATTGCCAGTGAATATCAGCCAGAATAGGAGACTTTTTTTTATGTGTATGGTTGGGTTTTAAAGAGCCCTGTTGGCTACATCCTTGGTCAGGGAGAGAACTACCTTGCTTGTATAGTTATTTCACCTCTGCATCATCCCACCTCCTGACAATGAAGTTCAAAACATTCCTAGTGACTCCACTACCCCTTGACACCCAGAAAATCAAGAGCGGTTGGCTATTGAGAGAATTTCCTGAAGTGTTTCAACTTGGCTTAGACGCAGTCTTAGCTAATTCCTTTAAAGAAGAAATTTAGAGATGGGGTCTCACTCTCTTGCCTAGGCTGAAACGCAGTATTAGTTAATTCCTGACTGAGAAATGAATTTGTGAACACTCAGCAATAGAGGCAGTAGTCTGTCAAAATATTGTACTCTGAAAAGCCAATTTGCCCATATCCTTTGGTTACAAAACATTTCTCCTTCCACCCACTCTCACTTCTGACCCTGGGAATAGCGGGAAGAGGGCCCTGCCTTATTATTTTGGTCACCTCTCTGTGGGCTATTTTCCTATTTATTCTGGTCAGCCCAATTTCCTGGAGCTGGTCTCTATTCCCAGACCTCCCTGCCCTATTTTGGGGAAAGTTTCTTCACAGGACTTGGCCCTGCCTGATGGTTTCGGTCTCTCTAATTTGGATATCTATAGCCACAGCTCCACTCTTCTTGTCCTTTTAGGACATTGTTTGGGTAAACACTTCAGCCTGGGACTGCAGGATATTGGCTTTATATTGGTTTGGGTTTAAGTGCAGATTCTCAGTGCCTTTGCCAGGGATGCTTTCTCTGCCCTGGTTTGTAACTAGACTCTTCCAAAGTTTTTAATAAATGTTATCACAAAATAAGTGTTGTTATACATAGGGATTTACTTTATCAATGTGATTCATTAAGTTCTCATATTTCTGTTAGCCCCCTGTGCTTTCTGGCTCCCTTCTCTCTGTATGTCACAGAGCCAACTCTCTGTAGTCTCTTTTCCTAAACATCAACACGGATAAGGATAATAATTTGCGCATTCTTCAGCAGGACATTTTAAAGTCTTTGCAATTTGGTTCCAGTTTACACCCCCAGCTTTATCTTTGCCACTTTCTTTCATATCCAATAGACAGAAAAGCATAGCCAGTATCTAAGAACAGAAAACATAAATCATCTTAGCCTTAGAGTCCCTGAATCTTTGCATCTTTGCAGAGATAGCAAGCACATAAATGGGGATCACCATTTGATTGTCTGTTTTTTTTTTTTTTTTTTTTGAGACGGAGTCTTGCTCTGTCACCCAGGCTGGAGCGCAGTGGCGCGATCTTGGCTCACTGCAAGCTCGGCCTCTCGGGTTCATGCCATTCTCCTGCCTCAGCCTCCCGAGTAGCTAGGACTACAGGCACCTGCCACCATGCCTGGCTAATTTTTTTGTTTTTTTTGGTTTTTTTGTAGAGATAGGGTTTCACCGTGTTAGCCAGGATGGTCTCGACCTCCTGACCTCGTGATCCGCCTGCCTCGGCCTCCCAAAGTGCTGGGATTACAGGGGTGAGCCACCGCGCCCAGCTTGATTGTCTTTCTATACAATAGTTTGGTCACTGATATTTCAGTCAAATCCTGAATACAGTAATGCTTGCTTTCACACTGCATTCAGCATGTCTTTAAAATTAAGTCTTTATAATCATAGCACTGTAAAATTGGTGTTGAGTTCTACTTTTCCAGCATGTGCATAGGGGAAACAAGAAGATACTCTTCTCCATAGGCTTCCTGCTAATTCACAGCCTGTAAGCTCTTTATGTTCCCATAATATTTTATACCTCTGTAGCTTTGAACATGCATTCTCTTCCATTTGTTGACTGCATGTTTTCCACCATCATTTTGCATCCTGGACAATTCCCACTCATTTAAGATTTAATTCAAGTGTCACTTTTTTTTATAAATTCTTCCATAGGTTCTCCAGCAGAATTATTTCTACCCCATTCTGTGTTTCCTCACAATTATGGATTATGATTATTTCTTTGTGTTCTGAAAGTAATCTGACCCTTTCATTCACTTATCCCTTGAAGTCAGGGATTGTATTCTTCATGTATATGTATTCATTTCCAAAATAATGCCTGATACATACTGGAAACACCACAAATATTTATTTTTAAATAAATGTTATTTTATATAGAAATCCACTGAATCAACAATTTCCATTAAATTGACATTATTTATTCTTACATTTAGGTATAATCTGGTTTAACTAATTTTTCTTTTTCTTTCTTTTTTTTTTGTTTTTGTTTGAGGCAAAGTCTCAATCTGTGGCCCAGGCTGGAGTGCAGTGGTGCAATCTTGGCTCACTACAACCTCCACCTCCAGGGTTCAAGCGATTCTCCTCCCTCTGCCTCCCGAGTAGCTGGGACAACAGGGGCATACACCAGGCCCAGCTAATTTTTGTATTTTTAGTAGAGACGGGGTTTCACCATGTTGGTCAGGATGGTCTCGATCTCTTGACCTCATGATCTGCCCGCTTCGTCCTCCCAAAGTGTGGGGATTATAGGCATGAGCCACTGTGCCTGGCCTTAACTAATTTTTCAATACAATCTATCCTTATTTCCTAGTACCAAGGGTATGGAATTTCTATACTTATTCTATGGTCTTCCATAACTGAGTTCCTATTTCTACTTGACATGTCCACGATCTCAACTTTTAAAGCTTACCTATAGAATTACTTTTGATCATTTACTTAAAGTTTGACCGAATAGACATTCCAGACTAGATTCTGTCTTGATCTGGTCTAGAGAGCCTTTTGGCTTAAGCTTTGTTTCCTCTTAATTTCTTAGTCCCCATTTTAATCTACAGGCTTATGTTCTCACAAACCTAACCCATGCATCTGCATGTGTGTTAGAGAGAAATGATTCAAGGTATCAAGTGTGGGTTATGCCTGTAACTTCCAGAGAAATGAAGTACCTGGAATGGCCTCTGGAGAAAATTAAGAAAAGAAATGAATTCCTTACGTCTGAAAATAATTATACCTGAAAAAAGATATTATTGGATCTTCCCATATCCCTAGCCCTAGGAAGACTACACTGGGTCTTAACTGTCATGCTGACAAATATGGAACATATTTAATAAGCACGGGGGAGAGATTGAATAGTTTGCAAATAAGGCATTTACCTCATCCTCTCTGGGGTACCAACTTTTCAGATGAAAAATGAAGGTTTACAAAAACTAGTTGTAGAGATAACCTTCCTATCATGCCCATGACACTCAGTTACATCAATCTATATGACATTCCAAAAAGCCACTTCTGTTGACGAGTTTGTCTTCAAGACAAAATTTACATGCCATACTGGGGCTTGGTATCGTTACTTGGTTCTCTCCAAGCACTTGGGTGGCTATTTGGTTCTCTCCAATTCCTATATTTCATGTCTTTGATCCTACAACAGGCCCAAGGAAGGACAGAAAAGTCATATAAACCATGGTTTCTGCCTTGTAGGAACATGCAATTTTGTTAAAAAGAAAGAATAAAATAAATTAAGAGAAACTGTACATATTTGTCAAATATAAGGCTTAACTATGAGTATGCATCTCTGAGTAATATATAACTATATTAAGAGTACTGAGGGTTGTTTTTATGGTTTGCTGTTTCTCTTCTGCACCATGTCTTCCTACTCTTGGATATTGATTTAGATTCCTTTATCAGGCAGCTGGAGTATTTGTTCCCCTACTTTGTTTCCAGTGAGTTAAGTGAGTCATGTATCTTTTGAGTACATTTACATCTGAGAATATACTTCCATTGTCTTCACATATACATGATAAGGTAACTTTTTTCTCTCTCTTTCAAAATGTTGTAGCTAGTTTTATTTAGTTCTGCAATTGAGCATCATAAAGTCTGTTCTAAATAAGAGATATATATATTTCATCTTAGGTACCCTGTTGTTTTGTTTCTGTTTTTGTTCTTCCTATGTAGAAATCACTTATTATCTTTGCAATTCTGAATTTCAAACAGCATATATCTAAACATGTCAATTTCTTGACTCTTGTCTACATCTGGAATCTCAACTAAAAGCATACTTTTCCTCTTGGATCTTTCCTCCATTTTTTTTAACCTTTTAGTTGTTCAGTTCTTTATCCTTTCTATTTTGAATTCTAAATAATTAGTTGCACATGTTTTTTAATTAGTTAATTTGGCAATCTGTGGTATTCTGGTCACCAACTCTTCTTCTGCTTTAAAAAATTTTTAATTAGAAATTTTATGGAAATAAATATTTATAGAGAAAAATCACAAATAACAGGTGCACAGATTGTTGAATTTGAATGGGATAACCTATGTAATCAGTACTCTTCCAGATTAGCAACTAGAAGACCAGAACTCCCCAATGCCTCCTTAAAGCCACATCCCTGCTCCCCAAGGAAACTATCTTGACTTCTAACATCATATGTTAGTTTTAATGCTTTTGGACTTGACATAAATAGAATCATATAGTATGTAATTTTTGAGTTTAAAATCAAGAACCCCTAAAGGTCTGAGATTTTTACCCTGCTTGTAAGCTGACAAACTGGGGTCTCATAATTTCATGAATGCTGGTAGAAGACATGAGACTCCTGGGACTGAGACAAAGGACATCATTCCTCACAGCCCAGCAAGTAACATAACCATCAGCACAGTTGTGCCAGTTTGCCTTGCCCCTCAAGTCCCGTGGGGTGATACAGATGGGTTCAGATAAATGCCTTTTCAAATGGTGGGTTACATTACAGGAGAAAACTCCAAACATAGGGAACCTAAATCTTTTATAAAGGGTAGTAAGCATGCCTTCCTTTGCTCTGAAGGGAGACACTATCTTTATCTTCCAACGTTGTTTGCTATACAAATATCCTGGAAAAGAATCTGAAACAAAGTATTTAATGTTTTGCTTTACAAGGTATGCAGAAAGTGAGAGCCTCATGGAGAACTGTCTCCCAGTATCTGAGAGATTCCACATTGATATGGTTTGGCTGTGTCTCCACCCAAATCTCAACTTGAATTGTATCTCCCAGAATTCCCACATGTTGTGGGAGGGACCCAGGGGGAGGTAATTGAATCATGGGGACTGGTCTTTCCCATGCTATTCTCATGACATTGAAAAATTTCATGAGATCTGATGGGTTTATTAGGAGTTTCTGCTTTTGCTTTTCCTCATTTTCTCTTGCTGCCACCATGTAAGAGGTGCCTTTCACATCCCGCCATGATTCTGAGGCCTCCCCAGCCATGTGGAACCATAAGTCCAATTAAACCTCTTTTTCTTCCCAGTCTCGGGTGTGTCTTTATCAGCAGCTTGAATATGGATTAAGACACACATTATATGTTTATATGTTGGTATTCATCCATGTTTTTGCTTATAGCAATAATTAGCTCTTCTGTAGTATAGTAATCCAATGCATAAATATCTCACAATTTAAGTGTGGTTTCTTTTGTTGATGAAAATTTGGTTTGTTTCCAGTTTGGGGCTGTTATAAATAATATTACAATAAGTAAACTTGCACATTTTTTGATGCATATTTGTTTACATTTCTGTTAGGTATATACCTCCAAATATAATTGCTGGATTATTGGTTATGCATATATTCAGCTTTAACAGATCTTGCCAGTTTTCTAAGGTGGTTTAAAAAGTTTACCACCTTAACTGGTATCTGGCTTTGTTTATCTTTGGCAACATCAACTATATGGAATGAATTTGATGTAGAGTCTCAGTTGATAAAGATAGTCTCATATAAAGTTTTGCATTTTTTTCTTTCTTCCTTTTTATTTTAATGCCTTGATGGAGGGGTTGGAATTGGCAAATGAAAGTTCAAGTCAGTGGGGAGAATGACCAAAGTAATGTAACAAGAATGCGCTGAGCATATTCACAGTTGATGATTTGTCTGGTCTGCGTGGACTGTTCAGTGAAATAGAAACATATTATCCTAAGAAATTTATTTTCTTTATATTATGCCTTTAAAAAAATCCTACAAACTCCTAAGCCAAACTCTTAGAATGGAGAAAACATTGAAATTATCTTTCGAAGCATTGCTTGAATATCTCTCTTGGTTAGTAATGTGTGGTAACCTGTGATGTGAGCTTTTATCTTATGAATAACTTATTTGCTTGCAATGCCAGATTACTGGGTAACTGCTCATTCATTATTATTCTCCTTCATTGCTGTGATCTTACTCTCAAGTCTTGAAAGGAAGTATGAATAAAAGTCCCTATTGAGGGGAAAAAAAAGCACAGAAAGTTTTACTTCTCAACTAATTCAGAGGAGGATGTGGTTGATATTTAAAATATGCAGAAGCCACCAGGAAAAATTAGGGATAAGAATTAAATGATGAACTAGTGAATGAATGCACAAGACTCAGAGTAGGAGAAATTATACTGTGAATTATGAGGGACAAATGGAGCAGAATACTTGTTAGGTTTGCAAAGGATTGGGCCAATTGATGATTAATTTTATGTGTCAACTTAGCTAAACCATGGTACCCAGTTATTTGGTCAAACATCATTCTAGAAGTTTCTGTGTGGGTATTTTTAAGGTGAGATTCACATTTAATCAGTAGGCTTGAAGTAAAGCAGATTATCCTACATGATGTGGATGTGCCTCATCCAGTCAGCTGAAGACCTTAAAAAAAACTGATCTTCCTTTGGGAAGAAGAAATTCTGCCAGCAGACTGCTGTGGGCTCATACTGCAACTCTTCCCTGGGTTTCCAGCCTGTTGGCTTACCCTGCAGATTTTGGATTTGCTAGCCTCCATAATCATATGAGCCTATTACTTAAAAATCTCTCTTTCTCAGCCAGGTGCAGTGGTTCACACCTGTAATCCCAGCACTTTGGGGGGCTGAGGCGGGCAGATCACAAGGTTAGGGGTTCAAGACCAGCCTGGCCAATATGGTGAAATGCCATCTCTACTAAAAATACAAAAATTAGCCAGGTGTGGTGATGGGCGCCTGTAGTCCCACCTACTCAGGAGGCTGAGACAGGAGAATTGCTTGAACCCGGGAGGCAGAGGTTTCAGTGAGCTGAGATCATGCCACTGCATTCCGGCCTGGGCAACAGAGCGAGATTCTATCTCAAAAAAACCCAAAAAACCAAAAAACAAAAACAAAAAAAACCTGTCTTTCTCTCTCCCCCTCCTATTGGTTCTGTTTCTCTGGAGAACCCTAACTAATACAGGCAAATTCTGCATAACTGGCCCAAATCACCTTGGCATTTAAAGGAAGCTCCTGCTTTGCCTAAGGAAAACCAAAGTTTATTGTTAAAAAAAAAAAAACACCCAATATTATTACATAATTTCTGAATTTGGAAGATTAGAATTTCTGATCTCTTAGGTTCTACTCAAGTATAATACAGTGTCAATAACTCTAAAACCTATTCTGTCATCATTACATGAATAGGTTTATACTCAACTTCTCAATCTTTCAGTCAAAGAATAAGTTAAATATTGTTTGTTTTCCTAAAGAATCTATTTTTGCCTGAGCTGGAAATTCTTATTGACTTTTTATTTCCTGATCTTACTCTTTTCCCTTGGCATTTAAGAATCAAGCCGTAATTAGAACTTAACTTCACTCTAATAACCCTGAGGGAGTGAAAATGGGTGAGCCAAACAAACCTGAAGCCTAAAACTGCCTCCATGAACTATAATGGGTAGATACCCGAAAGTATCTTATTCTTTTACCACTGAAGTGGTGACTTTTCCAGATGAGATTGTAGCTCCTTAGACCATTTTCTTAGTATTCCTTTCATTTCTTCATTCATGCAACATAAGTGTTCTGGCCCTTTACTGGGAATAAAGTAAAAAGATATTTAAGATCCACCCTCTACCTTCAGTGAGGTTAGAGACCAAGAGAGGAGGAGAAATATGGAGACAAATTAGTATAAGACCATTCCAGGTGCAGTGATGGAAAACGTATTACAAATGTGTATGTTGCAGCCTAGTTTTTTCATCTTTATACAGAAACAAAGAAGTGCTGGCCCCAAGTTTTATATCCAAGTCCATTTCTGATCAGGCGCAGGTAATAATTATTCAAAAGGAACGGCTGGTAAAAGTTCAAATTATATAAATGTCTTGCAACAATTTTTCTGCCACCAGAGTTTTAAAAATTCTTTTCTAACTGGTGAGCACTCATGCTTATCAGTATGCTTACCCTTACTAAATCTGTTTGTGTCTATCTTTCTGAATTGACCCAGATAGTAGGCAATTATTTCCTCTTACAATACACACCATCAACTTCCTTCATACTATACGTCTACTGCTTTATCAATAATATTTCTAACCTATTTTTCAGCCTCCTCTTTAATACATTTTTAGTTAGAGTTCTCAAACCAATTATGTGTGTGTGTGAGATTATAGGTGGGATATAGCAGGTATATGAGATGATGTTGGTGCCCCTCCCAAATCACTCTTATCAGCAATTACACCCATCCCCAAGCTGTTGTAAGTGCTGGCAGCTAATGGATCACAGGTGTCTACCCACGTACTTTCCTGGAGAATAGCTCTCAGATGATGGCCACCAGATGTTCATGCAACATAAGTGTTCTGGCCCTATACTGGGAATAAAGTAAAAAGATATTTAAGATCTACTCTCCCACCACAGCCTACAGCTAATGACTGACTAACTGATGCTAAGGTATGATAGACCAATGCTTTGCGTCAAGGAGGAACCATCTCTGTTGTGCAATTTATGCTCCAGTGCACCCCTACCTGACTAATGCAATAAGAAACTGTAGCTTCATCTACAAAAACAGAAATCTCTTGGAATGGTTTGAGTAAGGTTACTTGAGGACAGAGGCAAGTACAAAGCTGGCAAGTGGATTCCATTCTTTCATTACTGGTATTCCCAGGAGACCACAGATAGGCTTTAATTGGATTGAGAGAGTACTACAATGGGTTTGCTTGTCTGGTAAGAGAAGCAACCTCTGAGAATACTTTGCAAGGTTCCAGAAAAGCAAAGTATCCATCAATTTTGCCCACTTAAATATATTTCTTTTGATTAAGGTACATGCTTTTCTTCTACCAATGTATAGAAGTGAACATCTCCAGCCTGGGCAATAAGAGTGAAACTCCATCTCAAGAAAGAAAAATAATGTTACATCGTTATACCACATTCTCTTTCATGCTCAGAGCAGTGATTTCACTGAAAAATTGAAATGGGATTTGAATCCTTTGTTTCTCAACAGGCATTGAAAAAATATTTTCAGAGTTATTCATTCAAATGATTGAATATTACAGGAAATAAAGTGAAGACTTCACTGGAACTATTCCAAAAGATCTGGATGTGAGAAGGAGGGGTGGGAGAAATGAAATTACACAACTTTGTAAATTTCTCACTTCACAAAATTTTTTCATTTTGCCTTATCTACGGATACCAGGCCTGGGTTGAAATTTACATGTGCCCAAGAAAGGTGATATAAATGAATAAGACACAATATGCCATTTATCTTGACAATATATAATTTTACAGGTATTTTTGGCTGGATCATAACTTTATCCCATGTAGCCAAATTTGGGTAACTATAAATGTGATTCTGTTACCAAGAGGCAGGACTAAACCTATTTTTCTTTACCTTTCAAATACTATGAAGTCTCCCTGGTTGTGGGGCCAAAGAGAAATATTAGCATAGCTAATATTAGCATAGCTTCTGTTATTACCAACTATGTGGGTAAATGGTACACCTACTGAGAAAAAAAATTAGCTATGGTAGGGGGAAATGTGTGTGTTAAAAGGCAATAATTGGAAACAATGAGAGATCATAGTGGAAGGAAAGGGCACTTGCAAACGGATTGCAATCCCAGGGAGAAATGCAATCATGCTATTTCCATTAGAGTGTTTCAGAGCAAAAGAATAATACGCTTAGCTATCTCTTTCAGAACTAGCACTGGCTCGTGTTAGGAAGGTTTAGCACATGGATTCTTTTATTTAAAAAGTAAAACTTTCTCAGAAGCCACTCAACAGAATTTCTTATAGCTTGTGGCCCAAAATGAGCACTATAGTTGTTACTAGGTGCAAGGGAGTTGTGAGAACACAACTACATTCTTTAGTTAGTAGCATTAAGAAAAAAGAGTTGAAAATAGCTGTGGTTTTGCCCCATTGACAGCATCTTCCACCGGGGTGGGAAGGGGTGGTGATCAGATGTATATTTTTGAAAGGTCATTTTATCTGTAGCATAGATGATGGACGAGGAACATGCAGAACTGGAGTTAGGGAAACCAGTTAACAGACTTTTGTGTGGGGAGAGGGGATGCAGTGATGGGTATTGAAAAGGAGGTAATATATGAGTGATATGTAGGTACACTCGTTAGAACTTGGCCGCTAGATTTGTGGGACTAGGAAGAGGGAGAAATAAAGGAGGACTCTTCAGGTTTTGAACAAGGTAAGTGATGCTAATGGACAAGGAGAATGTTGAGGATGGAAACGATTCATTTGGTTGTTTATGCTTATCTAATTTCACTTATTTTTCATTTTCTGCCTTTTGATACCTCTCATTATTTAGGGACCATTGTGTCCTAAAATAAAGTAAAATGGGTCTGAAATGTTATGGCAAATGAGACATGTATTATAATCAAAAAATCCTATAACAATAGTGTCATGGGAACCTTTATGTAGATTTTAGAATTACAAGGTTCATAGTTACTTCCAGGATTCCTGTTTTAAGCCCCGCAGCTTGCTACATCCCAGAAGGACCCCGTGAGGGTCAAATAAGATAATTATGAGAAAATCTCTTGTAAACTGCAAAATTCTATGCACATATACATGATTATAAGAAATCATTTTGGACAGATATACAATGGGAGAAACACATAATCTCTGATTATTAATGTGCCTGAAAATGAAAATGAATTTTCACTCCACTCCATTCAACATTGAATATTACGTGAAAAATAATTATAATTCTCTACTCCTTTCTCACCAAAGGGGAAGAGAAGTGATACAACTGCCCAGTGAAGTTGTGACATGGAATCAAACTTCTGGGTTTGCTCTCACTTTGGATCTGTGACAGGATCATTCTGGTCTGCTCTCCTATTCCTGGTGGTAGTGGAGCAGACCTTGCCCCCTTCTCTCTCTCTGTGTGCACATGTCTGTGAGACAATATAGGAGGATCTCAGTTTAATTCTACATAAAGTATTAGAAAATTCATTGTGGCTCTGTATTTAAGCTACATGCTCCAATCTAGCTTTTGATTGTAATAAATTAACCTTTTGATTTTTTTTTTTTTTTTTTTTTTTTTGAGACAGAGTCTCGCTCTGTCGCCCAGGCTGGAGTGCAGTGGCGCGATCTCGGCTCACTGCCAGCTCCGCCTCCCGGGTTCAGGCCATTCTCCTGCCTCAGCCTCCCAAGTAGCTGGGACTACAGGTGCCCGCCACCACGCCCGGCTAATTTTTTGTATTTTTAGTAGAGACAGGGTTTCACGGTGTTAGCCAGGATGGTCGCTATCTCCTGGCCTCGTGATCTGCCCGCCTCCGCCTCCCAAAGTGCTGGGATTACAGGCGTGAGCCACCGCGCCCGGCTGACCTTTTGATTTTTATCAGTCGAGCTATGAGTCTAATTCTAACTGCCCAACTTAAAAGGGAAAAGAAGAGGGTTATCTATCTATCCCAGACCTCAATACTATTAAAAACATCTCTATTGGCGATTCTAAAAGCCTCAGCCAATAATTTGCTTTGAGTACAATCTGCTTTATGTCTCTACAGATTAGCCTATTCTGGACATTTCATATAAATGAAATCATACAAGATATGACCTTTTAGTCTAGCTTCTTTCACTTAACATAACGTTTTCAAGGTTTATCTGTGCTGTAGCACATATCAGTCTTCTTTCCTCTTAATGAATGAATAATATTCTATTGTATGGATCTACCATATTTTGTTCATTCATTAGTAGATGGACATTTGAATTGTTTCTACTTTTTGGCTATCTGAATATTGCTGCTTACAACATATATTGTCATTAACCTTAAACTATACTTGCATTATCACATATCTATCCATCCAACAGTCAATTTATTTTACTGATATATTTCAAGGTAATTTGTAAATATCAATTTATCCATCAAAAATATTCTTCCAGTTAAATAGTTTCACGTTGTCAACATTAACTAAATGTAACACTTTTTAGAGCTTTTAAATATAAAATTGCATGCAATAAAAGGTGCATTTGTTGAGTAGAAAAATGCATATACCTGGGTAAATGAATCTCATATTGAGATATGAACCACTACTCTCACTCCATAAATTTCCTTATGTCCCCTCCCAGCCAATATTCCATATCCCCAGAGACAACTGTAGTTTTTATTTTTTTCACCATAAATATGAACTAGTACATACCTGGGTCTTTAAAAAATGAGTTTCTGTCTTGAAGCTATATAACTCATTCATTTTTAATGTTTATTTCACTGAACTTATTTCTTATCTCATACTTCATATTTAGCATGTTTTGTTTTTTCCCTTTTTTTTGCCTTTTTTCTATTCCCCTCAACTTATATACATGTTTTGTATTCTCATTCTGTCCTATAAAATTAACTTTTTGGCCTATGTAATTAAATGTATATTTTTTCTAAAAATGTCTAATTAGTAGCTACATCCTCCAATTAAACAAAACAAGAAAATTGATGCATTTAAAAATGTATATTACGTGGGTATACTGCACCCATGTAACAAGCCTGCATATGTACCAACTATATCTAAAATATAGGAAGGATAGTACCCCACATGTAGTTTTTTAACACATGCCCCCCTCCCTCTCTCTGCCCTCTAGTAGTCCATCGTGTCTATTGTTCCCATGTTCATATCCCATGTATACTCAATGTTTAGCTCCCACTTATGAACATGCAGTCTTTGGTTTTCTGCTCCTGCATTAATTTGCTTTGAATTATGACCTCCAACTCTATCTATGTTGCCGCAAAGTACATGATTTCATTCTTTTTTATGGCTGTGTTCTGTGGTGTATATGAACCACGTTTTCTTTATCCAGTCCACCATTGATGGGGACCTAGGTTGACTGCAGGTATTTGCTATTGTGAATAGCATGATGACGAACATATAAGTACCTCTGTCTTTTTGGTATAATGATACATTTTCCTTTGGGTATATACCCAGTAATGGGATTGCTGGGTATAATGGTAGCTCTGTTTTAACTTCTTTGAGAAATCTCCAAATTGCTTTCCACAGTGTCTGAACTAATTTACATTCCCACCAATAGTCTATAAGCATTCCCTTTTCTCTGCAGCCCCACCAACATCTGTTGTTTTTTGACTTTAATAAAGCCATTCTGACTGGTGTGAGATGGTATCTCATGGTTTTAATTTTCACTTCTCTAATGATTGGTGCTGATGACAGTTTTTCATGTTTGTTGGCCACTTGTATGTCTTCCTTTGAGGAGTGTCTCTTCATGTCCTTTGCCAATTTTTTAATGAGGCTTATTTTTGCTTGTTGATTTGTTTAAGCTCCTTAGAAATTCTGGATATTAGACCTTTATCAGATGCATACTTTATGAATATTTTCTCCCACTTTGTAGGTTGTCTGTTTACTCTGTTGATAGCTTCTTTTGCTCTGCAGAAACTCTTTAATTAGGTTCCACTTGTCAATTTTTGGTTTTGTTGCAAATGCTTTCGAGGACTTAGTCAAAAATTATTTGCCCAGGCTGATATTGAGAAGAGTATTTCCTAGTATTTTTTTCTAGGATTTTTATAGATTAAGGTTTTATATTTCAACACTTAATGCATCTTGAGTTAATTTTGTATATGGTGAAAGGTAAGGGTCCAGTATTATTCTTCTGCATATAGCTAGCCAGTTAACACCATTTATTGAATAGGGAATCCTTTCCCCATTGCTTGTTTTTGTCTACCTTGTTGAAGATCAGACTGTTGTAGGTGTGCAGCTTTATTTCCGAGTTTTCTATTCTGTTCCACTGGTCTACGTGTCGGTTTTTGTACCACTACCATGGTGTTTTTGGTTGCTGTACTTTTGTAGTATAATTTGATGTTGTGATGCTTTCAGCTTTGCCCTTTTTGCTTAAGATTTCTTTGGCTATTCAGGCTCTTTATTGGTTTCCTATGAATTTTATAATAGGTTTTTCTAATTCTGTGAAGAATGACACTGGTTATTTGATAGAAATAGCATTGAATCTGTAAATGGCTTTGGGCAGAATGGCCATTTTAATAATATTGATTCTTCCAATCTAAGAGCATGGAAACTTTCCCCATGTGTTTTTTTCATCTCTAATTTCTTTCAGCAGTGTTTTATAGTTCTCCTTGTAAAAAATCTTTCAACTCCTTGATTAACTATATTCCTTGGTATTTCGTTTCCTTTGTGGCTTTTGTGAATGAGATTGCATTCTCAATTTGGCTCTCAGCCTGAATATTATTGGTGTATAGAAATGCTACTGATTTTTTGTACATTGATTTTGTATCCTGAAACCTTGCTAAATTTTCAGTTCTAGGAAATTTTTGGCAGAGTCTTTAGGGTTTCCTAAGTATAGAATAATGTTATTAGTGAAGAGAGATAGATTGACTTGTTATTTTCCTATTTGGATGTCTTTTATTTCTTGTTCTTTCTTGATTGCTCTGGCTAGGACTTCCAGTACTTGTTGAATAGGAGGGCATCCTTGTCTTGCTCCAGTTTTCAAGTGGAATGCTTCCAGCTTTTCCTGTTCAGCATGGTGTTGGCTGTGGGTTTTTCATAGATGGTTCTTATTAATTTGAGGTACGTTCCTTTGATGCCTAGTCTGTTGAGAGTTTTTATATGAAGGGAAGTTTGAATTACCGAAAGCTTTCTCTGCATCTATTGAGATAATCATATGCTTTTTTCCTTTTAATTCTGTTTATGTGGTCAATCACATTCATTGATTTGCATATGTTAAACCAACCTTGCATCCCAGGAATAAAGCCTACTTGATAGTGATGAA
The DNA here is from genome assembly GCF_000001405.40 of Homo sapiens. Taxonomy (NCBI): domain Eukaryota; kingdom Metazoa; phylum Chordata; class Mammalia; order Primates; family Hominidae; genus Homo; species Homo sapiens. Next base: position 112,440,380 of record NC_000003.12, on the reverse strand, counting down.
TAAGCTTTTTGATATGCTGCTGGATTCAATTTGTTAGTATTTTGTTGAGCATTTTTAAAAATCTATGTTCATTAGGTTTATTGGTCTAAAGTTTTCTTTTTTTATTGTATCTCTGCCAGATTTTGGTATCGGAATGATGTTGGCTTCAGAAAAGGAATTAGGGTCAGGAGCTCCTTCTCAATTTTTTGGACTAGTTTCAGTAGAATTGGTACCACTTCTTTGTACATCTGGTAGAATTCAGCTGTAAATCTGTCTGGCCTAGGGCTTTCTTTGCTCAGTAGGATTTTTATTACTGATTCAATTTCAGAGGTTCTTATTGGTTTGTTCATGTTTCACTTTCTTTCTGGTTCAATATTGTGAGGTTGTGTGTTCCCATGAGTGTACCCATTTCCTCTAGATTTTCTAATTTGTGTGCATAGAGGTGTTCATAATAGTCTCTAAGCATCATTTGTTTTTCTATGCAGTCAGTTGTAATGTCACCTTTGCCATTTCTTATTGCACTTACTTGGCTCTTCTCTTTTTTTTTCTTTGTTAGTCTAGCTAGTGGTCTATTAATCCCATTTATTTTTTGAAAAAACCAACACTTGGTTTCATTAAACTTTTCTATGGGCTTTCACATCTCAATTTCATTCAGTTCATCTCTGCTTTTAGTTGTTTTGTTTTCTTCTAATAGCTTTGGGGTTGGTTTGTTCTATTTTTTTCTAGTTCCTCTAGGTATGATGTTCTTTAATTTGAGGTCTTTCTAACTTCTTGATGAAGGCATTCAGTGATATAAACTTTCCTCCTAACACTGTATTTAGCTGTATCTCAAATATTTAAGTAAGTTGTATCTCTGTTTTCATTAATTCTAAAGAATTGTTTTGATTTCTGCCCTAATTTTGTTGTTCACCCAAGAGTTATTTAGGAACAAGTTGTTTTTTTCTTTTTTGGGGGGACAGAGTCTCGCTCTGTCACCCAGGCTGGAGTAGAGTGGCGCCATCTCAGCTCACTGCAACCTCTGCCTCCCAAGTTCAAGCGATTCTCCTGTCTTGGCCTCCCAATTAGCTGAGACTACAGGCACGTGCCACCATGCCTAGCTAATTTTTTGTATTTTTAGTAGAGACAGGTTTCACCATGTTAGCCAGGATGGTCTCGATCTCCTGACCTTGTGATCTGACTGCCTCGGCCTCCCAAAGTGCTGGGATTACAGGTGTGAGCCACCGCACCCAGCCAGGAACAAGTTGTTTAATTTACATGTTGTTGTGTAGCTTTGAGAGATCATGGTATTGGTTTCTATTTTTATTGCATTGTAGTCTGAGAATGTGCTTGGTATAATTTCTATGATTTTGAATTTATTGAGACTTGCTTTATGACTGAGCGTGTGTTTGATCTCAGAATATGTCTTGTGTGTGAATGAGAAGAATGTATATTCTGTGGCTGTTGGGCGGAATATTCTGTAGCTGTCTATAGGTCTAGTTGGTCAAGTGTTGAGTTTAAGTCCAGAATTTGTTTGTTAGTTTTCTGCCTCAATCATCTGTCCAATGCTGTCAGTGGGGTGTTAAAAGTCCCCACTATTTTTCTGTGGCTGTCTAAATCTTTTTGTATGTCAAGAAGAACTTGGTTTTACGAATCTGAGTGCCTTAATGTTGGGTGCATATATAATTAGGATGGTTAGGTCTTGTTGAATTGATCCCTTTATCATCATGTAATATCCTTCTCTGTTCTTTCTGCTTGTTGTTAACTTAAAATCTGTTTATCTAGTATAAGAATAGTGACTCCTGCCATTCCTTGTTTTTAATTTGTATGGTAGATCTTTCTCCATCCCTTTACTTTGAGGCTGTGTCAGTTATTACATGTGAGATGAGCCTCTTAAAGATAGCAGAGAATTAGATCTTGTCTTTTTATCCAGCTTGTCACTGTATGCCTTTTTTTTTTTTTTTTTTGAGACGGAGTCTCGCTCTGTCGCCCAGGCTGGAGTCCAGTGGCGCGATCTCCACTCACTGCAAGCTCCGCCTCCCGGGTTCACGCCATTCTCCTGCCTCAGCCTCCTGAGTAGCTGGGACTACAGGTGCCCGCCACCACGCCTGGCTAATTTTTTTGTATTTTTAGTAGAGATGGGGTTTCACCATGTTAATCAGGATGGTCTCGATCTCCTGACCTCGTGATCTGCCCGCCTCGGCCTCCCAAAGTGCTGAGATTACAGGCTTGAGCCACTGCGCCTGGCCCACTCTATGCTTTTTAAGTGGGGCATTTAGACCATTTACATTCAGGGTTAGAATTGGTATGTAAGATTTTGACCCTGTCATCATGCTGTTATGTGGTTGTTAGCTGGCTGAGGGGATAGTCTGTTCATTTGGAGGTCAGGGGACACTCTGTTTTTTAAATTGCCAGAATTCTTTGCCTATTCTTTCTCATTGAGAAGGCTGGTCTTCCTTTAACTGTGGCGCCAAATGAGCATCATCATCTGTCTTTGTTTCTGGGTGCTTTCAGAGGGTCAAGGCTCTGTGTAGGATCTTTAATTGTGGCTGGATTTTTGCCTAGGGTCTGACAGGCTTTGTATACTGGCAAAATATTTTTGGTGTTGTAATTTGGAGTGTGAACCAGTAGATGGAGCTTCAGGGTGTTGGCCAGCAGATAGGCTCTTAGCCATACAGCTCTCTGTGTATTTCAGCACATTCACAGTAGTACTCTGTGATGGCAGTGAGAAAGATAGGTGACCCCCCAACAAGGTCTGCTCCAGGGCCTTGGAGAAGCCCCCTTTGATTACTGGCACCGCATTCATATTTCCTTTGTTAGGCACTCTGGGCAGCAGGGTTTCCTCACGTACTGGCTGTGGCTGGCATTCAGGTCACACCCTTCCTGGATCGGCCCTGTAGAAGGAGGCACAACTCATTCCCGTCAGCCCAAGAACCTGAGTATCTCATCCCTCAAAGTGTTCTGGGAGTAGGGCACCTCTCCTGCTTGGGCACTGCCAAAGCCAGTGAGCCTTGTCTGGCTAGAGGCAGTGGGGGTGGGTGGAGTGGCATGGACCACCATCTGCATGCTTTCTAGGGGAACACGGGGCTTTGCCCACCTGCAGAGTTCAGGCAGGAGAGGGGCTGCTGTGCTGGAAGCCCAAGCTGGTGAGTCCCATCTGGCTAGCAGCAGTGTGGGTCAGAGAAATCTCCCAATTCATCACCTGAGTGTTTCCTGGGGGGACACAGAGCTGTGCCCACTGGCAGAGTTCAGGCAGGGCTGGGTCTGCTGTAGTGGAAGGAGTCGTCAAGCCTTGTCTGGCAGGTAGGAGTGAAGCAATCTGACTGCTCCCCAACACCACAACTGTGGCCTCTATTGGTGTTACGGCTGTTGGTGCCAGGTTGTTCAGGTGTCTAAGGCCTAAGGAGCTCCCCATGGTTTTGAGTGGTACCTCTGCAAAAACTCTGGCAACTTTCTGTATCAGTCTAGAGGCCCAGGGTAGGGTGGGGGTCAAGGGTGTTCTCCCATTTCCTGAATTGCACAGGTTCCTGTGATAAGTGTGGATTCCCTGGGAGCTCTTACTCCCTCACCCTGTCCCTGTATTCGGAAGCTTCTCTTGGCTCCCTGCTAGTCCTGGGTGGGCAGATGCCCAGCTTCACTATTTTCTGTTCTCTTTGTGTCCTCTCTCTCCCTTGATGGATCCTGACATGGATTCTTGGATGATCCACTTAAAGAGTCAGTATTTACTTGCTACTTTGTTTCCTCTCTGTTAGAGTGGCACACACTAGCTGCTGCTAGTCAGCCATCTTGAACCACTTCAGGAATTTTTTTTCTGGTATGAATCTTCAGAAAATTCGTACAGAAAGAGTTTTGGTGATAAATATTCTAAATTTTTACATGTATATTTTTATTTTATCTTCCTAATTTGACTTTGATTGGAATTCTAGTATTAAATTCTAGTGTAGCTTTCTGGAAAATTTGAAGATATTTTTTCATTATCTATTGCCTTCAGAGTTTCTGAGAAGATTGATGTCAATTCATTCTTATTCATTTGTAGGTAATTTTTATTGTTGTTATATGAAAGCTCTTAGAATTTCTCCCCATAATTTTGTGGGTTCTGAAATAACACTATAGGTAGTGTGTTTACATTTTTTCTTGTTTGGCTTTTAGTAGAAATTTTAAGTTTCAGGACTCATGTCTTTCTCTGCTCAGGGTAATTCTCTTCTATTATTTCTTTAAATATCATCTCCTCCTTGTTTGGTCTACTCTTACTTTTGTGAACTCCCATGAAATGGCTGTCGAAATTCTGGGTCTAGTCTGCAAAGTCTTTTAAGTTTTATTTCATATGTTCCCGCTCTTTGACTCTTTGTATGCATTCTAGGGCAATTCTTTGTCTCACTCTGCTAGCTTACTACATCAACCTTCAGTTGGGTCTGCTCTACTTTTTAGACTATCTCTTAAGGTTGTCATTTCAACAACCACATTTTTAATTTTCACAATCAATAATTTGTATTTTTTTTACTTATTCTGAGAATGCTAATTGTGCTTCCTCCCCAACCCCACCCCCCTGCAAAAAAAAGCTCTGCTCAGGTTGCTCTATTAATTCTATTTTTCCCTCTGTAGGTTCTTGGGTTTATTGACTTTACTCTTTCTCTATGTGTTGGCTTCCCTCAAACATCTCATTATTCCCATAGTGAAGACTTTATTTTTGATTGTGTGTCATAGGTGTTTGTGCAGCCCACGAGGGCATTATTTTATTGAAAGTGTGTGGGAAGTACAGCATGCTGACAGGATAGCACCTCGGTGTGTATTTTTCTGAGCATGGCTGCTCCTCATTTCTTTTACAAATCACAGTCACATGCACATTGTCCATTCTCCATTCTCTCTAATCTACTCTTCCTCATATTGTAAGCAATCACTCCCATTGCATGACTAGTCAATAGGGTAGGGGTTGGTCAGCTTGGCTGTTCCTGCTAATCACCATGTTTATTGCCTCTTCTACTCATCAATCTACAGGTATAAAGTTTCTTTGTATAAGATCTCACATTTTTAACAGTTTAATCATGTACAGATTTTGGATTGTGGCTTTTTAAAAAATCAATTTGATTCCTATGACTTTTGTCCTTTAAGGATTTTTCCCAGTTCTGGTCCTCTGAGGGAGAGAGAGAGAAAGAAAGACAGAGAGAGAGAGAAGGTGCATTCTTATTTTCAAGTGTAGCTATGGCTTACTCACACTCTTATACAAACACATCTATCTATCTATCTATCTATCTATCTATCTATCTATCTATCTATCTATCTTACCACTTCTGGCAAGAACTCTCTTTTTTTTTTTTTTGAGATAGAGTCTCACTCTCTTGCCCAGGCTGGAGTGCAGTGGTGTGATCACGGCTCACTGCAACCTCTGCCTCCTGGGTTAAAGTGGTTCTCCTGTCTCAGCCTCCTGAGTAGCTGGGACTACAGGCACATGCTACCACGCCCAGCTAATTTTTGTATTTTTAGTAGAGATGGGGTTTCACCATATTGGCCAGGATGGTCTTGATCTCCTGATCTTGTGATCCGCCCGCCTCAGCCTCTCAAAGTGCTGGGATTACAGGCATGAGCCACTGTGTCTGGCCAAAAACTATAACTCTTTTATCTCAGTATTTCTAGTTTCTTCCACAGTAGCTCCTCAAAACGTGGTTGTAGATTTGGAAATAAATGTAATTGAGTGGACCAGTCATTCTCTGCCATGGGAAATCAGGCCATTTACAAGATAAATGCTTTAAGGGAAGCTTCCAATTTGAATTCCAGTGATTTAACTTTCCTATCTACCTATGTTTTGTCTTCCCAACACAATGTCCATATTGATAATACATGGAAACAAATTTACTGTAATGCTCAAAAGTTGTATTTTGATACACATGTTCTTATTTGGTCCTTACAACCACCATCTGAGGCAAAAGTCCTGACCTCCATCTTTCAGTTGAGTAAACTGAGGCTCAGAGGGGACTGGTACAAGAACATGTTTTGGAAAGCAGCTGATGGACACAGATCTTCGGGAGCAAATTAAGTGTACCATCTTCCATAAAAAGATGGATATGTGCTTTTCTATTCCTTAAAACACTGGTCTACTGCAGATAGCAAAAGTTTAATAAAAGATTAAAAACAAAATTTTATCAATTTTAAAAAAAGAGGGAAAAGAGAAAGAAATCAGTGAACAGACAAAATAAAATATAATACATAGAGGCAATTTTAGATTTTTTGTTTTTTTGATTTTAACGTAGTATTTGCTTATGTGAAGTTCATGGTCAAATCTCTACAAGATGTTTTTTTGCTACTGAATGGAAATGTTTTTAATTTAAAATTTGCCATGGAAAACGGTTTCATTTTATCAGTGTATTAACCAAATTATATCCTTGACTACTAGTACATGATGTCAAGGGAAAATATTACAAAAGAAAGTAAAAATTCTCAGTTCAGTTGAGTTTCCATAACCCTCCTACTTATGTTAGTCATGTATTTTCCCTCTTTTAGAAGTGGTATAATTAGTATATTGGAGCCATTCCTAATTTTAACAGTTTATTAGAGGTTAAAGGCCTCATAAAGTATTTGAACTAGACATCAGAGTAATTTGTCTCACATATGATTAAAAACTCAAAATTAGTGTGGGATCATCTTATGGTTTATGATTGTCTTATGACCAAGTCCACTCTAATCATAAACTTAGAGTGAATCTTAGTTCTAATCATAAACTAAGCTCAGCTGAATAATTAACTTTCATGTTATCAACTAAATTATAAATAATATTTGCAAACACTACACATATTATATTTGTTTAGTCCATATTTTTTATTAATTAGTTCAGCAAAAATTGAATAGCCTGTAAAGATACTGTGCTTACAGTGGGGACACAGAAGTGAACAAGATAGTAGCTCTTCTTTAAGAATTTTGTTGGGAAGAAAGTAGGGCTGCCAGATTTAACAAATAAAAATGCAGGATGCCCAGTTAAATTTAAACTTAAGATTAAGGCCAGGCACAATGGCTCATGCCTGTAATCCCAGCACTTTGGGAGGCCAAGTTGGGTGAATCACTTAAGGTCAGGAGTTTGAGACTAGTCTGACTAACATGGTGAAACCCCGTCTCTACTACAAATACAAAAATTAGCCGAGTGTGTTGGTGTATGTCTGTAGTTCCTAGCTACTCAAGGAGGCTGAGGCAGGATAATTGCTTGAGCCTGGGAGGCAAAGGTTGCAGTGAACTGAGATCATGCCGCTAGCTCCAGCCTAAGCAACAAAGTGAGAATCTGTCTCAAAAAATAAAAAATAAAAAAGTAAACTTAAGGTTAAATAAATAAATATTTAGTATGTATATTAGTCTGTTTCATGCTGCTGATAAAGACATACCTGTGACTGGGAAGAAAAATAGGTTTAATGGACTTACAGTTCCACGTGGCTGGAGAGGCTTCACAATCATGGCAGAAGGCAAGGAGGAGTAAGTCACATCTTACATGGATGGCAGCAGGAAAAGAGAGAGTTTGTGCAGGGGAATTCCTCTTTATAAAATCATCAGATCTTATGAGACTTATTCACTATTGTGAGAACAGCACGGAAAGACTTCCTCCATGATTCAGTTACCTCCACTGGGTCCCTCTCATGACATGTGGGAATTCAAGATGAGATTTGGGTAGGGACACAGCCAAACCATATAATTCCAACCCGGCCCCTCCCAAATCTCACGTCCTCACCTTTCAAAACCAATTATGCTTTCCCAACAGTCCCCCAAAGTCTTAAACTCATTTCAGCATTAACTCAAAAGTCCACAGTCCAAAGTCTCAACCAAGACAAGTCCCTTCCACCCATGAACCTGTAAAATCAAAAGCAAGTTAGTTACTTCTTAGACACAAAGGGGGTACAGGCATTGGGTAAATACAGCCATTTCAAATGGGAGAAATTGGGCAAAACAAAGAGGCCACAGGCCCCATGCAAGTCCAAAATCCAGCAGGGTAGTCAAATCTTAAAGCTCCAAAATGTTCTCCTTTGACTCCATGTCTCACATCCAATCACACTGATGCAAGAAGTGGGTTCCCATGGTCTTGGGCAGCTCTGTCCCTGTGGTACAGCTTTTTGCAAGGTACAGCCTCCCTCTGGCTGCCTTCACAGGCTTGGGTTGAATGTCTGCCACTTTTCCAGGTGCATGGTGCAAGCTGTTGGTGGGTCTACCATTCTTGGGTCTGGAAGAGAGTGTCATCTTCTCACAGCTCTGCTAGGTGGCGTCCCAGTAGGGACTCTGTGTGGGGGTTCTGATCCCACATTTCCCTTCTGCACTGCCCTAGCAGAGGTTCTCCTTGAGGGCCCCACCCCTGTAGCAAATTTCTGCGTGGGCATCCAGGTGCATCCACACATCTTCTGAAATCTAGGTGGAGGTTCCCAAACCTCAGTTCTTGACTTCTGTTCACTCACAGGCTCAACACCACATGGAAGCCGCCAAGGCTTGGGACTTGTATCCTCTGAAGCCATGGTCCAAGCTCTATGTTGTACCCTTTCAGCCACGGATAGAGCAGCTGGGACACAGGGCACAAAGACCCCAGACTTTCCACAGCACAGGGACCCTGGGACTGGGCCCACGAAACTACTTTTTCCTTCTAGGCCTCCAGGCCTGTGATGGGACAAACTGCCATGAAGACCTCTGACATGCCCTGGAGACATTTTTCCCATTGTCTTGAGGATTAACATTTGACTCTTCGTTACTTATGCACATTTCTGCAGCAGGCTTAAATTTCTCATCAGAAAATGGGATTTTACGTTCTATCACATTGTCAGGCTGCAAATTTTCTGAACTTTTATGATCTGCTTCTCCTAGAAAACTGAATGCCTTTAACAGCACCTAAGTCACCTCTATAATGCTTTGCTGATTAGAATTTTTTTCTGCCAGATGCCCTAAAATATCTCTCTCAAGTTGAAAATTCCACAAATCTATAGGGCAGGGGCAAAATGCCACCAGTCTATTTGCTAAAACATAACAAGAGTCACCTTTGCTCCAGTTCCCAACAAGTTCCTCATCTCCATCTGAGACCACCTCAGCCTGGATTTCATTGTCCATATCATTATCAGCATTTTGGTGAAAGCCATTCAACAAGCTTCTAGGGAGCTCCAAACTTTCTCACATTTTCCTGTCTTCTTCTGAGCCTTCCAAACTGTTCTAACCCCTGCCTGTTATCCAGTTCCAAAGTTGCTTCCACATTTTTGGGTATCTTTTCAGCATCACTCCACTCTACTGGTAGCAATTTACAGTATTAGTCTGTTTTCACACTGCTGATAAAGACATACCCAAGGCTGGGAAAAAAATATGTTTAATAACCAGTTCTATGTGGCTAATGAGGCCTCACAATCATGGTGGAAGGCAAGGAGGAGCAAGTCACATCTTACATGCGTGGCAGCAGGCAAAGAGAGAGTTCGTGCAGGGGAACTCCTCTTTATAAAATCATCAAATCTCATGAGACTTATTCACTATCATGAGAACAGCATGGGAAAGACTTGCCCTCATGATTCAGTTACCTCCCATTGGGTCCCTCCTATGACATGTGGAAATTCAAGATGAGATTTGGATGGAGACACAGCCAAACCATATCAATATGTCTATGTAGAATTTGGAATATACTATAAACTTTTCTGTTCTTTTTCTGAAATTTGAATTTAACTCAGAAGTTTGTATTTTATCTGGGAACCCTAGAAGAAAGTCAAGGAAAAAGATTGTTATACAACTCTTTTAATAAGTGATATAACACGGCTAAGTCCGGAGAATGGTAGAAATATATAGCTCCTTGATAATTAAGGGTTTTCTTTTTCTTTTTAGATTTTCATATATGCTAGAAGAGAATGTGATTCTTTTCTGCAATTTGACAAGGTTAGTGATCTGCAAAATGTCCTGGGAGGAGAGCATCTTCTTAGATAAAAATGATGCACATATAAATATGTGTAGAAATTCTTCAACCATACTGAAATTGACTGCATTGCAAGAACATTGAACCCAGTTTATAGCCATATGAGATGATTTTTCAGAATGCAGCCTATTAAAAATGTTCCTTTAATGTGTTTCTACATAGCCATATGAGATGATTTTTCAGGATGAAGCCTATGAAAAATGTTCCTTTAATGTGTTTCTACACGGCAACCATGGAAAACAAACATGCTTTACTATTCTGAGAATACAATAGAAGATAAATATCTTTCAGAGAGTGCAAATAGCACCCTCTGAAGTTCTGGGCCTTGAAACTTTTAGGAATAATATCCAGAGAAGGAATGTTAAAGCTAGAAGATCAACTGGGCTCATCTGGTTCATGCTTCTCATGCAACAGACAAGAGAGCCAAGGCTAGCTAGGCTTAAGAGATCGTGACTGCTGCAGAAACAAATTATTCTATATCGTATACTATGCTACCTTTTTTCCCCAGCAGGCAATTAATTAATGTGGATGAGAATCATAAAAAGACTCTGAAAAACTTTTGTAAAGTTGAGGAAGGAGTGGAAAAAGAAAATATAGAAGAGGGAAACAATAAGGAAGTGATACTAGGAAAGTAAATCCATTCTGTTTTCAGATTAATTAAACTTAAAAGAGAAAAATTGTGTCGTAGTTTTCCCCTACTCATATCTCTTGTCTCTGTTTTGAGACACTTATAATTATCATAATTTATTAAAAGCATAAAAGTCTTTGTCTATTTTTTGCTGTTATAACTGAATACCCAAGGCTGGGCTATTGATTGATTAATTGTAGAGATGGGGGTGGTCTTGGTATTTTGCCCAGGGTGGTCTCAAACTCCTGGACACAAGTGATTCTCCTGCCTTGGCCTCCCAAAGTTCTGGGATTACAGCTCCTGCTTCTGGCCCCTGGACTGGGTAATTTATAATGAACAGCAATTTATTTCCTGAGTTCTGAAGACTGTGAAGTCCAAGATTGAGGGGCCAGCATCTTCTGAAGGACATCTTGCTGCATTATAACATGACAGAAGCACAAGAGAACATATAAGAAAGAACAGCAAGGGTGCTGAACCCATCCTTTTATTGGAATCCACTCCCATAAGAACTAATCCATTCTCAAGATAATGGCATTAATCCACTCATGACATCAGAGCCCTTATGACCTAGTCACCTCTTAAACATCCCACCTCTCAACACTGTTGCATTGGGGATTAAGTTTCTAATATGTGAATGCCAGGAGACACATTCAAACCGTAGCATTCTGTCACCATTCCCCCAAATTTATGTCCTTTTCACATACAAAATACGTTAATTCCATCCCAATAGCCCCAAAGTCTTAACTAGCTCCAGCACCAATTCAAAGTCCAAAGTCCAGAGTCTCACCAAATGACATACGCTTAAGAATCAAAGCACAATAAAACCTCAGACAAATTTTCCTCCAGCTATGAGCCTGTAAAATCAAAACAAGTTACATGCTTTCAAAGTACAATGGTGGAACAGGCATAAGATAGACAATTCTATTCCAAAAGGGAGAAATAGCCAAGAAGAAATAACAGACCCCAAACAAGCCCCAGACCCCAAAAGTACACATTAAATTTTAAGATTCCAGGACACACTGGGTGGGGATTGAATTCCAGAGCCACAGACAGCCTGGTCCTATAGGTTTGCTGGGCTCAGCCCATGCAGCACCTCTCATGCCTGCAGCTTTCCCAGACTAACATTGCATACTGGTAGGTCTACAGATCTACAGACTTAGAGGTGGTCACACTCCCATGAATCCACTAGACATTACCCTGGTGGGGACTCTGCAGTAGCTTTGCCCCTCTGGCAAGTTTTTCCTGGGTTTACAGGCAGCCACAACATTCTTTGAAATCTAGATGGGGGCAGCCAGGGCCCCACAACTCATGTACTCTGCAAGCCTGCAGAATTAGCACTACATGAGTGCTGCCAAGACCCACATATTGCATCCTCCAGGGTGGCAGGCTGAGCTCCACCTGGGCCAGCTTGAGCCATGACTGGGGCAGCTGAGGAGACTGCACTGGGGAATGGGGGAGCAAAGTCCTAAAGTTGTTCTGGGCAGCAGATGCTAAGGTCTTACTGGTGCCTCTCTTGTCCTCAAGATTCTAGCTTGCTTAGAAGATCTCTGAAATACCTTTGGGGTCACTCTCACATTATCTTGGTAAATAGAACCTGAATTCCTTCTGTCAATAATCTCTTTAGCAAATGGTCGATTGGCCAAACCCTTAATATTCTCTCCTGAACACACCTTTTTATTCTGTACATGGCCGTGCTGAGAATTTTCCAAATCTTTTCTTTCTGCTTCCCTTTTAATTATAAATTCCTTCTTTAAACTATTTTTCTTTTTTATTCATTTTACTGTAAGCAGCCAAAAGAAGTCATGTGGCACTTTGAATGCTTCAATGCTTAGATATTTCTTCTGTCAGGTACCGTAGTTCATTGTTCTGGGAGTCAGATGCGCTACCACTGGGCCACAAGATCACATAGTTCATTATCCTTAAGTTCTGTCTTCCACAAAGTCCTAAAACACGGACATAAATTCCACCAATTTCTTTGCAACTGTATAACAAGGAAGGTCTTTGCTCCATTTTCCAATACCTTGTTCCTTACTTTCATCTGAGATCTAATTGGAGTGGCTTTGCTGTCTACAGGTCTACCGACATTCTGATCATGTCCAATTATGTAATTCCTAAGAAGATTTCGGCTCTCCCTATAGTGCTCGTCTTCTTCTGAGCCCTCACCAGAGTTGCCCTTAACACTCCACTCACAGCAATCTAGGCTGTTTCTAGCCTGCTTCTCCAAATTATTTCAGCCTCTCCCTATTACCCAGTTCCAAAGCCACTTCCACATTTTCAGACTTTTTTTTGTAAAAACAGCCCCACTTTTCAGTACCAATTTCTTAGTCTGTTTCATGCTGCTCTAGCAGAATACTAAAGGCTAGGCAATTTACGATGAATAAAAATGTATTTCTCATAGTTCTGGAGGCTGACAAGTCTAAGACTGAGGGGCTAAAATCTTGTGACGGCTTTCTTAATGCATTATCACGTGGTGGAAGGTAGAAAGGCAAGAGAGCATTCATGAGAGAGTGGGAAGAGGGCAGAACTGATCCTTTTATCAAAAGCCCACTCCCATGATAACTAGCTCACTCAGCAATATTAATCCACCGCCGAGGGCAAAGCCCTCATGACCTAATCACTTTTTAAACGACCCATCTCTCAACAGTGTTGCATTAGGAATTAACTTTCCAACACTTGAATTTTGGGGCTCACATTTAAACCAAAGTAGTAACCTGAACTGTTCTAAACTAGAAGATCTGTCAGGGGACATAGGGTACCAAGTTAGCAGAATTGAAAATATATTTAAAAAAATTTGGCCGGGTGTGGTGGCTCACGCCTGTAATCCCAGCACTTTGGGAGGCCGAGGTGGGTGGATCATGAGGTCAGGAGATAGAGACCATCCTGGCTAACACCGTGAAACCCCATCTGTACTAAACAAAATACAAAAAATTAGCCGGGCGCCTGTAGTCCCAGCTACTCGGGAGGCTGAGGCAGGAGAATGGCGTGAATGCAGGAGGTGGAGGTGCGCTCCAGCCTAGGCAGCAGAGTGAGACTCTGTATCAAAAAAAAAAAAAAAAATTAAAATTAATGGATTATATATTTTGACTTAATGTAAAGAAATTTAGGAATTGCTGTTATTGACTCCATGGAAATTTTCTATGATTTATTTCTGAATTTGATTAATTATTATTTTTGTTTCCCTCACCTATAATTGCATTATTTCCTAACTCCATTCCTACCCTGACTTTGGAGTGCTTTACAAATCCTGGGGATCTTTAAGAAATTTGATGCCCTCTGCTAAGATTTGGATATAGTTTGTTTGTCCCCTTCAAGTCTCATGTTGAAATTTGATCCCCAACATTGGAGGTGGGGCCTGGTAGAAGGTGTTTGGATCATGGAGGTGGATCCCTTGTGAATGGCTTAGTGCCATTCTTGTGAAAGTGAGTGAGTTCTTATTCTTAGTTTCTGGAAAAACTGGCTGTTGAAAGGAGCCTGGCACCTCCTCCTCTTTCTTGCTTCCTCTCTCTCATATTATGCCTTCTCTACTTCTCCTTCTCCCCCAAAGAGAAGCTTTCAGAGGCCCTCACCAGGTGCAGATGCTGATACCATGCTTGATACTGATACCATGCTTCTTGTACAACCTGCAGAACTGTGAGCCAAGTAACCCTCTTTTCTTTATTAATCGCCCAGCCTCAGGTATTCCTTTATAGCAACACAAATGAACTAAGACACCGTCTTATTCTTATTACTAGGTAATCTCATTTTATTTTATTTTCTACCCATTTCTCTGGTATGCTAACATCCATGAGGGTATTGCATGGGCTTTCATTCATTTATTGTTTTTGGCATTCAGTAGTAGCATTCAGTGTTTCACTTCTGCAAAATTAGTGTCTCAATTTTTTTGATGATTTTTTTCTTTGATAAGTTCTTTCTGTCAATTTTTTTTTTTGAAATTTCTTGGTATCTCACTGGGTCTTCTAAATTAATTTTCTTTTTCTTTCATGTTTTGCTCAGTTTTAATCTCTTCTTTCTTCTATCCAGATATTTCTTAGGTTTTATCTTTCTTTTAATTCATTCTTCTTTTATTTTTATTTCTTTTTGTTTTTATCATACTTTTAATTTCCAACAGTTTTTTGTCTTTCTTCATGGCCTCCACTGTTTATTTTATATAAATGAAAACTCTTCAAGTTTCTTTACAGAAACTAACTAGAATTTTGTCTGTTCTTAAGTTTTCTTTCTTTTTTTTTAATCATTCTTTCTCCTAAGTTAAGTGATTAGAGGCTTTTCTTCTTTTTGTTTTTAGCTGTATCTTTCTTTCATGTTACCGTATTTCCTCAAATAGTTGGTAGTAATGCATGACACTTGGCTGCTCTGGAAAGGTAGGTGGGCTTATTAACTGATAGTCTTCACATTACAGAAATAAAAGGGAGCAGGCCAAGTATGTTTCAAGACCCCCAGTGCCCACATGTTGAGGTCTTTGCTCTGGAAAAATTGATGTCCGATCACTCTGCCTTAGGTAATCTCAGATAATTCATTCAATTTCTTTGTAAAAGAACACTTTGATTTTTTAAAATTTTAATTTTATTTTTATGTTTTTACATAGGATACAGTTATCTGACTGTCCATGTTTCTACATGTGGTTGGAAAAGTTGGGGAATGTAGTATGAGCTCAATTGTCCTGGATTCAGAGTTTCATTTAGACAACTTCAGAGTTTGAATTCTGGGCCTCTCCAGAGTTCTGCCTCAAAATTCATTGCATTCCTCTCTTCTAGAGCCATCTCTCTTCTAGGCCACGTTTTCTTCATCCTGTTACATCATTTACTCCTTTATTTACTTTTTATCTGTCATAACTTTTTAAAAACTTTCATTTTTTTTTAATGTGCTTGTCTTTTCTCCTTATTTGGTTGCATATTTATAATACTTTAAGCTATTTTATTATTTCAGTGGAAACTCAGGGATTATGAAAGATAAGCATGTATGGCAAGTCTTTCATCTTGAAATAGAAGCCTATTATTAAATTTTTCTAAAGCCAGAATATTTGGAAAATATTAGTACAACAGTTCATGAATACAAGATAAATCTATCAGTTATTTCAAAAGTTGGGCAAAGTGTTATGTTTTGAGGCATCTGGTTAACATAAAATATATTTTAAAATTTATTCATTTGTCATCAGATACAAATATTTCATTAAATATTGTAATATGCCAGCTCAGAGAAAGATTTTTTTATCCTGTTTGGCAAGTAGATTGCTTGGTTCACCTGTCAAACTGCGTCATCAGAGACTCCACTCTTTCTATTTATTTTCTTTGCTATACTTAGCTGTTCTGCAGGAAATTACCTTCATGTGATGACTGCCTTCAAGTACAGTTTCAAGAAAGCTATTCCAGACCAGAAATACCAGAAAGCCTCATGGACCAGATTAAAATGCTTGAATTACATGGTTTATTAAATCAACTTAAAAACACACAGCAAGAAACAAGTGGAAAGAGTTAAGTTAACATACTTAAGTTAGAAAAGTCCAAAAGAGAAGCTAAAAAAAGAAAGATTGCATTATTTTCAGACAATTTAATGCAACAGAAAATAATCCTAGGTATGATAATAGAGCCCTAGGATAACACTGTATTGTGGTTTAAGCAAATCACTAATATTCATAATAATGACCAGAAATGGAAATGAAAATATATGATTGTATTCTTTAGGTTTGCAAAAAGGCAAAACAGGTTTATAATTTATTTTAGGAAGAATTCCATTCAATACGCTTTTTAAAAATCTAGGTGACTAAAAGTTTGACTTTTTCATGAGTACAGACTAGGATTTATTTTTCAGCTCTGTCACTCACTGTGTGACACTGCATAATCTAAATCATATATCTGAGCTGTCATTTCTTCAACTAGGAAATGGTAAGGGTAATACATTTCTGAAATAGTTATCATGACAATTCAATAAATTTATTCATGTATGATGCTTAGGATAATATTAGTTGCTATTATTAATATTACTAAAAATGTTTTTCTTGAGTTTTCCTAAATTCATTGTGTGTATAATTTTAATGGTTACAAAATATTTTGTCATACAGTTTTAATTTAAACTACTAAATCAATCTCAATCAGATACTGGCAGGAGTTTTTGTTTTTCAGAAATGGATAACATTAATCTGAAATTTATATGAAAATGTAAAAGTTTAGAAATGGGCAAGGCAAGCCTGAGGAAGAAGAAGAAAAAAAACTAGAGGACTTGTACTAAACATAAAGATCTGTTAAAAACCATAGTTAATTATACTCTTATATATATTTAGTAGTTAAGACAGTGTGGCTCAAATATAGATTAAAATTACCAATGGTAGAGAATAGAGAGTTCAGAAGCAGATTCATCTGATTTATGAAAAATATGATATAGCGGTGCAGTGAGAAATGGATGGGACCATTGGATATTCACATGGAAAAAGCACATATCAACTTCTTCCTCACAAAAATAAATTTCAGAACAATTACATATCAATGTGAAAGATAAACAAATAAGGCTTTTAGAATCATCAATGCTATATATGTGAATTGTCAGGCCTCTGAGCCCAAGCCAAGCCATCGCATCCCCTGTGACTTGCACGTATATGCCCAGATGGCCTGAAGTAACTGAAGAATCACAAAAGAAGTGAATATGCCCTGCCCCACCTTAACTGATGACATTCCACCACAAAAGAAGTGTAAATGGCCGGTCCTTGCCTTAAGTGATGACATTACCTTGTGAAAGTCCTTTCCCTGGCTCATCCTGGCTCAAAAAGCACCCCCACTGAGCACCTTGCGACTCCCCACTCCTGCCCACCAGAGAACAAACCCTCTTTGACTGTAATTTTCCTTTACCTACCCAAATCCTATAAAACGGCCCCACCCCTATCTCCCTTCGCTGACTCTCTTTTCGGACTCAGCCCACCTGCACCCAGGTGAAATAAACAGCCATGTTGCTCACACAAAGCCTGTTTGGTGGTCTCTTCACACAGACGCGCATGAAATTTGGTGCCGTGACTCGGATCGGGGGACCTCCCTTGGGAGATCAATCCCCCGTCCTCCTGCTCTTTGCTCCGTGAGAAAGATCCACCTACGACCTCAGGTCCTGAGATCGACCAGCCCAAGAAACATCTCACCAATTTCAAATCCGGTAAGCGGCCTCTTTTTACTCTCTTCTCCAACTTCCCTCACTATCCCTCAACCTCTTTCTCCTTTCAATCTTGGCGCTACACTTCAATCTCTCCCTTCTCTTAATTTCAATTCCTTTCATTTTCTGGTAGAGACAAAAGAGACACGTTTTATCCGTGGACCCAAAACTCCGGCGCCGGTCACAGACTGGGAAGGCAGCCTTCCCTTGGTGTTTAATCATTGCAGGGATGCCTCTCTGATTATACACCCACGTTTCAAGGGTGTCAGAACACGCAGGGACGCCTGCCTTGGTCCTTCACCCTTAACGGCAAGTCCCGCTTTTCTGGGGAAGGGGCACGTACCTCAACCCCTTCTCTCCTTGTCTCTACCCCTTCTCTGCTTTCCTGGGGCAGGGGCAAGTACCCCTCAACCCCTTCTCCTTCACCCTTAGCGGCAAGTCCTGCTTTCCTAGGGGGCAAGAACCCCCCAATCGCTTATTTCCGCACCCCAACCTCTTATCTCTGTGCTCCAATCCCTTATTTCTGCACCCCAACCTCTTATCTCTGTGCCCCAATCCCTTATTTCCACACCCCAACCTCATATCTCTGCGCCCCATCCCTTATTTCTGTGCCCTGACCTCTTATCTCTGTGCTCCAACCCCTTTTCCCACTTTTCTGGAAGGTAAGAACCCCCGAACCCCTTCCCTCCATTTCTCTACTCTCTTTTCTCTAGGCTTCCTTCCTTCACTATGGGCAAACTTCCACCCTCCATTCCTCCTTCTACTCCCTTGGCCTGTGTTCTCAAAAACTTAAAACCTCTTCAACTCATACCTGACCTAAAACCTAAATGCCTTATTTTCTTCTGCAATGCCACTTGACCCCAGTACAAACTCGACAGTAGTTCCAAATAGCCAGAAAATGGCACTTTGAATTTTTCCACCCTGCAAGATCTAAATAATTCTTGTCGTAAAATAGGCAAATGGTCTGAGGTGCCTGACGTCCAGGCATTCTTTTACACATCAGTCCCATCCTAGTCTCTGTGCCCAGTGCAACTCGTCCCAAATCTTCCTTCTTTCCCTCCCGCCTGTCCGCTCAGTACCAACCCCAAGTGTTGCTGAGTCTTTCTAATCTTCCTTTTCTACAGACCCATCTGACCTCTCCCTTCCTCCCCAGCCTGCTCCTCGCCAGGCTGAGCTAGGTCTCAATTCTTCCTCAGCCTCTGCTCCTCCACCCTATAATCTTTTTATCACCTCCCCTCCTCACACCTGGTCTGACTTACAGTTTCGTTCCGTGACTAGCCCTCCCCCACCTGCCCAGCAATTTACTCTTAAAAAGGTGGCTGGAGCCAAAGGCATAGTCAAGATTAATGCTCCTTTTTCTTTATCCCAAATCAGATAGCGTTTAGGCTCTTTTTCATCAAATATAAAAATCCAGCCCAGTTCATGACTTGTTTGGCAGCAACCCTGAGACACTTTACAGTCCTAGACCCTAAAAGGCAAAAGACCGTCTTATTCTCAAAATACATTTTATTACCCAATCTGCTCCTGACACTAAAACTCCAAAAATTAAATTCCGGCCCTCAAACCCCACAACAAGATTTAATTAACCTCGCCTTCAAGGCGTACAATAATAGAAAAAAGTTGCAATGTTCCTTGCCTCCACTGTGAGACAAACCCCAGCCACATCTCCAGCACACAAGAACTTCCAAACACCTGAACCGCAGTGGCCAGGCGTTCCTCCAGAACCTCCTCCCCCAGGAGCTTGCTACACGTGCCGGAAATCTGGCCACTGGGCCAAGGAATGCCCGCAGCCCAGGATTCCTCCTAAGCCGCGTCCCATCTGTGTGGGACCCCACTGAAAATCGGACTGTTCAACTCACCTGGCAGCCACTCCCAGAGGCCCTGGAACTCTGGCCCAAGGCTCTCTGACTGACTCCTTCCCAGATCTTCTCGGCTTAGTGGCTGAAGACTGACACTGCCCGATCGCCTCGTGAGCCCCCTAGACCATCACGGATGCCGAGCTTCGGGTAACTCTCACAGTGGAAGGTAAGCCCGTCCCCTTCTTAATCAATACGGAGGCTACTCACTCCCCATTACCTTCTTTTCAAGGGCCTGTTTCCCTTGCCTCCATAACTGTTGTGGGTATTGACGGCCAGGCTTCTAAACCTCTTAAAACTCCCCAACTCTGGTGCCAACTTAGACAATACTCTTTTAAGCACTCCTTTTTAGTTATCCCCACCTGCCCAGTTCCCTTATTAGGCTGAGACACTTTAACTAAATTATCTGCTTCCCTGACTATCCTGGACTACAGCTATATCTCATTGCCGCCCTTCTTCCCAATCCAAAGCCTCCTTTGCGTCCTCCTCTTCTATCCCCCCACCTTAACCCACAAGTATAAGATACCTCTACTCCCTCCTTGGCGACCAATCATGCACCCCTTACCATCTCATTAAAACCTAATCACCCTTACCCCACTCAACGCCAATATCCCATCCCGCAGCACGCTTTAAAAAGATTAAAGCCTGTTATCACTCGCCTGCTACAGTATGGCCTTTTAAAGCCTATAAACTCTCCTTACAATTCCCCCATTTTACCTGTCCTAAAACCAGACAACCCTTACAAGTTAGTTCAGGATCTGCGCCTTATCAACCAAATTGTTTTGCCTATCCACCCCATGCTGCCAAACCCATATACTCTCCTATCCTCAATACCTGCCTCTACAACCCATTATTCTGTTCTAGATCTCAAACATGCTTTCTTTACTATTCCTTTGCACCTTTAATCCCAGCCTCTCTTCGCTTTCACTTGGACTGACCCTGACACCCATCAAGCTCAGCAAATTACCTAGGCTGTACTGCCGCAAAGCTTCACAGACAGCCCCCATTACTTCAATCAAGCCCAAATTTCTTCCTCATCTGTTACCTATCTCGGCATAATTCTCATAAAAACATACGTGCTCTCCCTGCCAATCGTGTCCGACTGATCTCTCAAACCCCAGCACCTTCTACAAAACAACAACTCCTTTCCTTCCTAGGCATGGTTAGCGTGGTCAGAATTCTTACACAAGAGCCAGGACCACACTCTGTAGCCTTTCTGTCCAAACAACTTGACCTTACTGTTTTAGCCTAGCCCTCATGTCTGCGTGCAGCGGCTGCCGCTGCTTTAATACTTTTAGAGGCCCTCAAAATCACAAACTATGCTCAACTCACTCTCTACAGTTCTCATAACTTCCAAAATCTATTTTCTTCCTCATACCTGACACATATACTTTCTGCTTCCCGGCTCCTTCAGCTGTACTCACTCCTTGTTGAGTCTCCCACAATTACCGTTGTTCCTGGCCCAGACTTCAATCTGGCCTCCCACATTATTCCTGATACCACACCTGACCCCCATGACTATCTCTCTGATCCACCTGACATTCACCCCATTTCCCCATATTTCCTTCTTTCCTGTTCCTCACCCCGATCACGCTTGATTTATTGATGGTGGTTCCACCAGGCCTAATCGCCACACACCAGCAAAGGCAGGCTATGCTATAGTACAAGCCACTAGCCTGCCTCTCAGAACCTCTCATTTCCTTTCCATCGTGGAAATCTATCCTCAAGGAAATAATTTCTCAGTGTTCCATCTGCTGTTCTACTATTCCTCAGGGATTATTCAGGCCCCCTCCCTTCCTTACACATCAAGCTCGAGGATTTGCCCCCACCCAGGACTGGCAAATTAGCTTTATTCAACATGTCCCAAGTCAGGAAACTAAAATTTTAATCTCTCCCACTCTAGGTTCCCACGCCGCCCCTAATCCCGCTCGAAGCAGCCCTGAGAAACATCGCCCATTCTCTCTCCATATCACCCCCCAAAAATTTTTGCCACCCCAACACTTCAACACTATTTTGTTTTATTTTTCTTATTAATATAAGACGGCAGGAATGTCAGGCCTCTGAGCCCAAGCCAAGCCATCGCATCCCCTGTGACTTGCACGTATATGCCCAGATGGCCTGAAGTAACTGAAGAATCACAAAAGAAGTGAATATGCTCTGCCCCACCTTAACTGATGACCTTCCACCACAAAAGAAGTGTAAATGGCCGGTCCTTGCTTTAAGTGATGACATTACCTTGTGAAAGTCCTTTTCCTGGCTCATCCTGGCTCAAAAATCACCCCCACTGAGCACCTTGCAACCCCCACTCCTGCCTGCCAGAGAACAAACCCTCTTTGACTGTAATTTTCCTTTACCTACCCAAATCCTATAAAACGGCCCCACCCTTATCTCCCTTCGCTGACTCTCTTTTCGGACTCAGCCCGCCTGCACCCAGGTGAAATAAACAGCCACGTTGCTCACACAAAGCCTGTTTGGTGGTCTCTTCACACGGACGCGCATGAAATGAATAAGTTTGGTTTTTTTAATAGTAGAGTTTAATAGGAGTATTAAAAGAGTAGAATAACCCCAGACAAATGTTTTTTGAGAGATTAAAAGGTGTCAGGGATGGGAAGCCAGATACTCCTGGGTGACAAGTTCATGGAAATAATTAATGTGATTTTGTTACTGGGAAGAGCAGAGTCCTCTGTTCTTAGGCTTACTTGTAAGAAAGAATCCTACCAAGAGACCACTTAGCCCAAAAAGAGAATTTATTGAAGCAAAATTAGAGCACAGAGTTTATTTAGACAGACAGTACACTCCAAAAGATGAGGCACAGTGGGCTACTAACAGAGAATGAGCCAGCAGTAGCCTCAAGAGTTCTGCATTGGGTTTTTATGACGGATTTTTTCTTGAAGTTCTCATCTCTGTGTTAAGTCTCCACCTTTTTCCTTCATCTAGTTTTTCCTGCTGCTGCCTTAAGTCCTTGCCTTTTCCCTGCCTAGTTCCTGCCTCAGATTTGTGGGATTCTGTCTATTAGTTGGCGTGCATGTGTGGACCTTGTGTTGGACACAAATTCTACCTAATGGCTACATTGCTCATTACCATCACCCCAGGAAGGCTGTATGGCAGTTAAATCTGTACTTTTTATGCCTGCATATCTCTTAGGAATTTCTCCTTCACCCTCTTTCCCTCTTTATTAGCATGTAGCTAGCTACATTCCGACAGGTTAATTGCAGAGTGGGTGATTACTGGGTGTCTTAAGGGGGCGATTCTTCCCACATAAGTATTTCCCCATCTCTTTGCTTATATCCAGCCTACATGTTTTGGGTGGTCCCTGGGGTGTGAGATTTTCCATACTTCCCTTTTCCTCAGTGGCTCCCCTCCTCTTGCTGCTTATGTCTAGCTATCTGCCTACTCTGACAATTTCTTCCTACTACAATTAATATGAAAGAGAATTAATTAATTCATTCATTCACTCATATAACAAATACTACCTGAGTGACAACTATGTCCCAAGCATTGTTCTAGGTGCTGAGGATATAGTAATGAACAAGGTAGTTAGTTTCCCCTTTCATGGCTCACTTATGAGGCAGACATGGAGACAACAGAAAGGAATAAATAGATAAATAAATGATGAAGAAATAAAATTCAGTAGTGAAATTGAGACAATGAATCAATACATTCAGTGATGAAACAGAGAGTGACCAGTAGTTCCTATAGATGGAGTGGTCAGGGAAGGCCTCTGTGGGGACATAGGAAGTCACCTGTCACCTGAATGGCAAGAATCCCGCTGCTGGGTGTGTACCCACATGGTGTTATGAAGTGTATTGGTTTTCATGGATGGATTCTGGCTCATAACTCCCAAAGCCCTTGTTACAATCTTTTGTTACAATGTTGGGTATGTTAGGCCTCAGGGGTGGGCCTCTAACCTTCTTCTGCCCTCCTTTCACTTGACCCAAAGCAAGACTCTAATCTTAGCTTGACTTTCTGATTGTGGGTCTTACGGCCCTCCCATGACGGGAGTCCCACCCTATACCCTGGGGGAAGGAATGCTGACATCATGAAAATCTAAGGGCACATGGTTCAGAGAGTTCTTGGATACCTGAACACATGGAGGTACCTGCAGGGTGGTGTTCCTAGGGATGGCATGGAAGCTCCACACCCCTTCCCCTACACCTCATCCCACATGTCTCTTTATTTTTATTCTTTGCAATATCCTTTATAGTAAACCAGTAAATGTAAGTAAGTGTTTCCTTGAATTTTCGGAGCCACTTCAGCAAATTAATTGAACTCAAAGAGAGGGTCATGGGAACGAACCCCAACTTGAAGCTGGTTGGTCAGAAGTTACAGAGGCCCAGACTGGTGTGGTGGGGGAAGGGCATGGGGACTGAGCCCTCAACTTGGGGGATATGACACTATCTTTGGGTAGCGTCGAACGGAATTAACAGCTGATGTCTGCTGCTTGGTGTGTGGGGAAAAGAATCCCACACAAATGGTCACAGAAGTCTTCTGTGTTGATGACTATTGTGGTGTGAGAGTAGAGGAAAAATATGATTAAAGAGTTTTCTCTACACAGCCCCAAAGATAGGAAATCAGTATATCAGAGAGATATCTACACTCCACTGTTTTTTGCAGCAGTATTCATAATAGCCAAGATTTGGAAGCAACCTAAGTGTCCACCAACAGATGAATGGATAAAGAAATGTATATATACACAGGGGGCACTACTCAGCCATTAAAAAAATGAGATCGTGTCATTTGTAACCACATGGATGAAATTGGAGGTCATCATGTGAAGTGAAATAAGCCAGACACAAAGAGACAAATTTCTCATGTTCTCACTTATTTGTGGGAGCTAAAAATTAAAACAATTGAACTCATAGAGATAGAGAGGGTAGAAGGATAGTTACCAGAGGCTGGGAAGAATGAGGGGGGATTGTGGGAGGGAAGTGAGGATAGTTAATACATACAAAATAATAATTAGAAAGAATGAATAAGACCTAATATTTGATAACACAACAGGGTGACTATAGTCAATAATAGTTTAATTATACATTTTAAAATAACGAAAAGAGTATAATAGGTTGTAACACAAAGGATAAATGTTCAAGTGATGGATACCCCATTTTCCCATGTAATTATTATGCATTGCATGCATTTATCAAAATATTTCATGTACCCCATAAGTATATACACTTACTATATACCCATGAAAATTAAAAGTTAAAAAAGAAAACCAGCTGACACAGCTCTAGAGAAAAAACATTTCTTGCAACGATATCATTCTATGCAAAGGTCCACAGGTAGAAAAGAGCATAGCAATTCAGGAACCAAAAAGAAAACCAGTGTGGCCAAAGTGTCATGACAAGGAGATGAATGATATTCAATGTTGTTGAAGAGGTAAGTAGGGGGCTGCTGATGAGAAAGTAAACAGTTTGTGGGTTTGTTTCTTTTCTTTGAGATGGATTCTTGGTCTGTCGCCAGGCTGGAGTGCAGTGGCACAATCTCGACTCACCGCAACCTCCGCCTCCTGGCTTCAAGCGATTCTTCTGCCTCAGCCTCCCGAGTAGCCGGGACTACAGGAGTGTGCCACCATGCCCAGCTAATTTTTGTATTTTTAGTAGAGATGGGGTTTCACCATGTTGGCCATGATGATCTCGATCTCTTGACCTCGTGATCCACCTGCCTTGGCCTCCCAAAGTGCTGGGATTACAGGTGTGAGCCACCACGCCCAGCCTGTGTTTTATTTAAAGAGATGAAAAGGTGTTAGAGAGGAATACTACTTTACCTTCTTCATTTTTCCATAGAAGGAAGAACATTTCTATTTTGTTTTCTCAAAGAGAAGAGAGTTAGAGTAACAATTCCAGATTCTGTATGACTTATCTAATTGAAGAATTCTGGATAAGAAACTGAGATCACAATACTATTTTTCAATATTCTGGTAGACCATGGTGTTTCTAGGTACCAACAAGACATTGATATTCTTTTGATATAATAACATTAAGATTAAAAAAAACCATTAACATCTTTAGATGTCTTAATATACTACACCAAAATGTTTAATAAGACATTTGATTTATTATAAAACATTCTTCTATACTTCCAAAATTCCTCTAAACAAACACAACAAAAGTCAATTGACCATACAAATGGTATCATAAACATAAAAATTCTTACTCTGGTTTAAAAACTTTCTAAACAAGAGAAATATGAACATGACAAAGTTGAAATTAATTCAGATGTTAATCAGTTTCTAGAAAATAAAGGAACTAAAAACATTTTCTTTGAAAAACACACACACACTATGGCTTGCTCTCAATGTAATTACTGAAAAAAATAAAAGCTTTCAAAAAGATCTTCTCAAACTTCTCTAGCAAGAAGGTGAATTAACCAGAGGAAAATATTAAAATAGCTTATAAATGTCTTATTTCCCCAAAAAGAGTTTTTGATAGTTGCTTTTTTTTGACAAAAAATCACTACATACATGGGTTTCAGCAAAATGGCAGAATGAGAGGGCCCCAGTCCAAGACCCTTCACAGAAATTCTCTAGTCTTCTTACAGAGTTAGTAACTATTCATAGACAAGAATGCCTTTGTAAGAAGTCTAGATCACTGGGATAAAATTGCAGCACCCAGTAGAGCATAGAAACAGAAAAGCTATATTAAAAGAGGTAAGAGGAATGATTTCACTTTGGCCCGTGTTGCCCCTCCAGCAAGCCAGCACAGAGCCATGCCAAGAAAGATCCCCTTGGCCTATAACTTCTCCAGTGGGAGAGAAGGAGACTGAGGTGGCTGTTCAATTTCCCCAGCATATCAGAGACATACAGAAGAGCCCCAAATCAGTTTCACTTCACATGGAATACTCGGGGGATTGGCCTGGATAGACTGACAGGAGAGAGTTATGAACAAAGAAAAAGAGTTGTGGGAATTTCAGCAGCAGTATGCAGATCTTTGTGGAGTCTCCATATTTCCACCAGTTGCCTTACCCAAACAGGCAGCCTCGCCCAACCAGAGTCCACTCATCCAGCCCTGCCTAAGTGTGAAGGTCCTCCAACTGGCCCTACCCAATGATGGAGCACACTCAGTGGCTCTACCTGACCAGAGAGTCCAGACAGTAGCCCTCTCATACCAGGGAGCCCAGCCAGCAGCCCTGCCGGATCAGGGGGCACTTCCAGCACCCTGCTCAATCAGGGAGCATGACCAGCAGCCCCAACTGAATGCAGAGCCTAGCTAGAAGCCCTGCTCACCTGAATGCAGAGCCCAGAGAGCAGCCCTGTCAGACCACAGAGCCCAGCCAGATGTCCCTTCTTACTGTAGAGTTCCACCAGTGTCCCTGTCTAACTACAGGGCTCTTCCAACTGGTCCCACCTGACTTTGGAGCCCAGCCACTGACCTTGTCTGACTGTAGAAATCCCCCTAGATAGCCATACTCAACTTCGGACATTCCCCCAACTAGCCCCAACTGACCATGGTGCCCAGCCAGCTGATTCTGCCAGGTAGCAGAGCACAATCAGTGGGCACCACTCAGCCACAGAGCACTGGCAGTGGGTCCTGCTTGACCAGGGACCCTGGTGGCACAGCATGCCTGATCCTATATGCTACCAGCTGGCTTAGCCAAAACTCCACGCTGAACTATGTGGAAAAGGTCTGACCCTGACAAAACCAATCTACAAAGTCTAAAGAAGTAATCACTTCCTCAAGTGTACAGTACAGTTGCAGGATACAAAATCAACATACAAAAATTAGCAGCATTTCTATTTACAAACAACAAACAATGAAAAAAGGAAAGAACACAATCTCATTTACAATTAGCAACAGAAAAAATAAAATACACAGGAATAAACTTAACCAAAATGGTGAAAGACACGTCCACTGAAAATTATAATATGTTGACAAAGGAAATGAAAGAGGAAACACATAAATTGAAAGACATCTATGTTCGTGGTATGGAAGGATTAATATTGTTAAAATGTTTATAACACCCAAAGTTATCTACAGAGTCAATGCCATCTCTATCAAAATTCCAAGGGCATTTTTCGATATGAGTGCCAAGAATACAAAATTGGGAAAGGCTCGTTTCTTTAATAAATGGTGTTGGTAAAACTACATCCACATCTGAAAAAAATGAAGTTGGACCCTTATCTTTCATCATACACAAAAATCAACTCAAAACGAATCAAAGTTCTGACTATGAGATCTGAAACCACAGAACTGCTAGAAGAAAACAGAGAGCAAAAGCTTCTAGATGTTGACCTCGGCAATTGTTTCTTAGATATGACATCAAAAGCACAGGCAACACAGCAGAAATAGACAAACAGAACTACATAAAATGAAAAAGCTGCATGACAAATGAAACAATCAACAGAGTGAAAAGTAACCTATAGAATGAGAGAAAATATTTGCAAGTTATGTATGTGATACGGGGCTACTTTAAAAAAATATATAAGCAGTTTCTAAAACTCAATAGCACAAACCAAATAATCTGTGTAAAAAAATGGGCAAAGGACTTGAATAGAGAAACATTTCTCTAGAAAAGACATACTTCGATGGAGGAATTAATATTGTTAAAATGTTCATAACACCCATATATCATGTACCATAATAATATGTAAATAAAAGGAGAAACTGGATGCAGGATATATAAGAACACTGTACAGTCTTCTCAATTTATCTGTAAATCTAAAACTGTTCTAAAAGATGAAGGCTATTTTAAAAATAATTCTGTAAAATTTTTAAAATTGACCATTTTAAAATTGATCATTGACATGTGATCCATTGACATGTGACCAACCCTTTTTTGATAATCAAATATTTCAATATTATGTTTTTACAATTAAATTTATTTTATGTAGTGTTTAGTTTTTTAAATAATTGCTCTATTAAATTTTATCTGATATTATTTTATATAAAATTAAATATGCTTAACTATAATTGTTAAACAGTAATTGTTTTATAAGGTGACTTAGACATGTCTGGAGCCTGAGGAAAAGAAGCCAGTAGAGAGACTGCTATAAAACCCAGGAAAAGGAATAAGGGGAACAGAGACACATGGGGACTAGGAGTGAGCTGTCGAAAGGAGAAGGGCCATCCTCAGAATCGAGGGAAAGAAGAGAGGATAGGAGAAGAAGAGAAAAATGTGATTGTGCCTATGCTTGAATGTGTCTACCATGGCATGTCCTCCTGCTTTGGGGACATAAACGTCTTGCTCTGCATTCCTTTGTGAGAATGGCAGTAACAGAGGAAATGTCACTGTGCCCCAGGAATAGCTTCAGAAGGCTCTAGAATTAGATCCCGAGGCATGAGGTCATCATATGCTTGGAAGTTCCAGTGAGTTGAAGTATTTGAAATACAGCACTGATTCTGTGGGCACTGCTGCCTGGCTTAGGCATTGCAAAGAGACTGAAGCATGTGGGGATTAGTTTAATACCCCAAAACTTTGCAGCTTTGGGAGCAGCAGGACACAGCAGCACTTTAGATAGGAAGGCGCTCTTCTCATAGTCAGTATTGGCAAACATGGTCATGTGGAGGTATTTATTACAGGTGGATCTCAGGCATGAGATATATCAACCTCAAAGAATACCTGGGAAACCTTCTAGATATGCTTCAAGAAATTAGAAGAAATCTTGACTGGGGGTCAGGGAGGCAGGGTCTGACCAAGTTCCAAGTCAGGCATGGGGAGATGAACAATTGGCAAAATTTAGATTATCAAGGTTAATGTTACCATGTTTTTACCCACAGGTTCATGAGATTAGAGGCCCTTTAGACAACATGAATTTCAGCTAGTTATTTTTAGCTGTTCATTCCTAAAATCAAAATCACCCTTCAGCATTTGTTACAGACACTTAAATCCTAAATTAGAAACAAGAATACAATTGGCCAGGCGCGGTGGCTCACCCCTGTAATCCCAGCACTTTGGGAAGCCGAGGCGGGTGGATCACGAGGTCAGGAGATCGAGACCATCCTGGCTAACATGGTGAAACCCTGTCTCTACTAAAAAATTAGCCGGGCGCGGTGGCGGGCGCCTGTAGTCCCAGCTACTCGGGAGGCTGAGGCAGGAGAATGACGTGAACCCAGGAGGCCAAGCTTGCAGTGAGCTGAGATCACACCACTGCACTCCAGCCTGGGGGACAGAGTGAGAATCCATCAAAAAAAAGAAACAAGAATACAATAGCACAATTCATGTGACAACCACATGTAGGTTTAGTGATGTTTGTTCTCTGTGAAGCTAAGCTATCTCAGCTAGGTGGTTGAGGACATTTGTACTGTCTGGACTAGGCAGAGGTGAATATGATTGAATGTGTAAGACAGTGCCAATTATGTACCATATATAGCTGTGTGTGTTTCCTTCTGTCTAAAATATCAACCTATGCTTGCCTTTAATCTCATCCTCAATTGCAATGCTCAAAACCCCTCCTAGTGTCATTATATTGTCAAAAAATACTCTGAATCACAGGTTTAGAGAGATAAAAATTCTAACTTCTCTTAAAGAAACAACGTCTGAAAATCTTTTCATTTGTGTTGTTCCACATGAAATGACTTTAAGTGTTGAATGTGCACATTATTCCTACATTCTGAGACTTAGATTTATAGCTTATGAGTTGTCCTTCTAAAGGTATACTCTTCATATGCCAGTGACTCCCCAGCTTATACAGCAGTTATGCCTTATTGGTGAGGGATGCGTTCAAAGACTCCTTGTGGATGCCTGAAACCTGTTACCAAACCCCATATATCTCTAGTGCACATCTAAATCTGTGTTTAGACGAACAGAACCAGCTTTGTACCCGATTATCTTCACCAAGATGTCTGACTTACGTAAATCTCAAACTTGTCGTATTTAACACAAAGTTCTTAATTTCCTTCCTTTTTCAAGCCCACTTCTGCTGTGTTTTCTGTTTAAGTAAATAACACTCATCCATTTAGTTATGTCAAAAACCTAGGAATTATCCATGACTTCTCTCTTACTCTTTCTGCACTTTAAATGCATCAGCTAGTACTGTCTTCAAGAATGTATCCTTTTTACCCAGTCCTCGCCATCTCCTTTACTATCCCCCTTGCCCAAGCCACTATACTTTCATCCTGCTGTGGAAGCAGTTTTCCAACCCTCCTTACTCTCCTTTTGACCACTTAATATACATTCTTCACTAGCCAGAACAATCTTTGAAAAATGTAACCTACCATATGTCACTCCCCATTTGAAATGTTCCTATTGGGATTTTAAGATGATATTAAATACTCATTTTCTCAGCTCTCAAGTCTGGATTCAATTGAGAGGCAGACAGATTTGGGCAAATGAGATAAAATATTTGTTTTGTATTGATAAATGGTTGGATTGGCAGATATTGCCTTGTATTGAGTATGGTCGTAAAGACATCACTAATATTTAACTTATCTACCTATTTATTTTCCCTCACTTTGAAGTGTGGTTAGAATTTGGAGGAAGCAATTTCATGAAGGTAGAAATAAGATTGCCCTCATAAAATATGTTATGTCCTCATAAAATAAATATTTATATATTATATATAAAATATATAAATTTATTATCTGATCCTTCCCAAGAGAGATTCCGCACCTCTGGTTGCCCTTAGGCTTAATCATTAAGCCAGAACCATAAAGAGAACAAAAAACATTACCTGTGCCCAACGTTTTATGGCCTTTGTCACTCCTCAAGTAGTCTCTCCAAAGGAGGAATGTCTGACGTGGTAAGTAAGTTTGAGAGGAAACTGGATTTTGTTGGATCCACCCCTTCTGAAGTCTCTTGTTGTCTTCCTCCCTCAAGAGATGTCTGCCCTATTTTCCACTTGTTTGGAAACTATCTCCCCTGTCTGGTGTCCTTGCAGCTGTGCATCTGTCAGTCTGTGCTGGTAAGCTTTCTCCCTCAAAAACCGACTTGATGTGCTTCTCTGTTCTTATAATATCTGGCTCATATACCTGCATTTCACTAACCTAACCTATATATTATATATAATTTTGTTGTTTATATGTTCATCTTTTATACCTCACTGAGTTCCTTGAGGGTAGGAACAGTGAGTTGTATTTTTTTTTGTTTTTTTGTTTTCTTTTTTTTTTTTTGACTCCATGTTCTCAGAACTCTGGCACAGAGTAAATACAAAATATTTCTTCTTCCTTTCTTCCTTCCCTCCTTCTCTCTCTCGTTCTCTCCCTCTCTCTTTCTCTCTTTATTTCCTTTGTCTATCTTTTAAATCACCAAAACAATACTTTGTATGCAGTAGGTATTTTCCTGCCTAGTACATACCCAAGTATTTTTCAATATCGTTGCAAAGTAATTAGTCTTAGAATTCCCACCTAGATTTTTAGAGGGATTTAAGTCTGATAGTGTTGTCTATATAATGTGAAACAATGTTATTTTACTCAACTGTAATGTAATATCAACAGTTTGTTATATGTATCTGTTTGCACACTTTATGGACACCTCATATTTTGAGATATCTGCCATATCTCAAATGTTGTAAAACCTATCTTAAGTACTAAACAAATGACTGATACAAGCATGTTTTATCTCGATATCTGAACACTCCTCATTACTTATAATCTATATCACCAACATTAATTTTCTGTCTCTCATTTGTTCATGCTTGTTTACATTTGGTAATAGCTGGACAAGTATTAACCAGGTTGGAAGTTATGTTTAAGATGGTGAACTGATTAAGCAATAAGTAAATGTATGAGCCTATATAACTAAAAAATCTGAATATTTAGCTTTTGGAGCAGCTGGATGAGAAGCTTATATATATCTGTTATCAGGACCTAGACAATTTTTCTTTAGGTCCTACTTTTGTTTTCTTTAGGTCTACTTTTGTTCACCTCTAATTAGGATCCATTCTTAGTTATGCTCTGTCCTTGTAGTTGCAAGATGACTGCAGCAGCTCTAGAACACTTATCTTTAAAACTCCACACCCAGGAGAAAAGGGAAAGTCCTTGTCTCAGAAAGTTCTAAGAAAGTCTTAGAATAGAATCTCACAGATCTTGATTTCACAGACTTGGATCCTGTGTCCATTCTGGAATCAAACTGTGGCCAGAACAAATAGCGATTAATAAAATGTATTGTTAGAATGAGGATTTGGCCAAAAGTGCACTCCCAGAGCCAGGTATGAAATCAACTTTATACATATAGAAAGGTAGGAGAAGGGAATCCCCCAAAACAAAATCAGAGTTCTGTAACCACAAGATGAGATCTTGATTACAGGTGGTAAACCCAACAAATGTTCATTATAGATGTCCTGATACATTGTATGGTCTCGGTAGTACATATGAAATTCACTTTGGGGAATTCACAGAAAGAGGCAGCCTTTCTCAGGAGAATTAAACTGATGTTTGGAAAGATGCCCATATGAGGGAAGAGAGAGACCTCTCATATTATTTTATATTGTTTTATACTCAGTACCTGTTTTAAGAAAAAACAACAAGGAAGTAAAACCAAAGACAGGCAGCCCGGCGTCAGGCCCAAAACCAGGCCTGGGCCTGCCTGGCCTAAACCCAGTAGTTAAAAATCAACTCATAACTTACAAACCGATGTTATTCATAGATTCCAGACATTGTGTGGAAGAACACTGTGAAACTCCCTGCCCTGTTCTGTTTCTCTCTGACCACCGGGGCATGCAGCCCCTGTCACTGCCTGCTTGCTCAAATCAGTCACGACCCTTTCATGTAAAACCTTTAGTGTTGTGAGCCCTTAAAAGAGACAGAAATTGTGCATTTGGGGAGCTCGGATTTTAAGGCAGTAGCTTGCCAATGCTCCCAGCTGAATAAAGCCCTTCTTTCTACAACTCGGTGTCTGAGATGTTTTGTCTGCGGCTTGTCCTGCTACACATAGACTGCTGATTAGGAAAGACCATCCATATTAAAAGGGCATTAACAGGTAAAGAAAACATTGGTTTCCCATATGAATCAAAAACAATAATAATAAAAGCAGATGCCTCAACTATCAGCCATTGATCCATCACTGAGCTGTCTCTTAAGAGTGCCATCTCCTGGGTGACAGCAACAGGACTCATTTATTTAATTTGATAATTGTTAATGAAGTTAATAATACTGTATTGTAAATTTGAAATTTAATAAGAGAGCAGACCTTTGTTTTTACCACATACACAAAAGGTAACTATGTGAGGTGAGGGATGTGTTAACTAACTTAATTTTGGCAATAATTTCACAATGCATATGTACATCAAAGCATCATACTATACAACTTAAATATGTACAATTTTATTTGTCTATTATACCTCAGTAAAGTGGGAAAAAGTATTAGTTAAACAGTATTATGAAAGCCTGAAGGCCTTCTATGTTGTAGTTGGCACTCTGTTAGGTGCTAGGAAAAGACATATTTTTTTAAAGGATAACCCTAGGAGCCAAACATAGGATAATGATACTAGTGCCCAAAGAGACCGGCTCCATCAAAGACAAAGCTCAGAAGATGCCTTGAGGCTAAAAGAATTGCTGTCCTTGGCCAGGTGCAGTGGTTCACACCTGTAATCTCAGCACTTTGGGGGGCCAAGGTGGGTGGATCACCTGAGGTCTGGAGCTCAAGACGAGCCTGGGCAACATGAAACCCATCTCTACTAAAAATACAAAAAATTAGCCAGGTGTGGTGGCACATGCCTGTAATCCTAACTACTCAGGAGACTGAGGCAGGAGAATCGCTTGAACCTGGGAGACAGAGGTTGCAGTGAGCCGAGATCATGCCCCTGCACTCCAGCCTGAGCAACAGAGTAAGACTCCATCTCAGAAAAAAAAAAAAAAAAAAAAGAATTGCTGCCCTTAAAGGTGAAGCGAGTCTCTTGTAGAGCTGATCACCTGGCATTTTGAGCTCTTTCAGAGGTCATAGACCTCTGGAGAGAGAAACTGAGACACGTAAGAGGGTGGAAACGACTCAGTGGTGACACACTGAGGAGTCCTGCCCACAAGCAGCACACACTGATGCATCACCCAAAAACCCTAGGCCACAGCTCAGTTCCTCCTTTTAAGAAAATAAATAAATAAATAAATATATACATAAAACCAGGAAACAATCTAAGAATGAGGAGAAAACAAGGAGAATGACCCACTTTTGTGCACTCCATAGGTTTTACGGCACCTTTACTTGCCAGAGTAAAATGGAAGTAATACAGTCTTTGTGCACATTTAGATTAAGGAAAAAGAGCCCTAAGGTGGACCTGTAAACTATAGAGTTCCCAGGTCCCCTTTTTCTGTATTTTCTTTTCTGCCTGCTTTAAATCTGCTGTTATGTTTCTGCTGAGATAAAAACCACTGTTTGGATCTAACAGGTTTTGTTTGTTTGTTTTTTGCGAGCTGGCAAATTTGTATTTATCTCATGGCTAAAGTACTGAAGTAAAAGCTGTAGAAGCTGTGTGTGTGTGTGTGTGTGTGTGTGTCTGTATATGTGTGTTTGTATATATTTGAAGGCCTTTATAATAGACTTCTATAATGTTATGTTCAATCGGCAATTAAATCCATTTTAATTTCCCTCCAGCTCACCAGGCTTTCTCTTCTTACACTCTTTTTTTTTTGAGTCAGAGTCTCACTCTGTTGCCCAGGCTGGAGTGCAGTGGTGCCATCTCAGCTCACTGAAATCTCTGCCTCCTGGGTTCAAGCGATTCTCTTGCCTCAGCCTCTCGAGTAGCTGGGATTACAAGCGCACCAGCACACCTGGCTAATTTTTGTACTTTTAGTGGAGACAGGGTTTCACCATGTTGACCAGGCTGGTCTCAAACTCCTGACCTCAAGTGATCCAACTGCCTCGGCCTCCCACAGTGCTGGGATTACAGGAGTTTGCTGGCCCACTGGGCCCTCTTCATACCTTATGATGTAAATTTTGTTATCTGATTTTCACCTGAGTTGTTTCCTCTAAAATGCAAATTTAAGGCTATTTAGCTGACAACTGCCCAGGGTGAGCTTAAAAAAAAAAAAAGGAAAAAAAGGAGGTCTTTATGAATCTATAAGATGTACTTCTATCAGCATGCCTAATACATCTATATATTTATTTGTTGTGTACACAATATTTCACTATTAAAAATATATAAACGAGCTCTGATTAATTGGATTAAAAAATAAAAGTGCTTAAATCAGATACTAAAGAACAAAGACTAGTTAAATGCTTTTTCAAGTTCAAGTGAGTTAAGTAAAATCTTTAATAAATAAGTTGGCTTTAAAATTATTGGTAAAATAATATTAGAAATGTCTTAACAATTTGCCAGCGTACGTTTTTGTTGGCATTTATTAATCAAGCATTTTCATACTTATTCCTCCTAAATACTATAAGGTGTCAAAACTTGGCATAGGGGTTACAAAACTATTAACCCAGCCCAAAACAGAATGATCTCCACTTTCATAATCTTTAATAAATAAGACATGAGTATTGATTTAATCAAAATAGTTACATCTTAAATTTAGTAAGATTACTATAACTTCTAATCTTGTGGTTTTAGGCGGTCTAGTTCACAGGCAATAAAGTTTGTTATTGTCTTTGTTTCAAAGCTAAACTATAAACCAGGTTCTTCCCAAAGTTAGTTCGGCTTACACCCAGGAATGAGCAAGGACAGCTTGGAGGTTAAAAGCAAGATACAGTCAGGTAGGTCAAATCTTTATAATCTGAAGGTTTAATTTAGAAAGTTATATTAAATTAAATAATAGATATTTCATTAAGTATTTTCCAATAAAACTGTATTTGTAGAAAAACATTCTTTCTAAGAAAAAAGTGTGCCCTTTAAAAAGGTGAACAATTTTGTCTAATTCAAAGCTTATTTAGAGGTCTTGTATAAAACAAGGTAAAAGGAACCAGGAAATAAAGGAGATGTAAAGAAAGTTATAAAAATAAAGAGGTAGGTTTTTTTTTGTAAGAAAGCTTAAAGAGAAATAATTTTATACGAGAAGAATCTTGTATGGTAAATTTAGTCCTAGAGTAAAATGACTGGTTGTTTAAGAAAGGAGGATGTTTAGGACAAACCAGAAAGTCGAAGCATGGTCTATGTAAGTCACAATGAGAGGATTAAAATACCCCCAAAGCCCCAAAAACTTTTATATGATCAACTTGTCATATTATTATTAAGTTTTGATTTGTTAGGAAAAAAACTGAGTTGAAAAACCTTTAAAAAATTAGGGTTATTACATCTGTGTGTCTCTCTGTATGTGTGTGTGATTTTTTGTTGTTGTTGTTTTGATACGGAGTCTTGCTCTGTCACCCAGGCTGGAGTACAGTGGTGCGATCTCAGCTCACTGCAACCTCTGCCTCCCGGGTTCAAGCCATTCTCCTGCCTCAGCCTCCCAGGTAGCTGGGACTACAGGCGTGTGCCATCACACCTGGATTATTTTTGTATTTTTAGTAGAGACAGGGTTTCACTATATTGGCTAGGCTGGTCTCAAACTACTTGTGACATTGAGTTATAGGGCTCTGACTCCTGGGTCTAAAAAGGACACCAAATCCACTAAATTTTAAACACTGACAGTAATTAAAGCCCCATCTTCAGGCCCTGTAGAAGATGCCATCAAAATAAACTGCATTTCTGAAACACAGAGCCGGAAATGAAAGCTATTCAATTCCTCAAGGCCCCAGGCCTATCATGGAAGAGGTGGGCCTGTGAGATTGTAAGGGCCCATTTTGAGAGACAAAATAGTTCAGTTTCTCTATAAGTTAATCATTAATGTCAAAGGCACACTGATGCCTGTGTGTGATTAACAAGGTTTTCTTGAAGCGTTAACTGACTCCTTAGTAAAGGTTACAAAGGTTATAAAAGGCTTATGAAAATTATATCTTATGGTCAAGATTAAACTTTTATAGACTGTTTATAAAATTTTGAAAAAAAATTTAGTTGGCTTCATACTGTTTTATTAGGGCTTATTGTTTTGAAAATTAAGTCTCCTCTCCCAGATAATGAAGATCCTTGCCTTTTTTTTGAAATTCTTGAGTTATCACTTTGGTCAAATGAATGACTTCTTTTACAATGACCTATGATATCAAGTATTTTAAACATTTGATATTTGACAAACTTTCCAAAACCAAATGACAAATTATGTCTTTTTTCTGACCTTATTGGTCCTTTAAGGTATTAGCTTCCCTAAAGTCCAAAAATGACAAAATTTGGCATATTTGGTATAAAAATTGTATAGGAAGCATTGTCAAATATGAAATGGTGTTTGGTTTTCTTTGGGCTGTATTTGTATAAATATGTTATTGGTATGTGTTTCAAAATCATGAGAACCTCCTATAATTCTGATATTACTTAGTGTATATTATCAGTAATAATTTTAATTGTTAAATTATTGTTTGCCTCAGAGAAACAAATTTCCTTGTCAATTGTGTCTTTGATTATGGCTGCCCTAAAACATTTTGTCATCCATGGACAATTGTTGTCTTGTTTTGGTCCTCTTTAGAAGGTGGTTTTATAATCAGCCATAGAACTCTAACAGGTGTTCTTAAATGAAGGTTTCTGATATCTTTGGAGACTACGACATTAGAATAGAGGAACAACTTTCAGGACTCTCATGGAAAGCTAAAATATTCATGAATATCAAGCAGAATAGGAGTGAACTGTGCAAACTGAACTAATAGAAGACTAAAGTAATCTTTTTAGCTTTCTGCTTAACATGTTGCTGATCCTTTGTTTTGTTTTTCGGATCAAGAAGACTTTTGTTTATGCTATTTACAGCTTTTAACAGTTGGGTAAAGTCTACTCCTATGACCAAAATTTGGAGCATATTTTTCTTCTTTCTACCTGATTTCTACAGAATTTGGAAAGTATTTGTGCATATTCTTAACTTATGACAATACCATTATTTGCACAAGTGCAATAATAATCTGTTTTCATTTGTAAAAGGACACAATTGGAAAAACTGATTATTTTACCAAGGCTTTTGGTATGATTTCCTTTAAGGAATCAAACTTGACTTATAGAGCAATAAAAGCCCCTTAGAAAACTGGCCTCATACCTTTGTCTATACAGCCCCCGTACAGGGTTCCTGACTTGTAGTAAGTGAAGAATGTCACTTTCTGACAGGCCCAGGAGCCCCAGGTTTATCTTGGAACCTCAAGAGGAGAGGATCACCCAACTCATAGGTATTTGATGTGTCAGGCCTCCTAACCCAAGCCTGCACATATTCATCCAGATGGCCTGAAGCAAGTGAAGAATCACAAAATAAGTGAAAATGCCCGGTTCCTGCCTTAACTCATGACATTACCTTGTGAAAATTCTTTCTCCTGGCTCATCCTGGCTCTCAAGCTCCCCCAATGAGCACCTTGTGACCACCCCTGCCAGCCAGAGAACAATCCCCTTTGACTGTAATTTTCCACTTAACCTACCCAAATCCTATAAAACTTTATAAAAGTTTTATAAAAAAATTTATTGCTCACACAAAGCCTGTTTGGTGGTCTCTTCACACGGATGTGCATTAAAGTGGCACAAATCCATGGCTGGGCTCAGCTTTTAAAAAGTTTTATCTGAGATTCCTTCTATGGAACAAAGTTGCATCAACGCCAATTTAAAAGCCTATATAAAAATAATTATTCTTGCTGCACTGTATACAAATAATCAGGCCAAGTATAATAAAGCAAATCAGTCCTACCATGATTTGTCTTTAGTAAAAATGGGAAACTAGAGAGAGAAAACTCTATAGTTTCAAAAACTATAGTACACCTGTTGTTAGATTCTAGTCTGGCCTATTGTTTTTTAATGTTTACTATTTTCCACAGTTTGAACCGAATTCTAATTTTTCGTGGCTACCAGGCATAGAAATAATGTTTTAAATTTTTTCCTTCTTTTTTTCCCCTAATTTTTCCTAATTTGGAATCACTGAAAACTAAGCTCTGCTCTCATAAAGCCCTGTGAACTGAAACTAGACAACTTAAACTTCAGAAGTAAATAACAACAACCTATTTACATAGATAAGCCACTTTCATACCTGCCTACTGATGTATGAACTTCAGAGTCATGTGGCCTATATCAACTTACCAGGATTGTTTTTTTGTTTGTTGTTGTTTTTCTCCCTTCCTCCCTCTATTTTCTCTTCATAAAACCTGAGACTTCACAACTTTCTACAAATGAGCTTTCCTAGTAACTCAGGACCTACCTGTCAGGCCTCTGAGCCCAAGCCAAGCCATCGCATCCCCTGTGACTTGCACGTATACGCCCAGATGGCCTGAAGTAACTGAAGAATCACAAAAGAAGTGAAAAGGCCCTGCCCCGCCTTAACTGATGACATTCCACCATTGTGATTTGTTCCTGCCCCATCTTAACTGAGTGATTAACCCTGTGAATTTCCTTCTCCTGGCTCAGAAGCTCCCCCACTGAGCACCTTGTGACCCCCCGCCCCTGCCCACCAGAGAACAACTCCCTTTGACTGTAATTTTCCATTACCTTCCTAAATCCTATAAAATGGCCCCACCCCTGTCTCCCTTCGCTGACTCTCTTTTGGACTCAGCCCACCTGCACCCAGGTGAAATAAACAGCCATGTTGCTCACACAAAGCCTGTTTGGTGGTCTCTTCACACGGACGCTCATGAAAGAGCGATCAGATGAAAGCTGGAACCAGAGACTCATTTTCTTCTGAAATGTTTTCTCCAAAAGATTTTTTAGAAAGAAAAGGGAAGAAATGTGAAAGGGAAATATCTTGGGCCCCCAAAATCACTAGGCTAAAGGGAAAAGTCAAGCTGCAAACTGCTTAGGGCAAACCTGCCTCCTATTCTATTCAAAGTCATCCCTCTGTTCACTGAGATAAATGCATACCTGAATTTCATGCGCGTCCATGTGAAGAGACCACCAAACAGGCTTCGTGTGAGCAATAAAGGTTTTAATCACCTGGGTGCAGGCGGGCTGAGTCTGAAAAGAGAGTCAGTGAAGGGAGATAGGGGTGGGGCTGTTTTATAAGATTTGGGTAGGTAAAGGAAAATTACAGTCAAAGGGGGTTTGTTCTCTGGCGGGCAGGAGTGGGGGTCACAGGGTGCTCAGTGGGGGAGTTTTTGAGCCAGGATGAGCCAGGAAAAGGACTTTCACAAGGTAATGTCATCACTTAAGGCAAGGACCGGCCATTTTCACTTCTTTTGTGGTGGAATGTCATCAGTTAAGGCGGGGCAGGGCATTTTCACTTCTTTTGTGATTCTTCAGTTACTTCAGGCCATCTAGGTGTATAAGGGCAAGTCACAAAGGTTGCGATGGCTTGGTTTAGGCTCAGAGGTCTGACACTGATTGCCTCATTTGGAAAGGCTAATCAGAAACTCAAAAGAATACAATCGTTTTTCTCTCACCTACCTGTGACCCGGAATCCCCTTCCTTGCCTGGAGTTGTCCCACTTTTGCTTTGAGTTGTCCCACCTTTCCGGACTGAACCAATGTTCATTTTATATATGTTGATTGATGTCTCATGTCTCCCTAAAATGTATAAAACCGAGCTGTGCTCTGACCACCTTGGGCACATGTCGTCAGGACCCCCTGAGGCTGTGTCATGGGCATGTGTCCTCAACCTTGGCAAAATAAACTTTCTAAATTAACTGAGACCTGTCTCAGATTGTTGGGGTTCACAGTTCACAACCTTAAATGGATCACGATTGGGAATAGTTAGTTGGTTAGCTTTAGTGTTCAGCGAGGAGTGGCCCATCTCATAGTCTCAGGTAGTAGCAATAAACTGAAACCTGGGGAAAGACAGGGAATTTTTCTGACAGCCTGACAACCTGTTAGGGAAGCCATGCCTGTGACAGGATGATGGGTCATAGTCAGGTGAGAATTCATATGTCTGTAATTTCCTGAGGTGATTCCCTGAGGTGTCCTTGTTGCTTCTCTCAATACAGTGATTTAGAAGTAGCTCTCTAGATTAATTTTAAAAATTACTTTAGAAAGTATCTGTTTTTGTATCATTGAAAATTCCCACCCAGTAATGTAATCTTTCCTCTCTTTTCTCAATACAGACACTCAATTTAACTTGCAAAAATATTCATTTTGACTCATTATATCTGCTTGTTATTCACTTAAGTGAATCTGTCACAGTCGCATTTCTGTATCAAGGACCTCAGTCAAGAACATTACAACTAAACTGTTAGGAATAAAGTCTCTTCATGAATGTATGTTCT
This sequence comes from Homo sapiens, assembly GCF_000001405.40. Taxonomy (NCBI): domain Eukaryota; kingdom Metazoa; phylum Chordata; class Mammalia; order Primates; family Hominidae; genus Homo; species Homo sapiens. The sequence continues at coordinate 112,398,869 of NC_000003.12, read as the reverse complement.
ATACCTTTGCCAAAATGTGGCAGGCCTCAGGTTTCTAAGAGCTATCCAACCATACTTAAAACTATCCTAACTGCTGAATTGAAAACATTTAATTTTGTATTTTGGTTTCTCTCATATATTTGTTGTTGTACTTTTTGCAGTATTTATTTTTCCTTATTTTTTTAACCATTTTTCTACCAAGTCATACTATTAATAAAATCAAACTAAATTTCTGATGGCTCAAATAATAGCATTAATCAGTATGATTCTAACTTTAAAAAGTTAGTTGCCTATCTTGTAAGTGACCCTCAATATTTTCATTAAGGCTAATACATAGAATGATGAGAATAATTATGACTTATCATATGTATGGTATTTCTATTATTTTCTAGAATTATAATCATATACATTTTTTTAAAGTTGAAGGAGATTCAACTTCAGCCTTCTCTCCAAAGCAGGGATTCTTTCTATGTGAGATAAAATAATTTTTAATTTCGAAGCAGGAGAAAAAGTTGGGTAAATTTTTTAATATGAGAAATTTGATTGTTTTTCCATTTCTTAGTTGATGGTATGAGATTCACCTCAGTGCATTCTTAATCATGACTACTAAGGCAACCAATTGACCCCATTTAAAATAAGGAGACAAATAATGTTTCATTATTTTATTATTCAAATCAAAAGCAAGTTAAGACTTCATATTGAATTACCCTTCATTATACTAGGCTTCTCTCCTCTCTTTTAGTCATCTTCTTCAGGGTAACCTCAAATGTTCCAAGGTCTTACACCTACTCATCATATTCAGGGAACTGAGACTCCACACACCTCACTTTGAGGCTGGAATATGCTGAAACTGCCTCCACAAACTCATTATTCTGGACCAAGACTTACAGCCTAAAGTGAAGGACATTTCCAAAGAAATTTTCTCCTCACTGATGCCTCTCCTGCTGCAATGCAATGACCCTGGCTATGTACAAGACATACTTTGGCTTGCTCCTGGGAAACCTTTGCTCTGTAAAGAGCACTGAGCTGTTGCTACCATTGCTGGCTTCAAGCACTTTGTCCCCATTCATTTCCAAGGTCAGACCTAATGCCAAGACTTTGTTGAAGGAGAAGTGGGGAGTCTCAGCTACTGCTGCCAGAAAGGCAGATGTTTTCATTGTTTGCTGCAACTTGTTTGTCTTATAGTGGTTTCTCAAGATATCCAGGAAGGAAGAAAAACAAATACCTCACCCTGCCCTAGGAAAGTGACAGACTGTGATGACACTTCCATCACAAAACAGGCCTGGACTCTGAAGCAAGTGTCTCCTCTAACACACCCATGTTAAAACCAGTCTAAGTTTCGCCTTCTCAGGCATACTTCCACTACATTGTGTTTACAATGTTTTTTTTTCTCTATTATTATTTTACTTATTATTTTTTTGAGATGGAGTCTCACTCTGTTACCCAGGCTGGAGAGCAGTGGCGCTATCTCGGCTCACTGCAAGCTCCGCCTCCCAGGTTCACGCCATTCTCCTGCCTCAGCCTCCTGAGTAGCTGGTACTACAGGCACCCGCCACCACGCCTGGCTAATTTTTTGTATTTTTAGTAGAGATGGGGTTTCACCATGTTAGCCAGAATGGTCTCGATCTCCTGACCTCGTGATCCACCCAACTCGGCCTCCCAAAGTGCTGGGATTACAGGCGTGAGCCACCGCGCCTGGCCTTAAAATATTTTAATACACATTTTCATTTATTGGAGAAATGTGTCATTGCTTAAGTTGTTCTGTTTAAACAATGTGATACAGGTCTCATTTAATTTAGAAAGTTTATTTTGCCAAGGTTGAGGATGCACGCCTGTGACACAGCCTCAGGAGGTTCTGACAACATGTGTCCAAGGCGGTCAGAGCATAGTTTGGTTTTATACATTTTAGGGAGACATGAGATGTCAATCAACATATGTAAGATGAACATTGGTTCAATCTGGAAAGGTGGGCAACTTTAAGCAAAGGCAGGAAGACTTGAAGTCATGAGGGGCCTTCCAGGTCATAGGCAGATAAGAGAAAAATGATTGTATTATTTTGAGTTTCTGATTAGCCTCTCCAAAGGAGGCAATCAATTATCTCAGTGAGCAGAGGGGTGACTTTGAATAGAATGGGAGGCAAGTTTGCCCTAAGCAGTTCCCACTTGACTTTTCCCTTTAGCTTAGTGATTTGGGGGCCCCAAGCTTTATTTTCCTTTCACACTCCTAGGTACAGTGCCTAGTCAGGAAAAAAAAAAAAAAAAAAAGCCCCAAAACTATAAAGTCACAGTGACAGTCACAAACATAATTTTCCCACGGTGCTCTGCATCCCACTTTATAATGACCACTGCGCACTCTAATGTTAGTCTTGCATCACCTGAAACTTCTTTACCCTAGGTGCTATGGGTTTATGAGAACATAAATGATACATAGTTATAGAATCACAAGCTGAATAGACTCCAACATTGTCTACCATGAAAGAAACATTTATTCTCCACCTTATGCCATGCCACTACTTTTGTTTGGACCTATTGAGGTACATTTATTTTATTGGATTTTAATGAGCTTGGGACACTGAGAATGCATGTCAAGAAGTAGAAGGGAGGAAAGAAAAGAAAAGTAATGTTATGGTCTGCTGTGCTTTCTTACTTAATACCGAAAAAAATGCAAAGAATAATTCACAGATGAGGACATTGGGATATGAAAAGTGATAGCTCTGTGATCACATAGTTAGTACATTGCAGATCTTGGATTTTAACTGATGTTTTACATGACTTAGAAACCCTTCATATTATTTACACTACTTATTTCTATCCTGCCAAATGTCTCTGTTAATATCCAGACTCTTTTTTGGATTAAAACTCTGAATTATCTTTCTGATCTGTATCATTTAAATCACAAATACTTAGTATGAACACCATAAGTGCTAAAGCATTAAAAAGTCATTAAACAACCTCAAATTAATAAGGCACTTTAGTGTTTGAAAATTCTTGTACATATATTACCTCTTGTCCTTTCTTTAATAGCAGTATAAGATGAATATTTTTATGTCATCTCTTTTTTAAAAATTAGGAGGCCAGTGTCTAGGGAGATAATTTGTGAGAGAGAGCATGATGACGGTGGAGCCAGAATGTGAACTTGGGTCGTCTGACTCCAAGTCCAGAATAGCTGCATTGCTCTACTACATTCAGTGTTTTGTTGAGGAAACATCTGTAGCCTTGCTTTCCTGGGGTACAGCATCAGGGGAAGGACAACAAAGAGTATACATGCATTCTCAGTAATGTTCAACAGTGGTTTCCTTCCACTAACGACTTAACAGAGTTCTCTCTTCTTAATTTCCTTCCTTTTCTCCAGTGAGAGTCTAGAAGTCATTTATATTCACTATGTCAAGTGTTTGAGCTTAATTTTCTTAGGTATATTTTGCTGCTCTCTCTTTACTTTCTTATGGACTCATTCAATGAGAAATTCAAACACAGTCAAACTATCAAAGGCATTCAAACCAGAGCAATTCCATGTTGAGTGAGGGATAGGAAAAATGAAGCTGGAGCTTGCTGGGCTGCATTCCCAGAAAGTTAGGTATTTCCAACCTCTAGATGTTTACAGTTAAGGGAACAGATTTATAATGTTTACTAATCAGACTCAGACTTGGGAGTATCCTGATATCCCGATATCTTTTTTTTTTTTTTTTTTGAGATGGAGTCTCATTCTGTCGCCCAGGTTGTAGTGCAGTGGTGGGATCTCTGCTCACTGCAACCTCTGCCTCCCTGGTTCAAGCAATTCTCCTGCCTCAGCCTCCCGAGTAGCTGGGACTATAGGTGTGCACCACCACGCCTGGCTAATTATCGTATTTTTAGTAGAGACGGGGTTTCACCATGTTGACCAGGCTGGTCTTGAACTCCTGATCACAGGTAATCCTCCACCTTGACCTCCCAAAGTGCTGGGATTACAGATGTGAGCCACCGTGCCCGGTCAATATCCCAATATCTTCAGACAGAAGCGTTCTTAATTTTGCTTTAAAGATAATATTGATTGTTGCAAAATATAGTAATTAAAAAATCCTGTATCACAAACCCTTGCAACAGAGCATGTCTCCTCATCATCTTTTTTTATCCTATATATAAGCAAGTATTGTATCTAGGGTGGATGCATTCTCTTACTTTCGGGAACATCCTACTCTGCCTACGGAGTAGGATGTTTTTTCACCACTTTACTTTCTTAATAAACTTCTTTTTGCTTTGCACTGTGGATTTGCCCTGAATTCTTTCTGGCATGAGATCCAAGAACACTCTCTTGGAGTCTGGATCGGGACTCCTTTCCTGCAACAAAACCATGTGCAGTGTGAGTGCAGGAACATTGCCGCTGCTTGGAGAATTGCTGAGCCTAACTGTTGCAAAAACAAATTCTGCTGGCTGCCATCATTGTCAAAGTGGGGAAGGCTCTCTGTCTACTCACACATGCATATTGGAGCTCTTGCTCTACTTGGCTTACCTCTTCTATTTTCTTAGTTTTCTTGCAACATTATGCATGTCTAAATTCCTTTCCTTATTAGCAAATGGAGAACTTTGCTCTTGGCTGGGGCGCTGAGTCTGATAGTTACATGGAGTTTCACAAAAGAATAGGCTGCAGGGCAAAGGGGAAACTGAAGGCATAATCTTGGGGGAAAGTGGAGTTGAAAGTCAAGGTGTCCAAATAAAGAATCCCTTCAAAGGTCAGGGAATGAGTCAGGAGAGAAAACTATTTATTAACATATTTTAACAAGCATCTTGTTAAACTATTTTTTCATTTACCTCTCCTGACTTCTGCGGGTATGTGAAATTGCAACTCCCACTTTAGAGACATAAACAAGTTTTGTTTTCATTCCTTTCCTTTTCACTTAGGAATCTCAACTTCAGTATTATAAAACTTACATTAATCCTAAAGTAATTCCTGCCCTTCTTCCCAGATTCCTGAGGACCCTATTTGGCTCTTAGAACCATTACCATGTTTCTAAACGTTGAACTGCATCTCATGAGGCAGCACACAATTAATTTCCAAATGTGTATCAAAAATTTCAAGTTAGGAGACTGAGTTAGAAATGATTGATTTTTTTAAAAAGGAAAAACAGAGCTTTTTTCTTTTCTTTTCATAACTTTGGTAAATCTAAAATTACATTGTTTGGGGCCATGAATGTTTATTATGTAACACTTGGTTTTGGGGGCATGAAAATCTATTGTATAACACTTGGCATGCTTATTTAAACAATTTGGTTGATATATTTAGGATATAATATATGTTCGTCTTGTCTAAAAAAATATGGAGAAAGGAAGTCCCTCCACCTTGCCATCTCCTATCTAGGTGACTTTGAGTATGGTGATGACATTATAGATACCACACCGAAACCATGATTCATTAAAACTAATTCATAAGCCAGACTTCATTAGAATTAAAGGTTTCTGCTCTGTCGAGGCCACTAACAAAGAATAAGAAGATGACCCCATAGACTGGGAGAAAATATTTGCAAAACACATATCTGATAAAAAAAAAAGACTGTTATCCAAAATATACCCACCCCCTGAAAAAACCCTCTTAAAACTCAACAGTAAGAAAGTGAACAACCAGATTGGTTGCCCACAACAAATGGGCAAAAGATCTGAACAGACATCTCACCAAAAAAGATACAGATGACTAATAAGCACATAAAAAGATGTTCACCATCGTATATTATCAGGGAAATGTGACTCAAAATGATGAGATACCTCTATACACCTATTTAAATGGCAAAAATTCAAAACAGTGAGAACACCAAATGCTGGTGAGAATGTGGAGCAACCGGGACTCTCTTTTATTGCAGATGGCAATGAAAAATTGTGTAGCCACCTTGGAAGACAGTTTGGTAGTTTCTTCTGAACATATAATTCAAAAATCATGCTCCTTGGAATTTTCTCATATTAGTTAGAAACACATCCATACAAAAATCTGCATGCAGATATCTATAGCAGCTAAATTAATAATTACCAAAATGTGGAAGAAACCAAGATGTCCTTCAATAGGTGAATGAATAAGTAAACTGCGGTATATCCATTCAATGGAATATTATTCACCATTAAAAAGAAATGCACTGTCACACAGTGAAAATTACCATGTGAAGCAAGCCAATCTAAAAAAGCTACAAACTTTATGGTTCCAACTACGTAACATTCTGCAACAGGCACAACTATGAAGACAGTAAAAAGATCAGTGGTTGTCTGGGGTTAGGGAAGAAGAGGGAATGAATCAGCAGAGCACAGAGAACTTTCAGGGCAGTGATACTATTCTGCATAATACTGTAATGATGGCTACATGTTATGATACATTTGCAAAGCTTATAGAACGTGCAACACCAAGGGTGAACCCTAATGTATAGTATGAACTTTGGGTGACAATGATATGTCAATGTCATATGGAGTTTCATTATAACAAATATAGTGCTCTTACGTGGGATATTGCTAGTGGGGGAAGCTATGAGTATGTGGGGGCAGGGAGTATGTGGAAAATCAGTGTACCTTCTGCTCAGCTTTGCTATAAACCTAAAACTAAAAAATAAAATCTATTTTAAAACCTAAAAAACAAAATCTATTAAAAAATAGGATTAGACATTTGCGTAACCTGAAGTGCCTCTAAGAAATCTTAGAGTCATCTGAAAGAGTTTGGTACCCACCAAGTGAAACTGTCGTTCATTTCATAACTAATAATATCATTGAAAACCACAATACAATCAAAATAAATTGAAGACACACCTCTTGAGAAACTTTACTAAATCTTCGCAAACATATTCTTTCCATTCCTAAATGTAACCTTATGGGTCAACTATTATTTTTAAGTTAACCTTCTTTATCTATAAGAAGGCTTTTAAAACTCATTTACATATAAGGAAACAGATGTACAAAGAAGATCAGTGGGTTGCTCAAGGTCACAGAGCTAGTAAGAGAAGAGACAGCGTCAATCCTAGGCTCTTGCGTGACACCCTGGAACTCCCTTATCCTGATCTCTTTCTTTGGGCAAGACCTATGACACCCCGCATGAGGAAAAAGAACTAAGTACACTCAGTGAAGCTGTGCCTTTGGATGACTGCATTGTGAGCTTTCCAGAGACTGCCAGTTCCTCTGCCTTGGGTTCTGAAGGGCACCAGCCAGGCCTCTCCTGAGTAGGAGGCTAACACAAGTCTGGCTCTGTCCAGGAAGGTCCTCTGTGCCCCATGGGTGGACTAAAATGAAGAATGCTGAAGAAGCCACTGAAATGACAGGGAAGGTTCATATTTCAAGCAGAAAATACAGCAAATGTGAAAGCCTTGAGTTGGGAACAAGCAGATGCCTGTGGCCAGGCAGGAGAAGGAGCCCCCAGGAACCACCAGTGGCAGGGCAGAGGTGTACATAGTTTACATTTTATTCCACTGAAACATTTCCTCCTTATCATTTCTTTTCATTCCTGCGTATGTGTTGACCTCAACTCAGATGGAAGCCTTGCAGCTGAAGGCAGAAGAGGGGAGGAGGCCTTACATGGTACCACTGACTGTCAGGAAATGAGCATATTTGGTTAACAAGAGAGGGATGAGGAGAGAGAAACAATTGAGTTCTGTTTCCTGAGTGACAGAGCTAGCACCAGGCTCTGCTGAAGAAAGCACAAACAAAAGCTTTATTTGTTTCCCAGCAGCAGTGCCCACTAAGGCCTCTCCACAGAAAAGAGATCTGAAGAAGAAGCCAATGAGATTTATTTTTACCATACCGAGTATGTGTGTTGAAAGTGAGAGGCATCTGGGGGAGTTACTTTTTAGCTGCCTCTTACATAGCTTCCCAGCTAAGGAGTTTTGGCATCTACCTCCTTAGGAATTCCTACTTTATCCTTCATGCTTCAAGACTAAAGCTCTTGCAGTTCCCCGAACAATGTTATCCCTCTCTTCTACTCAGTCTCAATCTGTTTTGGCTCACGTTTTCAGATTCTTTATTTTTGACCTCAGCATTACTTTCATCAGAAAGATTTTTTGGCTCTGTCCCAGGGTGACATCAATTGGGCTTTTTTGGAAAAGATTCATAGAGGCTTTTGTGTGCAGAAAACAATACTTACAGTACTCTGTGTTGTCACTGACACTCATTCAACTACAATTATAAACGGAAAACTTTGCTTTTCTTAAGGTTTTAAACATAATTGAAAAACATTTGGTATTAATCTATAAATGTAAACATTTTTCAGTTAAATTAAGCACGGTTTGTCCTTGGTTATTGTTTGGTTGGCATATATATATATATATATATATATATATATATGTATGTATGTATTTCACGAACAAAATGTATATAAATCTTTAGGTACTATATATAAGCTTAAATTATTTCATATTTTAAATATACAGTTGACTCTTGAAAAAGGCAGATGTTAAGGACATTGTCTCCCTTCACAGTAAAAAATCTACATATAACTTGACTCTCCAGAAACTTAACTACTAATAGACTACTGCTGACTGGAAGAATTACTGATAATATAAACACTCAATTAACACATATTTTATATATTATGTGTATTATATACTGTATTCTTACAATAAAGTAAGATAGAGAAAAGAAATGTTATTAAGCTATTCCTAAGAGAAAATATATTTACTATTCATTAAGTGGATCATCATAAAGGTCTTCATCCTTGTCATCTTCACACTGAGTAGGTTGAGAAAGAGAGGAAAGAGGAAGGGTTGGTCTTGCTGTCTCAGGGGTGGCAGAACTGAAAGAGGTGGAAGAGGTGGAAGGAGGAGTGGCAGGCACAGTGGTGTAGCTTTACAGAAATACATGATTTCTGTCTGCCTTTTTTGCTTTTTCATTTCTCCAAAGATAATACCATACAGTACCAATCCTTCCACCATTTGCTTTAATTTCAGTTCTTGTATCATAGAAGACTCCATGTTGTACAAAAAGTCAGAAGCAGTGTTAAATAATTGTAACCCTTCTGCCAGATTGTCTAATGTCAATTTGTTTTCTGGCACTGCTTCTCCTATGTACTCTTCCTCACTATCTCACACTGGTTTGGAAGTCCTTATCTCCATCAAGTTTTCTTCTGTTAATTCTTCTGATGTGGTGCCTATGCGTTCTTGAACTTCTTCATGATTCATATCTTGAAACCTCTCATCCCTGCACCATTTTTGCCATATCCACAATCTCTTTCAAGATTCCTTTGACTGGTCCTGCCACAAATCCTGTGAAATCATGCACAACACCTGGACACAGTTTTCTCCAGCAAAATTTATTTGTTTGGGCCTGATTGCTTTCACAGCATTTTCTGTAACAACGATGGCATCTTCAATGGGGTAATCTTCCAAACTTTCATGATGTGCTCTCTATTGGGATTCTCCTCCATAGTGCTGACAATCATTCCATAGACTACCGTGAATAATGAGCCTTAAAGGTCCTTATGATCCCCCGATCTCCGCTGAATTACAGATGCTGAGTTTGTGGCCAAATAGACCACTTTGATGCCTTTGGTGTAGAACTCGTAGAGTTCTAGGTGGCCAGGGACATTGTCCAATATCAAAATAACTTTATAAAAAAGCCCTTTACTGGCAAAGTACTTCCCAATTTCAGGAACAAAGCATTGATAGAACCAATCAGAAAAAGAGTTCTCATTTTCTGGGCCTTCTTGTTGTAATACAGCCAAGAGACTGACAGCTGGTGTTTTATTTTCCTTCAAGGTTTGGGTGTTAGTAGCTTTATAGATAGGGACAGCCCTGATCACAAACCCAACTGCTTTTGCACAAAACAATAGCATTAGCCTATCCCTTCCTGCCTTAAATCCTGGTGCTTGCTTTTCTTCCTTACTAGTAAATATCTTTTGTGGCATTTCTCCCCCACCCCCCAAAATGGGGCACTTTCATCTGCAATAAAAATCTCTTCAGGAAAATGTCCTTTATCCTCAATGGGTTTCTTAATGGTGTGTGGAAATTTGCTGCCTCTTGGTTGGCAAAAGCTGCTTTTCTTGTTATCTTGTCATTTTTTAAGCCACACTTCTTTCTAAAATTATCAAACTATCCTTTCTGGCATTAAGTTCTCCAGATTTAGATCTTTCACCTTCCTTTTGCTTTAAGTTATCATATAGTGACTTTGCTTTTTCTTGAATCATGTTAGAGTGTATAAGTATGCCTTTCTTATAGCAATCCTGCACCCACATAAAAGGTGCATTTTCAATATGACATAAAAAGGTATTTTGCAAAAAGTGCGAAGTCTTGGTACTTCCTGGCCTAGCTGTAGTGATGGCTTCATATCTTCTCTTTTCTTCTCTTTTTTTTCTTTTCTTTTCCAATGAGCCTTATACTAGATTCATTTATCCTGAAGTGACAGGAAACTTCAGCTGCAGACCCCAATCTATGGGACCTATCAAACAATTCACCTTTTTTTGGTAATGTCGTGACTCTTCTCTGTTTCTTGGGAGCACTTCCAGCAGCACTACTGACTCTTTGTATGGGTCCCATGGTGTTATTGAAGGTTTATGATATTGCACTGAAAAATGAGTGAGAACTTCAAAAGGTCACTTTTTACTGGGATACGCAATTTATGGATGAGACAAACTGCTCACTTGGAGGTGATTAGCATCACATGACATTTCAAGCAGATACAATGCTTGAGCTCACTGCAATAGCAATGAGAGGTGGCTACAAAAGTATTACAGAAGTACCACATGTACTATAATTAATTATAGTTTTTATGCAGTTATTATTTTGATAGTACATCTCAATTTATTTACATTTTTCTCAACTGAGAATGGTGCCATGTAGTCTTTAAGTGTCTGTATGTGTAAGTGTAGACAAACTAACTTTTTATAATAGATTTTTGTACATCTTATAGAGTAAATAAGAAAATAGACTAGTATCAATATGTTTTATGCATTCATGGCGTACCTTTTTCTTAATCTTTTTGCTATTTCTAGGCATGATTTATCTGTGAATATTTAAACATTGTCAGACATCTCCAAAAATTTTTCTAATACACTTATTGAAAAAAAAAATCCATGTATAGGTGAACCCTTGCAATTGAAATCCATGTTGTTCAAAGGTCAATGGTATATAATTCAAGAAATGGAAGTCTAAGTCCAATAATATGATTGTTTCTAAATAGTTAAACATATTTTATGTACTTGGTTAATTATATTCCTATAAATGTTTCCAGCTATGGTCACAATTTCATATAATGGATTTTCTCAAGAACTTTAAGCACCTAAAAGAGCAGATTACAAATCCCATAAAGAAATCCTTTCTATACACATAAGTAATTGGGATAAGTCAAATAATAAAATTACACATTTCCATATGGTTCTCTTAAGCATTTAAACATCATAAAACTTGCCCTCATATATTTAGTAAATCAGGTTAACTATTTAAAATTAATTGCAAGCATACCTTTTTTTTTTTTTTTTTAGATGGAGTCTTGCTCTTGTTACCCAGGTTGGAGTGCAATGGCACAATCTCGGCTCACTGCAACCACCTCCAAGTGATTCTCCTGCCTCAGCCTGCAGAGTAGTGGGATTACAGGCGCCCGCCACCACACCCAGCTAATTTTTTTATTTTTAGTAGAGACGGGGTTTCACTGTGTTGGCCAGGCTGGTCTCTAACTCCTGACCTCAGACGTTCCACCCGCCTCAGCCTCCCAAAGTGCTGGGATTATAGGCGTGAGCCACCGCGCCTGGCCTATACATAGGTAAAATCTTCAAGTGTTTTAGTTAAAACCATCTATTATGTTAGTTTCTCAAATATTTTTAATACAAAGCATATACAAAGCAGTATCATGATTTTTTAAACTTGTTATATTTGCATAAAAACAAATTATGCAAAAATGACAATATCATATTCATTTTTAAAAATCATCTATTTCTCTTTTTTTGATGTAGCCTTGAGTTTGCAAAGTCATTTAATTAAGTAGAACAGAATTATTTCAGGCCCACCACTAAAGCTGAGATTATTCACTCAGAGTTGTTGGTCAGAGATTTGATAACAACAGTATGGATTTGGGGTCACTGGTCACTGGACAAGGAATTAAAATCTGGAACATGTGGACTAATGCAGAGCACCTTCTGAGAAAATTCAGCTCAGGTTTATAAGGAAAATCCCCTCTCAAGAGTTCTGCTGTTAATGGAGAACTCATTGATATTATCAATTTACTGTATCACATAAATTTTTGCCATCTTTCAAATTTACCCTGAGACAAATTCTGTCATAACTGCCTATAACATTTTATCACTTGATTGGATAGATGAATACGCACAACCAGATTTGAATCTCTTTGCTTCCTAATTAGAATAAACACAGTAGTGTAAGATTTTATATTCTATGGCTTAGCAAACACGATTCCATTATTAATAGCTAGTATTCTGGTCTTATTATTTAAGCTGGGCAAGGCTGGAAGTGAGAACGTAAATTCAAGCAAAGTTCAGAGAAACCAGTTGTATGAGCTTCCTGTGGCTGCTGTAACAAAGTACCATGAACAAGGTTGTTTATTGTCTTGTAGGTCTGTAATATAGAAGTCTGAAATCAAGGTGTCAGCAGCACCATGCTCTCTTGAAATCTTTAGAAGAGGATCCTTCCTTGCCTCTTCCTAGCTTCTGGTGGTCCGCAGGCAATCTTTGGTGTTCCTTGGTTTGTATATGCATCGCTCTAGTCCTCCATCTTCACACGAAGTTCTTCTTGTGCCTCTGTGTCTTCACATGGCATCCTTTTTATAAGGATGTCAGTCATATTGGATAGCACCCTACTCCAGCATAATACCATCTTAACTTAATTACATCTGCGATGACCTGTCTCCAAATCAGGTCACATTCTGAGGAACCCAGGGTTTGGACTTCAACATATGTTTTTTGGAGGAAGCAGTTTGATCTCTAACGCCATGTTAAAATCAATGGACTGTAGATCCTGGTAATGTTAAGCAGTTTATCAACCTTGGCATTATTGACCTGTTGCACTGAATAATTCTTTGCACTGAATTATGTTTTGTACTGGAAAATTCAGGAGGTCTGTCCTGTATATTGGGAGATGTCACCAGCATCTTTGGCCTTTACCTGTTAGATGCCAGTAACACCCTCTTGGTGTGATAACCAAAAATGTCTTCAGACATCTCTAAATACCTGCTGGAGGGGTGGACATCAACATTGCCCTTAGTTGAAAACCACAGATGAAAGAAAAAGAATAAAGAAAGGCATACATAAAGGAAAGCCAGAGAGGAAGCGAACAGGAAAAATAGGAAATTTTCTTATGGCAATGGGAAGTGTGTAAATGAGGTAACAAAGGGGTATTAGTTTCTGTAAGAAAAAGATTAGGATATGATTATAGGAGTGAGGCAAGTGCCAGATGTAGGATGAGGACTGGGTTGGTAGAGGGGAAAAAGCCTGGGAATTAAAAGGATCATGTGTGTACACATTGATATATAGCGAATAATTTTATCACAGAAGTAGTTTTGGAGGCTGACTGTTAACCAGGAACTAAAATCTTCAAGAAATGTGGGAGGCAGGGGTGATCTGGGGAAGATGAATGACTATAACAAAGGGAAGGAGAAGGTAAAATATCTGATTATTTGAGATTCAAGCAAGTCCTTTTATGGAGTCAGAAAAGACAGCAGCCTAGAAGTGGCAATGGGGGACAAAAAGGACATCCCTTCCCCCCATGCATATGTCTGCATCCAGTGATACAAGAAAGGCAAAACCACTGCAGGGGGCTGCAGGGGATACTGTCCTCCAGGGGCACCAAGTTCAGTTAGTGCAAGAAGAGGTGGAAGGGAACTTTTAGGAAAAAACTTGAGGCCACAGAGAAGTTTGCTGATTATTGGAGTTCCAGGGAACAGAGTTGGAGGAGTTCAGTGGTTGAGGACTGATCAAAAACAGGAATTAACAGAGCCTTATCAAAATGAGTGTAAGGAGGAATGAGCAATTTCCTAAGAATCAGTCCTTGGTTTCTTGCAATGACTGATGTAAATATGGATAAAGACATATTAGATAATGGTGACAAAGCTGGTGTTTTTGAGAGATGAGGGAGGAGGGATCTTGTCAGGAGCATGCAAAGTTTGAGGGCTCTCTCTTAATCTTTGATGGTGGATTTTTCAGGGTCATTTTTCACTGGGCCCTGAATGGCAGCTTAGAGGAAAGCAGTTTTCTGCCAGCAAGATATTTAAAAAAGAAAGAAAAAAGCTTGAGTGTTGGAACCTGAACCCTCTGAGTTTGTATGCCAGCTCTCAGCTCTGCTACAAAGAAGAAGGGAGATGTCTTGTCTTTTTTTTTTTTTTTTTTTTTTTTCTGAGATGGAGTCTTGCTTTGCTACCCAGGCTGCCATGTAGTGGCTCCATCTCAGCTCACTGCAACCTCCGCCTCCTGGGTTCAAGCAATTCTCGTGCCTCAGCCACCGGAGTAGCTGGAGTACCTGGGATTACAGGTGTGCATCACCAAGCCCGGCTAGTTTTTGTATTTTCTAGTAGAGACGGGGTTTTGTCATTTGGCAAGACTGGTCTCGAACTTTATTTTTAACAAAAAAGTTACTGAAATATATACTGAACTGTCTGCTGAGTTGTACAGACATTAATAACTCAGTCACATTTTAAATCAATGTTTTTTGCACTTTCACATAACCCATGGGGAGAAATACCTTTTATGGCATAATCCAAAGTACATATTTGTGAGCATTTTATTAATGAATACTTGCCCTTATTGCATGTTATGCACACTGGTAATTTATTTATCATATTATTATTTTGTATGAGACAGGGTCTTGCTCTGTCACCCAGGCTGGAATGCATTGGTGCAATCATGGCTCACTGCATCCTGGACCTCCTGGGCTCAAGAGATCCTTTCACTTCAGTCTCCCAAGTAGTTCAGACTGCAGACATGTAGTCACTTCATCCTCTCCATTCACATGATTTACACTTTGTAACTTCACATTCATCCTCTCCATTTACCTAGATCACACGCATCAGGTAACATCCTCTCTATTTACAATATGGCACATACTGAGTAAATGACTCTGTGACTTCACTTCATTCTCTTCATTTACATAGAATATATGCCAAGTAACCAATGGGAAACCTCTAGAGTATTGAAACCCCAGAATATTCTGTAAGTGGGGCTCTTGAGCCCCTATGCTCGGCCCGCTCCCACACTGTGGAGTGTATTTTCATTCTCAATAAATCCCTGCCCTTGCTTTCCTCGCTTTGTTTGTGTGTTTTGTCCAATTCTTTGTTCCAGATGCCAAGAACCTGGATACCTTCTACTGGTAACACTGCTGTTTTTTATATTGTTTCAAATAGAAACAATTAAGTTCATCTCATGATACCAATTTTGAAGCAACTTTATTCTACAAACATACATTGAGCACCTTCTCTCAGCCTAGTTCTGATGGTTATTTCAAATTTAAAGAATAATGTAGATTCTGTACCACAGGCCACTGGGGAAAACAAATACATAAATACTTACCAAATAAAGCATTACAATAGAAATCTGTCAAAGTGCTGTTGGATCTTAGCCTAGAAAATCTGAGAACATCCTTCAAAAGGAGAGGACAATTAAACCTTGCTTCAAGATGGAGTAGGACTTGTGTATACAGAGAAAATGTGCTATGAAGATATAAATTGTGTTCCAGGTGGTTATTTCTTAGGCTAAGACACGTACAGAATTTGGTTTATACAAATAGTGCTTTACCACTTTTCTTCTGAAATTTAATCAATCTCATTTATCATCTTTCTTGGATTTTAGAAAAAATATTTCATTTCTGTAGAATTGTCCTGCTGTTGGCTGCCTAACTATAGCCAAAGAAGTGACAAACTAAAGAACTTTCTGGAAGTAATTTCACAGAAAATACCAAGTAAAGCACATACTAATTTGGGTAAGATTTAATCTGCCTGCCAGGAGTATTCATCATGTGGATTGTGCTGTGGTTACAAAGAACACCAAAACTGTTTCCGCACTCAAGATGCGTGCATGTGCTGGGAAGGGGAACAGACAAATTAAAGAAGAAGACAGGCAGTAAGTAGTGTGTAGAGCCATGAGAGGGGATCTTCTGACTCTGGGAAACGGTAGAGTTGGTCTCAGAGAAAGCACTCTGGAGAGGAAGAAGGGGCACCTGAAATCTAGATATGTGTTAATTTACTTAGTTCAGCAGTTGCAGATTCAAGCTCTATGAGAGGTCAGGGAGGTAACCGAGATGAGTGTAACACCCTGTGGACAAGATAAGATGTGGTGGGGTCTTGGCAAACCAAGCATCATAGCCAGTCTACGGGAAGCAGTGGGCAGTCCTCTGGCCGAGTGTATGAGTCTGTTTTCACGCTGCTGATAAAGACATACCTGAGACTGGGAATAAAAAGAGGTTTAATTGGACTTAACAGTTTCACATGGCTGGGGAGGCCTCAGAATCATGGCAGAGGCTAAAGGTACTTCTTAAATGGCAGTGGCAAGAGAAAATGAGGAAGATGCAAAAGCAGAAACCCCCGATAAAACCATCAGATCTCGTGAGACTTATTCACTATCATGAGAACAGTGTGGGGAAAACTACCCCAGTGATTCAAATTATCTCTCACTGGGTCCCTCCCACAACACATGGGAATTATGGGAGTACAATTCAAGATGAAATTTGGGTCGGGACACAGAGCCAAACCATATCATTCTGCCCTTGGCCCCTCCAAATCTTATGCCCTCACATTTCAAAACAAATCATGCGTTCCAACAGTTCCCCAAAGTCTTAACTCATTTCAACATTACCCAAAAGTCCACAGTCTAAAGTCTCATCTGAGACAAGGCAAGCTCCTTCCATCTATGAGCCTACAAAATCAAAAGCAAACCAGTTACTTCCTAGATACAATGGAAGGTATGGGGTAAATACAGCTGTTCCAAATGAGATAAATTGTACAAAATAAAGGGGTTACAGGGCCCATGCAAGTCCAAAATCCATTGGGGCAGTCAGATTTTAAATCTCTAAAATGATCTCCTTTGATTCCAGGTCTCACATCGAGGTCACGCTGATGAAAAAGGTGGGTTCCCATGATCTTGGGCAGCTCCACCCCTGTGGCTTTGCAGGGTACACCCTCCCTCCCAGCTACTTTCACAGGCTGGCATTGTGTGTCTGTGGCTTTTCTAGGCAAACGGTGCAAGCTATTGGTGGATCTATCATTCTGGGGTCTGGAGGACAATGGCTCTCTTCTCACAACTCCACTAGGTGGTGGCCCAGTAGGGACTCTGTGTGGGGCTCTGACCCCACATTTCCCTTCTGCACTGCCCTAGCAGAGGTTCTCCATGAGTGCCCTGCCCCTGCAGCAAACTTCTGCCTGGGCATCCAGGGATTTCCATACATCTTCTGAAGTCTAGGCGGAGGTTCTCAAACCTCAATTCTTGACTTCTGTGCACTCATAGGCTCAATACCACATGGAAGCTGCCAAGTCTTGGGGCTTGCACCCTCTGAAGCCACAGCCCGAGCTCTATGTTGGCCCCTTTCAGCCACAGCTGGAGCAGCTGGGATGCAGAGCACCAAGTCCCTAGGCTGCACACAGCATGGGGATACTGGGTCTGGCCTAAGAAACCATTTTCTCCTAGGCCTCCAGGCCTGTGATTGGGGGGGCTGCCATGAAGACCTCTGACATGTCCTGGAGTCATTTTCCCCATCCTCTTGGGGATTGACATTCAGCTCCTTGTTACTTATGCAAATTTCTGCAGCAGGCTTGAATTTGTCCTCAGAAAATGGGATCAAACCATATCACCAAACACAGGCTGAGGTTTTTAAAAAGCAAGCCAGGGAATTCATACTTCTATAGAAAAGGTTTTTTAAAAACTTCTCTATTTTGTTAAAACACTTGGTAGGCCAAACAAAACACATTTGCTAGTGGAGGAGGTCATTCATGACCAATTTTTTACTTCTGCTCTGTTAATTAAGGCTTTTCTAGAATTCTATATTTAAAATGAAAATTTCTTTATTGGAAATAATTGTAATACCTTAGTGTGAATGGTGTATTTGATTATTTTAATTGGAGTAAATGGAATTAGTGCTTTTTAAGTCTCTCTTATGGGCTAGGTTACCAGGAAAATAACTCTTAGCATCCTAGAAAGAAGCAATGCTTTCAGGATGAAAAGGATAAAGTCTGCGAAGCCCTCAGGTAAAGATGGAAAGAAACACTGGAAGGGAAGGAGCAAGTAAGAGGACTCTGGGAGAGGTGATCTCCTTTTATTGTGCATTCAATTCCTTTGTAGAGTTGGGGAAAGGGAGATATTTTAGCAAGGGTCAGTCCTGGCTACTATTCTGGGACAGTAATAAATTAGTTTTCTTTTTCTTTTGTTCATTTAGGAACTACAGTACTGTTATGTCAGTAACATACATCACAGTCGTACGTCTCCAGGCTTCTTATCTTCCTTTGAACCTGACCTGGCTACTGTTTGGTGGATTATAGAGGAAAAGCTGTAATGGGAAAGTAGGTTGGGTGAAGGGATGAGAAAAAGGAAAGCATCGTGGAGCACATTAGCAGGCTTTCTCCATGAAGAAGCAGGTATGTGCCCAGTGGAGACTCACAAGACGGGAATTATAGACCTTTTTTCTCTCTTCTTTTCACTTCCTACATGCTTTTTTTCCCTCCCTACCTTTTCCATTTGCTCTCCACTCCTTAAAGGAGACGTATACCTCAATGCCCTGGGATGTGGAGGGGTTGGAGGCAGCAAAATGTTAGTGCCACTGTGTACCAGTCTACCCTGGACTCTTGACATGCCAGCAGAAATGTGTACTTTCCATCAGAACCAAGGCACCATGCAAACCTTGTCAGAAATTCACAGAGAACCAACTGGGTATGGTGGCTCACGCCTGTAATCCCAGCACTTTGGGAAGCTGAGGTGAGTGGATCACGAGGTCAGGAGATCGAGACCGTCCTGGCTAACAGGGTGAAACCCCGTCTCTACTAAAAATAGAAAAAATTAGCCGGGCCTGGTGGCAGGCGCCTGTAGTCCCAGCTACTGGGGAGGCTGAGGCAGAATGGCATGAACCAGGGAGGCGGAGCTTGCAGTGAGCCAAGATAGCACCACTGCACTCCAGCCTGGGAAACAGAGACAGACTACGTCTCAAAAAAAAAAAAAAATTCACAGAGGACCAAAAAAGCATGCTGTGGACAGATTTGCTACCTGTCTATGCTGACACACCCTTTAAAAACATTCCACCTAGAGTCCCGATAAGTAATAGTCAGACCATATACTCTGACTTTTAGTTGTGATCAAAGACCTGAAGAGTTTTCCTGGTGGCACAATGAGTGTTCAAAAGACTAAAAAAGGAGTATATGGTGTAAATAATGTGTAAGTAAATGCTATCATTTCCACGCTGGACTAGCATTACTAGGAGAATAGATGAGTCAATCAGAGAGGAGAGGCAGAATGTCTTCATGGAAGAGAAGTAACCTCACTAGTTATACCACGGTGATTAAGGGATTTCTTTCTCCAAACACCATTGGGCTCTGCTAGCTGCCAGATTCTTGCAGCCCCTGACAGAGTGAAAGGCCCAAAGCATGGGTAGTGGCAATTTATTCCTAGACCTAGGGACCTAATCTTTAGAAGCAGAAAATAGAATTGTCCTTAAGGGTGGGAATACAATATGGGAGGGAACAGACATATATTTAGGGCCTATGCCAAGCACAAGATCGGGAACAGAAGTGGGCGTTACAGAGTACGTTCATCAGCTGCTTGTTCAAGAGGTGGCCTAGCTGTTGTTTCAGTGTCTTAAACAGTCAAGCATGTTTAGTCATGCCTGCGGGTTCTTTTGCAATCCAGTTTCCTCAGAAACTGACAAGGCTTCTATACTATTTTCCTCCCAGTGAGTTCTGTTTCCAGGACATACACAATATTCTTAGATATACTTCTTACGTATAGTTTTCAAGCCTGTCTTACTTTTTTGCTTCCCCACCTCTACGCCTCGCTCTCAGTTTAATTGCAGCTAATTTGAAGGCTAGTAGGCTCAAGCAAGAAGATATTGCATCTCATTTTTTTTCTCCTCAAATAAGAAATTCAAGTCTGAAGAAAGTTAGAAAATGTTTTCAAAGTTACAAAATTAATAATTGGCAAAGTTATCAGGTGCAGCGGCTCACGCCTGTAATCCCAGCACTTTGGGAGGCTGGGCTGAGGCGGGTGGATCACCTGAGATCAGGAGTTCATATTGGCCTGGCCAATATGGTGAAACTCTGTCTACTAAAAATACAAAAATTAGCCTGGCGTGGTGGCAGGCACCTATAATCCCAGCTACTCGGGAGGAGGAGACAGGAGAATCACTTGAACCCAGGAGGCAGAGGTTGCAGTGAGTGGAGATTGCACCATCGCACTCCAGCCTGGGCAACAAGAGTGAAACTCCATCTCAAAAAAAACAAACAAAAAAATTGGCAGAGTTGAGATTCTATCTTGCATTCCTCAGACTTAGAAACCTGTGCTGTTTTTCTTTCATTAAGCCCAGTAGAGAATTCTCAGCATTTCTGACAGTTTGGAAGACAGGTACTTAATGGACTATAGCCTCCTCGGCAATGTCTGGGAGACCTGTGATATAAAGTGGAGTCTGGACATTAAAAAAAGAGAGAAAAGGAGAAGAGAAGGTAGAAAAGAAAAGTGTACCATAGAGACAAAGAAAAGAAGTAAATGCATATGTTCCAGTAGAGTGGCCTTGGGCCTCAGTGGAGTTCAAGCAAAGGTGTCCATTCTTGGAATATCCTGCTAAGACTGTGGTCTCTTAATCATGTCTAATTTTACTACCACATTTTAAAATATGGTAAAGAATATCTTAGTTCATTTTGTGTTGCTATAAAGGAATGCCTGAAGTTGGGTAGTTTAGGAAGGAAAAAAGGTTTATTTGGCTCACAATTCTGATTGCTGGAAAATTCATGATTGGGCACCCACATGTGGTGAGGGCCTTAGGCTGCCTCCACTCATGACAGAAAGTGAAGGGGTGATGATGTGTGCAGAGATCACATAGCGACAGAGGAAGCAAGAGAAGGGGGCAGATTCCAGGCTCATTTTAACAACTAGCTCTCTCAGAAACTAATATAGTGAGAATTCACTCACCCCCAAGGGAGGACATTAATCTATTCACGAGGGATCTGCCCCCATGACCGAAACACCTCCCATTCGGCCCCACCTCCAACATTAAGGATCAAATTTCAACATGAGATTGAAAAGCATAACAAAGAACAAGTAAAGGAAAACTGAAAATGTGGGTTATATCAAAGTCAAACTGTGAAATTTGAGAACTGCATTTATTTAATCCTACTGACCTTTAGTTTCCTCCCCTGTAAAATGTGAATAGTGGTACAATATTGTAGATTCATTGCAAAGATAAAGCCATATAAGTTGAGTTCATAGCACAGTATCTGGCTCATAAAGAGATAGCAAATGCATCATCTCCTTCCTCTCTCCTTAAAAAATTTGTTTTATTTTGCAGTTATTTTCTAAAATTTGATTCTGTAAAATCTTTTTTGTGTTGACAATTCCAAAAGAAATTGATGTCAACATAGTTCTGCCAAGTTGCTCAAAAAGCAGGAGGAGGGCAGAAACATGAAGTAGAGATAATTTGCTTTCTGTGACCAACCTCTCATCCCCAAATCCCCAGTAGAATCCTAGATACATGAGTGATACATGGTGGTGATATGCCCCAGAGATTTGGTGGTGGTTTATAACACAGTCATGGCATTAGATAACTGACACAGTCATCATGGGTGAATTGCACAGAGTCAGAGGAAGTAGTATCAAATGAAGCTGATAAAGTGGCTAGAGGCCAGATTGTTGACCCTGTTACAGATCTTAGCTATCTTAAGAACAGTGGAAGCCATTGGAGAATATGAATCAGAGTTACGTAACATCATTATCAGAATTTAGAAAGATTACTTGGGTGTGTTGTAAAGAATGGATTGGCAATATTTCAGACAAGCAATGATAATGTCTAGAATAAAGGCAGTAGCAGTAGAGATGCAGAGATGTATATTTTATATTTAGGATGTTACAGTAATAAGGCTTTGATCAAAGTCCTATTTCATCAAATGGAAACAAATGGGGAAGTATTATGCATTCCTGCCAGATTTCTGGCTTGTGTGTATGATGGTTAATATTGAGTGTCAACTTGATGGAATTGAAAAGTGCAAAGTACTGTTCCTGGATGTGTTTGTGAGGGTGCTGCCAAAGGAGATTAAAATTTGAATCAGTGGGCTGAGAGAGGCAGACCACCCTCAATCTGAGTGGGTGCAATCTAATCAGCTGCCAGAAAGACTAGAATAAAGCAGGCAGAAGAAGGTGGGAGGAGCCGACTTGCTGAGTCTTCCGGTCTTTATCTTTCTCCCGTGCTGGATGCTTCCTGCCCTTGAATATCAGACACCAAGTTCTAAAGCTTTTGGACTGTGAGACTTATACCGGTGGTTTGTCAAGGGCTCTTGGGCCTTTGGCCACAGACTGAAGGCTGCACTGTCAGCTTCCCTACTTTTGAGGTTTTTGGACTTGGACTGACTTCCCTGCTCCTCAGCTTGCAGACAGCCTACTGTGGGACTTCAACTTGTGATCGCATGAGTCAATACTTGTTAATAAACTCCCCTTCATATATACATCTATCCTATTAGTCCTGTCCCTCTAGTGAACCCTGTGCCCAAATGGATGATGACACCATCCCCTGTTGATATGGACAGGAAACAGGGAAACACTAGGTAGAAGAGGGTGGTTCCCTGGCAAAGGCCCCTATCTCAAGCCTGAAGTCCTGTGGTCCTAAATGGGGACAGGCATTTCTGTTTTCATGTGAAGAAGTTGCCTTTTGGCCCACCATGCCCTCTATCCTGTATTCATATAAGCCCCAGGCTCCAGAAGCAGATGAGAAGATGAGGAGACAAGCAGATGGATTGCAAAATGGTGCAATAGAGAAAGAGAAAAGAAGAGGAATGTCTGAACACTGAGAGATTTCCAGCTGGGGTGGTCAGAGAAGGGTTCAGCCACAAGATGGCCAAAATCCAGGGAAGATCTTCTTCCCACTCCATTCCCTGCTTCTTGTTCCCCATCCATCCCACTGAGAGCCACCTCTACCACTCAATAAAACCTCTCATTCATCCTTCAAGCCCGTGTGTGACCTGATTTTTCCAAGATGCTGGGCAAGAGCTCAGGACACAGAAAGCTGTTGAACTGCCCCTCTGCCCTTGCAGAAAGGCAGAGAGTCCACTGAGCTGATTAACACCCAAGCCATTCGTGGATGGCAAGGCTAAAAGGGCACATTGTAACACACTCCACTTAGGCTCCTTCACCTGCCTGTCTGTGTGCTCCCCCTCCCCTAAGGGGTTTGAGGAGTGCTGGTGACTGAACAGGCGAGCCACACCCATCATATGTCCTTCGAGGGGGATCAGGGAACTCTCCTGTTTCACTGTAATAGAGAAAACTGGAGGAGGACCAGTTATGGGACTGGGAAAGACCAGGAGTTCAGCTTTGGACCTGTTCAGTTTGAGTTGCCTGTAAGTCAGCCAGTGGAGATGTTTTGTAGACAGCTGGATACATATATCTGAGCTCCAAGGAGTTAGAAGTAGTAATTTTGGACTTGTGAGTGTATAGATCATAACTGAAGACATGGCATGGATGAGATCACACAGGGAAAGAGTACACTATGAGCAAACAAGACAGCCTCTATCCAAGTTTTCGAGAATTGCAAAATTTAAAAATTAAGTACAGGAGGTTGGGCTGGAAAGATGAGAAAATCAAGGGCACATCATATTACAGATGACAATGAATTTCAAGAAAGAGTCTAATGTGAGACATGTACAGAAGAGGTAAAGAAAAATCATTAAACTTAGTGATATGGAGGTCACTAGAGTCCTTCTAGAAAGCAAAAAATTGCTTAGAATTTCAAGGGGACCGTGGAGTTGTCCCCTTATGTATGCCCCTGAGCCCAGGTTAAGAACTCCTACCTGTGGATTCCAAACAGTCATCTAACAGGGTAACCTAACTGGATTCAAAGTATTAATTTTCTACTCTCTCAATGGCAAGAAAAATTGCTTAGCTAACTTTAATGTCATTTGAAACTATGTGATTTTGTGTCCCAGGCAGGCTAGAGGTTCAAAGAAAGAGGTTATATTAATATAAATAAGGCAGCTTCTTTATTTGTCCATCGGAAAGTCTGTTCGTCTGCAATCATAGAAAGCATTAGATAAATCAGCTGCAGGGAGATAGCTGTACAGATGCGAAGCTCTGCCTGATGATTCCAGCCTATTTTCCTGGCATAATCAACAGTGACTTATTCCTTCCCTGGAAACTAATCTTCCTGTTTGGACCAATTGTATTATTCTTAACCACACCGTAGGTTATGGGCAACAGCATGAGTAAAATCTGGGAATTCCTGAGATGCGCTTCCAAAAAACTATGGTCGGGAATATGTAAATCTGAATAAATAAGAGCATGAGTTTATAAAAATTTCCAGTTCCACCCAATAAACTCTCTTCCTCCCTTTTTTTAAGAGATAAGATCTCGCCCTGTCACCAGCCTCTCTCCCTTTTGACCATTGAACCACTGAAACCCAACTCCAATTACTGAAGCCAACTATTTCATAACTCAGTCTCTCACACTCTTGAGCAGATTCAATAATAGGAAAGTTTATCTTTCACTTTTTCTGTTTTGGTTCTGGTCCTGCTCTCTGGATCTTTGTGTTAGTTTCCTATGGCTGCCATAACAAATGACCACAAATATGGTGGCTGAAAATGATAGAAATTTATTCTCTCACAGTTCTAAAAGCAAGGTGTTTGCAGAACTACATTCCATCCAAAGGCTCTAGGGGCAGTCTGTTCTTACCTCCTCCAGCTTTTGATGGCTCCAGATGTTCCTCAGCGTGTGGCCACATCACTCTAATTTTTGCTTCTGTGGTCACATTGCCTTCTCCTGTCCTCTGTATGTCTCGTATAAGGACACTTTTTACTGGATTTAGGGCATGCCCAGATAATCCAGAATGATCTCATGTCTAGACTCTTAAATTATATCTGCACAGACTCACTTATGAAATAATATCATATTCATAGGTTCTGGGGATTAGGATGTAGACCTATATTTGGGGGGATACAATTCAACCCACTACCACCTCCAATGAACACATCTATTTTCTCTTTCATAGAACTGCTTTTTCAATGGTTGAAGAAGCTGTTAGATTTCCTCTTGTTCATATTAAGGAAAAAATGGCTGATGTTACTGAAGCTCTACAATGTTCCAGGCATGTGCCAAAATAATATTACAATGTTAGCGTCTATTTTTACTTCCTATTCATTACCATTTCCCTTTTGTGCGTTATAACAGGTGGGGTCTTTTTGCTCACTGCCTCAGGAAAAGGATGTGGCGAGGGAAAAAGAATAGTAACTTATTCTTATTTTACAAAATGCTAAAATCTCAAGCTTTTGGGTAAAGTGAATCAGCACACGTGTGGGGAGAGAGAAGGAACAGAGCAGAGACAGGGAGACGATCTATGGATCCCATGAAAGAGGGTGCATGGGTAGATGTGATTGTGCTCAAACTGTCAAATAGGATGCTGCAAGGAGCCTGGGGCAAGTCACAACAGAAGAATTACAATTTGGCTGGTGTGGTGGCTCACGCCTGTATTCCCAGCACTTTGGGAGGCCGAGGTGGGCGGATCACCTGAGGTCAAGAGTTTGAGACCAGCCTGGCCAACATGGTGAAACCCTGTCTCTACCAAAAAAAAAAAAAAAATTACCTGGGTGTGTTGGTGGGCACCCGTAATCCCAGTTACTTGGGAGGCTGAGGTAGGAGAATTGCTTGAACCCGGGAGGTGGAGGTTGAGGTGAGCCAAGATTGTGCCACTACACTCCAGCCTGGGAAACAGAGCAAGACTCCATCAAAAAAAAAAAAAAAGAAAGAAAAGAAAAGAAAAAAAGAATTACAGTTCAAAGCTCGGTTTTGGAGTGAAGCCATACACATTTTCAGAAAAACGAAATTATTTCCTTTTGAGAAACAGCTTTTGGCTTACAATTGAGCCCTGGAAGTCCTTGATCATTGGGATACCAAGTTACTTTTTGCCCATAATTATGAACTGTGTGATTGATCCACCCAGGCATAAAGTCGGGCGTTCCCAATGACAGTATATCATCAAACAGAATTAGTATATATAAACCTAGGCTTGAGAAAGGCCTGAAGATACTGGTCCTCAGGATTAAATTAAGTTGTATGGGCAACTGACCATTCTTTCGGTGTATGTAGTCCTGTTGCATAGTCACCTGTCTCTCAACTATTTCAACTGCCTCAGTGGGAATTCCCATGAACAGCTGAATAAGGAACACAACAATCTAGACTGATTTATGAAGCAATGAAATTCAATATTCCACCTCATACTCTTTCAGAATTTTTGCTTCCTTTCCTGACAGCTCTGAATGAAACCACCCATGAAGACCTTTCAGCCAAAACCAAAGTTGCATCATTATCTGTGTGTGTAATCTTGAGTAAAATGTATTTCTTCATCTGTAAAATATAGGGGTCAGACATGATAGTTCTGAGGCCTCTTAGCTCAATGATTTTACTATTATCTGATGGGGGCCCATATACGATTCAATGTGGAAAAAAATAACAGGAAATCCACTATTTGGATAGTGGGTACACTAGAAGTCCAATCCCCAATAGTACATAATATATCTGTGTATCAAACATGCATATGTACCCCTGAGTATAAAATATAATAAAATAAAAATAAATAAATATATAACAAAAAATAAAATAAACAAAAAATAAAATAAAACAAAAATTACAGAAACTGAATATATCACCCAATTCCTCTGTCCCCTTTGTGCTATGAAACAATGGCAAAACCAAGAAATTTCCTTGTTTATTCCTTTGATATAGCCTGCCATTGACCAGAATGAAATATATCAAATTTCTGTCTTTAGAATAAACCTGAGTCTACGGAGTCAGATATCTGACTGAGGGAAATATTCACCAATTCAATTGAATTCATCTAACATTAGATCGCACATCCTTTTAGTGTCAGGGTCAAAATGCAAAGGCACACTTCCTATATTGGAACAGCCTTCTGTGGTGTGAACCCAGCCTATGTTTCCAGTACATTGCATGTTCCTTTCTCTGCTGCCCACCCTAACGTCCAGCCTAATGCTTCCCTTCCTTAGCCTCACTTGGTGTTCCACACCTCCTGCCTCTGCATATGCTGATCTCTCTGCCTGGAATATTTGTCATCCTGTAGTCCAACATTGTCACAGTTTATATGACGACTTCCCACAGCATCTCTAGAGAAAGCATCTTGTCTTATTTATTTTATATCAATAGAGCCAAGCAGAATACCTTTCTCATAATTGATGCTCAATAAATATTAGTTGGAATGAATGCTCAACCATGTGATTAAGCCAGTAGTTCTTACCTCCTGAGTCTATCTCAGGATAGAAGCAGTTCTCTTTTCACTCCATTCCCTCCTTCTTCAGTTCTCTGAAGTGGATTCTTCATTTATTCTCTGTGCTTCATTGCTCACCATCAAACTTTTGAATATGTCAGTTAGGTGTCCTTCTCACTTTTATTTGTTTCTTCTAATAGAGGAATGATATTTCTACGTAGCTATACTACTAACCCCAAACATGACCTCAATCTACTCTTTCATTACCTTACAAACTAGTGAAGTGGACTGTTTAATGACTAAAGGCTGGACTTCAGGTATTACTTCCTGGAGACATTCGCAAAGAGGTTTTAATTAAAATCACTTCAAAAATTTCTAACACATCAAAATTCTTTTCATCTAGTAATATCTAGCTTTATAACTGAAGAAATTACTTAGCCTTCCCGAGCATCTAGGGTTTGTTATTGCTGTTTCTTTGTAAATGAAATAAGGGTACCTTTTTATAGAGATGTCATGGATATTAATTGACACAGTATGAACAGCAATAAACACTGCATCTGGTAAAATAGTAAAGTGATCAATAATGTTAGCTGTTTTAATTATTATTATTTTATAGCACTTTACAGTTTTCTATGTGTAACCAGGGACTCATCTGATGAATCCTCATAATCACATAGTTGGGTAGATATTATGTCAGGAAACCCAGACTTGGAAATGCTTGCCTCATATTTTCCACTATATTTGTTCATTTAAGGATTAATTTTGATTGCCCCTTATTTTCACCAAAGTAACTCGAAGCAGTTTCAAAATATATATACTTAAAAAGTAGTCACCTGGGAATATTGGAACCAAGAAAAGGTGAGCAATCATGTACCAACCATAATGGTAAATAAATTCCATTGACTGAGTACCATATTTGGCTCTTAAAACAAATTAATGGTGGCTTTTCTGGATGGTGGTGTAATGGACTAATATTTTTTATGTCTCTACTTCCTTTATTTTTATTCTTCTGTACTTAACAATTTTTTATAATGAGCATGTATTATTTTTAATAATCAGCAAGAAGCATCTTAATCGGACGTTGGCTTCTTGACCATCAAGGCAAGAAGGAAAATTAGTCATTTATAGTCACACATTACTTAATATTGGAGATGTGCTCTGAGAAATGTGTCGTTAGGTGATTTTGTCATTGGGCAAACATCATAGAGTATACTTACACAAACCAAATAGTATAGCCTACTACACACCTAGGCTATCTAGTATAGCCTATTGCTTCTAGGCTACAACCCTGTGCAACATATTATTGTTCTGAATCCTGGAGGCAATGGTAACATCATGGTAGGTATTTGTGTATCTAAACATATCTAAACATAGAAAATGTACAATAAGAATATGATAGAAAAGATTTAGAAATGGTACATCTGTATAGGGCACTTACCATGAATGGAGCTTGCAGGACTAGAAGTTGCTCTGGGTGTCTGTGAGTGAGTGGTGAGTGAATAGGAAGGCCTAGGATATTACTGTAGACTTCTGTAGACTAAAAAATACTGTACATCTAGTATAAAAATAATTTTTCTCCAATGATAAATAACCTTAGCTTACTATGACTTTTTTACTTTATAAACTTTTTAATTTGTTTTAACTTTTTGACTCTTGTGGCAACACTTATCTTAAAATGCAAGCACATTATGCAGCTATACTAAAATATTGTCTTCATATTCTTATTGTATGAACACTTTGTATTTTAAATTTTTTTTACTCTTTCAATTTTTTTATTAAAAATGAAGACACAGACATACATATTAGCCTAGACCTACACAAGGTCAGGATCATCAATATCACTCTCTTCCACCTCCACATCTCGTCCCACTGAAAGATCTTCAGAGGCAATAACATCCAAAGAATTGTCGTCTCCTATAATAATGCTTTCTCCTGGAATACTTCCTGAAGGACCTTCCTGAGATTGTTTTACAATTAACTATATATTTAAAAGTAGAATGAGTACTCTTAAAACAATAAAAAGTATACTATAGTAAATTCATAAACTTGTAACATAATCATTTGTTATCATTATCAAGTATTATGTGCTATACATAATTGTATGTATTATACTTTCATATAAGTGGCAGCACAATAGGTTTGTATACACTAATATCACCACAAATGTTGTGAGTAATGCATTGCACTACAACCTTATGATGGCTATGACACCACTAGGTGAGAGGATTTTTTCAGCTCCATTATATAATCTTATGGGACCATTGTTGAATATGCAGTCTGTCATTGACAGAATCATCATTATGCAACACATGATTGTGTATAGTTAGAATAAAAAAGGAGACACAGGGAGGGGAACAACACACACTGGGGCCTGTCAGGGGAGGGTTGGGTGGAGGGGAGAGAGTATTAGGAAAAAGAGCTAATGCATGCTGGGCTTCATACCTAGGGCATAGGTTGATAGGTGCAGCAAACCCCAGTGGGACATGTTTACCTATGTAACAAATCTGCGTATGCTGCACATGTACCCCGGAACTTAAAAAAAGTTTTTTAAAGTAGAGAGTGTGCCAATTCCTTCAGGAAAGTAGTTTTTCTAGTATTGGTTTTCACTTGGAACACTAAGAAGTATAACGTACTTTAACTTCAGAATCATTTTTCAGCAAATACATTGACAATGCCTGAAAATGCTTCTTGTAGCATTGTTCCAGAAATGCAAGGAGTATAAGCAATTTCGTAATGGGCTAAGATCATGTGGTTCAAGAATAAATGCCAATTAAATGGATTTTGTGTTTTCAGTCAATTGTCCCTTAGGATCACTGTCAAATGAGGCCAGGAGTGAGTGTAAAGGAATGACTACTATGTCTGATTTAACAGTACTGAATTTGAAAATGTGTCAGGAACTGGCTATAATGGCTTGGAGTTCCTAAGGATGATAAATAAAATATGTGTTAAAAGTTTTGCAATTATGTGGTAAGTAGCATAACTCCAGAAATTATGAGGCACCTGCGCAGATGGGTGACCTCCCACCTGCATCCAGTTCAAGCCATGAGCAGGAATAGTCTGGTCATAGAGGAAGAAGTGATGCTGCCAGAGGTGTGAAGAGAGTATCATTTCAACTTGATTGTCTGCAATAGTGTATCCTCTGATAAATCATTGGTGGTCAAGAGAGTCACACCAACTGGTAAGAGAAACTATTGGAAACCTCTGTGCTATGTATCCTGGCCACACTTATTTTTTTTCTAAATCCAAAAGTATATTCTGTTTGCTTACCCAAACTGCATCAGTACACGGACTTTCTGTCAGCTCTTTCCTACTATGATACTTCTCAAGAGAATGGTTGTATACTCATTTTAACACCCATGCTTTGATGAATGATTGAGTGCAGAGTGTTTGGCATTCTGTTTTCATTGATAGAAGTCTATAGTAATGGAATTCAAGGTTGTTGAGAAAAAATTTTATTTGGAAACCAGATGAAAATGTGGCAGAGTTGAATATATTGTGAAAAAAAAGGAGATACTAGTGTTCTTGCTTAGCAAAGTAAGATATGAGTATTTTTTAAACTTTGGATTATAAGATTTTCAAACATACACCAAAATAAAGAGGAGAATATAAAGGCATCAATTTCAACAACGATCGATGTATGCCAATTTTATTCCCTATCATCCATACCCAAAATATCATAGCATTACATCTGTAATTATGTAGAATCAAAATATAAATTGAATTATAATAAACATATTTCTGGCTGGGCACAGTGGCTCACACCTGTAATCCCAGCACTTTGGGAGGCCGAGGCAGGTGGATCACTTGAGGTCAGGAGTTCAAGACCAGCCTGGCCGACATGGCAAAACCCCGTCTCTACTGAAAATACAAAAATTAGCTGGGTGTGGTGGCACACGCCTGTAATCCCGACTACTCGGAAGGCTGAGGCAGGAGAATCACTTGAACCTGGGAGACAGAGGTTTCAGTGAGCCAAGATCGTGCCACTGCACTGCAGCCTGGGCAACAAGAGTGAGGCTCTGTAAGAAAGGGAAAGAAAGAAAGAAAAAGAAAGAAAGAAAGAGAAAAAAGAAAAAAGAAGGAAAGGAAAGAAGGAAGAGAAAGAAGAAAACAACAAATAACATATTTCTGAATTTCATTTTCTATTCATGATAGTACTTCATGAATTTCCACAAGTCATTTCTAAATAATACATGCAGGTAGATTTATTTCGTCCTTTATTAAATATTTAATTTCTTCAGAACCAGGATTTTTAGTAGTGTCTTCCTCTGCAAATACCTCTCAGGACCCAGTACAGTGAGATGCCTAAAATGGTGCTTGATAAATGCTATCTATTGTGAGACACATGCTGTTGTTCTGATCAACATAACTGCTACTGGCAGAAACACATAATCTAATGATGAGAAATGCAGTGTCACTTTCTAATGAAAACCACTCATTAAAACATAAAGTTTATGACAAGAAAATTATATATTTATTTGGTATAAAATTATCACAACCTTCACCTAATAATATCAGCACCTCTATTCCATCTCTTGGTTAAATAAATGAAACAAAAATGGTGATCCAATCATGTAAAGTTACTTGTTTTCTTTCTTTTCATCTTTTCACCACTGTTGAAATGTTCTCTCCAATATATTTAGCTTTTGAAACTTCATGAGAGTGAATGGAAATTCATTCAAATCTGGCTTTGTAATGAGTGGTTCATGGTTTTTGGTTTGTTATTTTTAACCTGACGTATCTGGAAACGTTCCCCTCCCCAGACTTGTTTATTGGCTCTCCTGCTCTCTCTCCTCAAGATCCAAAGCTAAAAAACATGCTGTTGAAAACAAAACAACTCTAGCCAAGGGAAATCTATGCAATGGAAAAGGGATTCTCCAGAATAAAGTGTAACCTCAAAACTGTGCATATTATCTCTCAAACAGGATGAGTACCTTCTCACTGCCAAAGTAGTTGGAGGGACATCAAACACCAGTGATGGGAACACTGAACCTCACATAAGGTAAAGCGATTCAGGAAAGTTTTGGTAAGCTCTCAGGTCCTGAATATAGATATATAAACTTAGGAAATGGTTTTCTCTGCTGAGCGGTTTCCTCAGGAGATTGGTTCCAGGACCTCCATGGATACCTAAATCTGCAGATGCTCAAGTTCCTAATATAAAAGGGCATAGTATATTCATATCACCTATGCACATTTTCCCACATACTTTAAATCATCTCTAGATTACTTATAAACCTATTACAATGTAAATATTATACAAATAGTTGTTATACTGTATTGTTTTTAAATTTGTAT
Organism: Homo sapiens; assembly: GCF_000001405.40. Lineage (NCBI taxonomy): Eukaryota > Metazoa > Chordata > Mammalia > Primates > Hominidae > Homo > Homo sapiens. Next base: position 112,366,288 of record NC_000003.12, on the reverse strand, counting down.
TATTTTTATTCTTGTTTTTTTTTTCAGATATTTTTTATCCGTGATTGGTTGACTCCACAAATGTGGAACCCACAGATAGGGAGGGCTGAATGTATTTGCAATATTGTCTCTGATTTATTAGAAAATAAACTAACATGTATACAAGTTACTGAGCTAAACACAACCAGATCCAGAATCATGTGGTAATTGAAATGCTTCACCTGAGCAGCTGGGCTTCAGTGCCTCTGTAACTGCACTGGAACATAAAAGCTACTCCTAGAAACACACAACTCTCTCTCTTTTTGAGTTTCAAATTTCTGAGATAAGTGTCCCACTATCTAGACTAATATGAGTCCGGTTAAAAGTATTAAAGTATCTTTGGGGTATCTATGGAGTGTTTTTCAGGGGAAAAGTCATATGAGCCATGCAGGTACCTGCAGAAAGAACATTCCAGGCAGAGAGAAGAGGAAATGCCAAGGCTCTGAGATGGAAACATGTCTGAAATGTTGGTGAAATAGCCGGCAGACTAGTGATCAGGAGAGAGAGTAGGAGGTGACTTCAGAGATTATCAGTGAGCCCATTGTCTAGAGCCTTATAGCCCACGTAAAGACTTTGGCTTGTATTCTAGGTGAGATGGGAAGCACTTGGAAATTTTAGGCAGGAGAATTATGTGATTTGACTTGACATATTTTAGAACAGTTATGTTTCGAATAGACTGAAAGAGGAAGAACACGGAAGCATGAAGATTAATTAGAAAGCAATAACAATGATCTAGGAAACAAATAATAATGGTTTGGGTCAGGTGTAAGAATGGAGGTAGGAGCTGGATTCTGAATATAAGTACAGAACAAATAGGTTACGCTGGCAAGTAAGATTGAGATAAATCACTGCAGGGTGGGCAGAAAAGAGAGTTCACTAGACAGGAAGCTGGGATTTCTGAGTTGGAGTTTTGGCCAAAAACACATTTACAATGCTACTGGAAGAAAGTCGCTGAAAAGTATGAAAGTCACTGAAAAGTATGAAGTCACTGAAAAGTATGATTTTTCACACCTACAAAAATGGGGTTAATTACCTTCAGGACCTCACAAGACAAATGATTATGACATCTGTGTAAATGTTGGTTTGCTTGGATTGAGTCACTGCTCTATGTGACTTTGTGCAAGTGAATTATTAGCCTGAGCAACTGTGGAGGGAAGGATGAAATCAAATCTGGAATATTTTGAGAACAAACAAAAAATAAAAATATCACCGCTGTGAAGAAATAATTTAAGAAGCTTTATTTTAAAAGGCAAAGGCCGAGCAAAGTCACTCACCTCTTTAATCCCAGACAGGAGGATTTCTTGAAGCCAGGAATTTGAGACAAGCCTGGGCATCATAGTGAGACCTTATCTCAACAAAAAATAAAAAGTTAGCTAGGCATGGTGATGTGTGCCTGTAGTCCTAGCTACTCAGGAGTATGAGGCAGGAGGATCGCTTGAACCCAGGATTTCAAGGCTGCAGTGAGCTATGATGGCACCACTGCACTCCAGCCTGGGTGACACAGTGAGACCCTGTCTCTACAACAAAAATTAAATAAAATACTCTTTCTGAGCTCAGAATAGCCATAGAAGAAAGTTCAAAAAAATTATTTTAATCAAAGCCTTATGATTCCTAGTAGTAATATGGATTTTGTACTCTTTGAACCTAGATTTATGAATTGTTATCAAGGCACGGATTGAGGAATACAAACCAAAAAGAAAACATAAAATGACAAAAAAACCCCTTCATTTGCAGTTTCAGTTTCAGTTAAACACAACAGTCTTCTTCTGTTTTCTCCTCTCTCTAAGCAGGTTTGCACTACTCTGGAATTTTTCTGAATTTTTACTAAGAAGAGAAATACATGACTGAGTTATTCTAAGGGACTCAAAAGTTTACAACTTTCCCAATCTGCTTAAATATGCAAAGCCCAAGCTACCTCTTTCTAATTCACAAATACAAAAAAGCACCCATAGTTGAAAGTTTAGGATAAGTATGGAAGGGTTGGTGAGCAGCCAGCCAGGGTGAGAGGGCAGGAGACATAGAGGAGAAAGCAAGGCTGTGGTGTTCCACATGGAGCCACCTTCTCAGCAGAGAGGCATGCTCTCAATTACCCTTTCCTTCTCCCCTTTATTTCTCTATAACCTCCCAAGTCTTCCCCATAAAACATACCTATCCTAAGTCCAAGTATCTCAACATCCTGAAAAGTAACTGAAAAGCCATTTAATAAGCCAATTTAAATTGAATTATTAACAATAGATAAAAATTAGTCTTTGAGCTTTCTCTGCATTTTGAGGAGGAGCTCCCAGTAATACAATGGCCTAAAGTCCTGGTTAAAAGGTGAAATGCTTAGGTACCATGAAGATAGATGTTTAGCAAGGAGTTCCTTTGAGAAAGACTCATGAAATCTTCCCATAAGGTGGTTTTCTTCTTTGCCAATACTTTAAAACAGTAGTCTTTAGCATTGTCCCTAAGACCATCTCAGGGGGTCCACATAATCAAAAAATTATTGTCATGATAACACCAATAAATTATTTGACTTTTTCACTCTCATTCTCTAATAAATGTGCTCTGAAGTCTTCCAGAAGCTATATGATGTTTGATGTTGGCATCACTCTGATGGCTAATAGGATATATGGTTACACATTTTTGTATTTAAATTTTATCAGTTTTAATTTCAAATATGATAAATATCAACAGATATAATTCACATTACAGAAAAAGCTCTTTGGGATCCTCAATGATGTTTTCAAATGCATAAAGGGGTCCTAAGACCAAAATGTTTAAGAACTGTTGCATTAAGTCATCCTGCCTGATCTAGTACCAATTTAGCAGAGATACTAGAAATACAGCAAAATACAAGGGGTTGGTTCCCACTAAATTCAAAACTATGTGAGCTAATCTGTCTGCAAAGGTTGGTATCTAAAAGCAAAATCAAAAGAACACATATAAAGAAGTGCTGCAGAACTGACAGGGTCATGTCAAAAGGACATAGGCACCAACTCAAAGGAGCTCACACCGGCCAGACATCTGATTTGTGTTTTTGTGATTAGTCAGAAACACCAGCTTATCTTTTTTTTTTTTTTTTTTTTTTTGAGACCGAGTCTCGCTCTGTTGCCCAGGCTGGAGTGCAGTGGCGCTATCTCGGCTCACTGCAAGCTCCGCCTCCTGGGTTCACGCCATTCTCCTGCCTCAGCCTCCCGAGTAGCTGGGACTATAGGCGCCCGGCTAATTTTTTGTATTTTTAGTAGAGACGGGGTTTCACCGTGTTAGCCAGGATGGTCTCGATCTCCTGACCTCGAGATCCGCCCGCCTCGGCCTCCCAAAGTACTGGGATTGCAGGCTTGAGCCACCGCGCCCAGCCCAGCTCATCTTTTAGGAGGGGAAAGATAGAGAGGAGGGGAGGGTTTTACATATGATGGGAAAAGACAAGGATTATCATTCATTTCCACATTTCCCAAGAGAATATCATAAGCCAAATATTTGGAGTCAACACTTTTAATTGTTCAATATTTTACTACAAATATAAGAAACAATACAGAATTAAATAACACATGAAAATCTTGCTATATATATATATAAATATCCAATTTAACAGCGAAAACAACTTACACTTTAATTCCTAGGCCACTGGATAGACACAGACAAAGCAGAAGATACTGAAAAAGCAACTAATTATGGTTATTAAAGATTCAACATCATTCCACTAGCTGGAACAATATCTTTAGAACAAAGGGATTGTATGCTCATATTTGCCTCCTCTGCTATTGGGAAAAGTTAACGCATGGAAAAAGAAGCCAGCAGAGACAAAGCATATGAATTGGCTGACTGCTATACAGGAAATCTCCTAAACATCTGTTTTCATAATGTATTTTCATTATATGAGGCTGAATTTAGAATGACGTAAAATAGGGCTGGGTCATGTTATAAGACAAATGGACAGGGAGGGCATGCTTCTCAAAAAATGTGAGCTATTGTCTAAGACTAACAATATTTATCTAGCTATAAAAATAAGTTAAATGAATAAGTTAAGATTGCCAATGTTACTTCACAATAAATTCAGTCCTATTTGTGTTGGAGTAAATCTCATAGAAGCACATGAAGAACAGCAGTGAAACCAAGGATTCTAGCAAGGCCAGCTATTAGCAAAGCAGTAAGCAGGAACTGGACTAGATACCAAATGATGGGGAAACAGACTCATAGACCTAAGAACATAGGAAGAAGAGATGTAACATCAACAGAAAGGCAAAAGGTAAGCTCTCTGTATTCTTTCTTCTCTCTCTCTTTCAATTCTTCCCCCTTTGCTTATTCCCTTTTTTTTTCTGGAATTACATTTTAAATTAAGTTTTAGAGCTATGTGGTAAATTATTTGGTCCAATTCCTTTATACTTTGGATGAGGTAAAGTGACTAACAGAGGTCCCCACCAGTAGGAGCCCAAGTCAGTCTGTGAGCTCAGTGCTCCTGATACTAACTAAGTCCAGTGCCCTTTCAACCACATAACATGGCATTGCTTTACAAAATCAAGTCCTACAACAGACCTGAGAGGTAAACTGACTTCCTCTTGGGATTCAAACACTGAGTAGCTCAGATGGCAGTAAAAAGTCGTGGGATCCTTAAGGCTTTCGCTCCCACCTCTTTTGCTCTTTCAGGTCCTTTGGAGAATGGCCCCTTTTCCTCCTGCTTTTCTCTTGTGTCAAATTCAAGTAGACCAGGGAATCACTTTCAGGGTGCTGTGTGACTTATTTAGGGCTCTGGATAAAAGAAAAACAAGGTATTAACTTTGGACACTTGTAAATTCTATCATAATACATTTTAAGAAGATAAATAATAGAGAGATTAAGAAACACAGAGTTATTCTAGTGTATATTCATTGGCAAAGATAAAGAAGTAGACATTTCTGACCCAGTATGGTGTGAGGGGACTATGACTCTTTACAAGAACAAAAGTAGGCTGGATGCAGTGGCTTGTGGCTGTAAGCCCAGTGTTTTAGGAGGCCGAGGCGGGAGGATCATTTGAGCCCAGAAGTTCAAGACCAGTCTGGGCAACATAGTAAGACCTTGTCTCTACAAAAAATAAAAATAAAAAAAAAAATAGCTGGACATGGTGGCATGCACCTGTAGTCCCAGCTACTCAGGAGGCTGAGGCGTGAGGATAACTTGAGCTCAGGAGATTGGGGCTGCAGTGAGCTATGATCTCACCACCGCACTCCAGCCCCAGGCAATATAGCAAGACACTATCTCTAAAAACAACAAAACAACAACAACCAAAAACAAAAACAAAACTGAAGCAAAAATAAAAGGGCATACGTAATCCTAGGAAATAATGGTTTAGAAAATCACCTAAGACTACAAGTAAAGGAATATGTTCAAAAATTCCAAATGATCAAAATGTATTCTATTTGTAAGCTTTGTTTCTGATGGATAATAACTCACTGGATGTCAGGGTAGAAATGGTCACGAAGTAGAGGCCTTTCCAAGGGCTAGTGGCTTTCTGGCACATACTGGGAGCCTGGAAACCTCTCAAGGCACATAGACGATGAAGTAAAAGACTTGGAATTTTATCTTGGCACCACCTCTCACTCTCTGTGTAATCTTAGGTAATTGTTTACCAGAACCTGCAAAGTTCTGCACATTTTAGATCCTGCCCAATATTTCTAACATCAGATATCAATGGACCATGGAAAGACCATCTTCTCCCAACATGGCTCAATATTTTTCAATTTCAATAGTAAAAACGAATTACTAGAAAAATGACATAAAATAACATAATTCATTTTTAAATTATCAGATTTAACAGATATAAAATTACTGTCAAATTCTTATCATAGAGTGTAAGCATTTTTTCTCAGTTATGTACTTATTTTACTTCAGACTAGTAAAGAACACTTCTTGGATGGGCAACCATCCTCAGACCATATTGGGAGTAACACTGCTCTAAAATATATACATATATATATATATTTTTTTTAGATGAAGTCTCACTGTGTCAACCAAGCTAGAGTGCAGTGGCGCAATCTCTGCTCCCTGTAACCTCCACCTCCTAGGTTCAAGTGATTCTCCTGCCTCAGCCTCCTGAGTAGCTGGGAGTACAGGCACATGCCACTATGCCCGGCTAATTTTCATATTTTCAGTAGAGATGGGGTTTCACTATGTTGGCCAGGCTGGTCTTGAACTCCTGACCTCAGGTGATCTGCCTGCCTCAGCCTCCCAAAGTGCTGGGATTACAGACATGTGCCACCGCACCCTGTAAAATATTAATGACTTTTCTGCCTTAGAGCTTTCACATTTGCAATTAATTTGCTAAAAACCACTCTTCCCTTGTCTCCTCCATGGCTGGATTATTCTCTCCTTGAAGGTCTCTGATTAAAAGTCACCACCTCAGCGAAGCCTTCCCTAACAAAATCCAAGTAACTGGTATCCTTTTCAAGTTATCCTCTTTCATTGCATGCTATATTTTATATTATTCTATATTATTTCCTTGTGCTAAAATCTCGTGTTTTAATAGTATCCTTATTTGTTGATTCACTTGTCATTTCTCTGCTGTCCCCCTAACCTGTCATCTCCATTAAAATGACAAGGTCCTGTTTTGTTCATTATAGTATAATAACCAGTGCTAATTACAATGCCAAGCATATTAAAAATTATTAATAAATACTTATAAAATGAATGAATTGAACTTCTGTGAATTTGGTTTTATCACCTATCAGATGGAAATACTTTCCTTATCAATTGCTATGAGAATTAAATGTAATAACTTCCAGGTCTAGTCCTTTTGTCTCATGAACATCCATTTAAATATTTAAGAACACCCTCCATGCCCTCCTTTCATCCCCACTTACAAAGTTTTATCTTCTGAAATCTAAGTGCTGTTTTCCCTGAGTGGTGAGACTATGCATTTTGAACTATCAATTACCAATAACAGAATTTATAATTCTTATATGACCTAACTACTGACTGGAATCCAGAATAATAATCTAAATGATAGCATGGTTTCCTTTAAAGATCACTAGTATACATTTTTGTTGTTGTTGTTTGTCTGTTTTTTTTAAAAAAAGCTCTTAAATTAAGCCTGACTTTGAATGGTTGATTACTTGATTCTGCATCTGGTCTGAAGAAGTTTTTCCTTTCTCTAAAATAAAGTTTCTATATATCTTTCTCCCTCCATCGCCTCAAAGGCCATGCTTTACTCACAGCCCTTGCCAGAGCAAAACCTTTTAGGATTCTTCTAAACTCTAGAATACCTAAGGACTACCTGAAGTACCGGTTAATTTGCAAAAACACAGGACACTTGTAGAGAATGTGATTCTTTGTCTTTTTGTGTGGTTCAGGAATATACTTTCGTTTTGTTTCTCTCTTTCTTTCTCTCTCTTTCTTTCCTCTCACTTTTCTTTCTTTCTCTCTTTTGTTTCTTGTTGGATTGGGTAATCTATGAAGCAAGGTATGAGGGAACAAAAATAGTAAGATAAGTTTAAAACATATGGAATAGAGAGTGAAGAAGTTGTTTAGTGCAGAGAAGACAGAACAGCCAAGTTGTGGTAAGGACAGGAGAAACTAGATGCAAAACTCATGAATCAGTGCTGATGGGGAACCTAGGGCAGCTTTGGATCTACAAGCACCTTCAGGTAGCCGCTCTTCCTGACATGCGGCAGTTTAGTTTCCTGGAAATCCATTTATACACATCCTTACAGGAACTGCCCTCCCTCTACCCTTGACTCGCACTAGCTTCAGTGAGTAATTTTTCTTCCCATACTCCTACAAAAAAAATGTCTAAGCAAAACAGTTTCTCTTCTTCAAAAAGAGATACAACTGCACTAGCAGGAAATCAGTTTTCGGCATCACAAGTTCATCTAGGCATCACAAGTTCATTTCAGTATACGCACGTTTTTAGAATGCACATTTTCTGATTCTGTCTCCCCAGTGGGTCCCCACAAATTTCTCCCAAGACTGCTACTGAAATGACTTATATAGCAGGTCCTCCAACAACATCCTTTCATTCCACAACATGTTGTTATAATGTTGATGAGAAAAACAACAGATTCCCATCCAGGACCACTGTGTGGGAGTTAGCACATCCTCCCCAAGTCTGCATGGGTTTTCTCTGGATACTCTGGTTCCCCCCACATCCCAAACACGTACTGCATGTTATGTAAATTGGCATGTCCAAATGGTCCCAGTCTGAGTAACTGTGTGTGTGTGCGTGTGCGTGTGTGTGCGCGTGTGTGAATGCCCCCTGCTCTGGGATGACGTCCTGTCTGGTGTCAGTGTCTGCCTTGCATCCTGAGCTGCATAGGCTCTGGCCACCCATACCCTTGAACTGAAATCATTGAGTGAATAATTATCTCACTTGTTTTTGTTACTGTTTCTTAAATGTATGCATAACTCACATTTATTTCAATGTTTAATATTAGAAATGTTTTGGTCTTTATTAAAAGTTTGGTGATGTTTTTGTGACTAGAAATATGCCATAGGAACTTAAGTCTTGTTTCTATCATTTAGCCTGTGGTAAAATTGGTTCTGTTACATGCCGTTTTGCTTAAACTCGCAGTTTCCAAGAACCTATTGATGACATTAAGACTTACTGTATGAGTTCTTCTCCCTTCCAAATACGCATGCCCATGTGTCCAAACAGATTCAGATAACCTGAAATCTTCCTCAAAGCTGTCCTAACTGCTACAATTCCTGTTTGTCCCTCCATTTACCTCTCTAAACTCGTCCTTCCTTGAACATTTGTACAATTCATGAAAATATACTTCGATAAAACGAAAAAGGACCTTAGATTTAGTAATTACAAAAATGAACATCTGTTACAAACTTAGTCTGCCGCATTGGTGTGCTAGAGCTTTATTGGCTCACGCTGATGGTTAAATTGTTAGTAGCTTGAAATTTGCTATGGTGGGAACATTTACTTCACGGAAGTTGGCGACAGCTACAAATAAACACTCCGCCCCTCTCCTCCCAGGCCAGTGTTCCAGCGTATCATTCGTTTTAGGTACTTTTCTTTTTCTTTCTTTCTTTCTTTCTTTTTTTTTTTTTTTTGAGACAGTCTCGCTCTGTCCCCCAGGCTGGAGTGCAGTGGCGCGATCTCTGCTCACTGCAAGCTCCGCTTTCCGGGTTCACGCCATTCTCCTGCCTCAGCCTCCCGAGTAGCTGGGACTACAGGCGCCCACCATCACGCCCGGCTAATTTTTTATATTTTTAGTAGAGAGGGGGTTTCACGCTGTTAACCAGGATGGTCTCGATCTTCTGACCTCGTGATCCGCCCGCCTCGGCCTCCCAAAGTGCTGGGATTACAGGCGTGAGCCACCGCGCCCGGCCATTAGGCACTTTTCTAAGCACTTGTATGTATTCCCGTTTAAATCTTCACAACATTCTTATGAGATACAGTTACAATTATTATCCCCATCTTACTCAGTGAGGAAAAGGAGGCACAGGGAAGTTAAATGGCTTGTCCAAAGGTACTCAGCTAGTTTGTAAAGGACAGGATTTGATCAAAATCGCTAAGTAATTGTTCATTGTTGCAAATAAAAATGACTGACTAGAAAACAACCAATTTTATATGTCATTTGCAATCATCCTTGCTAAAATTAACAGTTGAAAACTTTAAACTCTTGAAGGAGAAATATTGTAGAAATAAATATCACATTCAGTTTCTTATTTCATGTGGCCTTGGTTAAGATGAAAAGAATTTCAGTTAGATAAGGAGTAATAACTTCAAGAGATCTATTGTACAACATGGTGACTACGGTTAATAACAATGTATTGTATACTTGAATATTACTGACAGAGTAGATTTTATGTGTTCATACCACAAAAAAATAAGTATGTGAGGCAATGCACATGTTAAGTAGCTTGATTTAGCCATTCCACAATGTATACATATATAGAAATATCATGTTGTACACCATAAATACATAAAATTTCTGTTTTCAATTAAAAAAATAAAAACAAAAATTCATAATAAGTAATATTTTTAAAAAAGATTAAAAGACAATTGTGTACATAATCCCAAAGGTATTTAACATGAACTCTTTAAAGGACTTTCAAAACACAAGGCTAGCATTTCTCTTTATTGTATAAAAAAGGGAGAAGGTTGGAGTATTTATAAACTAGTGTCCACGGAGACTCAGAACTAGCAGCATTGGTCAGTCATCATGAAATTCTATCTAGTTTGAATACTGAGAGGGGCAAGAGGCTCTCTTTTAATAGCCTCTCATTGATAAATTTCCATAATTGTGCCTCATGAAATGCGGAACTTAACATTGAAGTTGTGATTTTTGCAAAACATGTCTTGCATGTTTGTAGTACAAAATCTCATTTGTTCTTTATTTACTAGAAGAAATTGTATTTTTTTACAATATGGTTATTTTTAGAGATTAAAATTATTCAAATTAAATTGTACTGAACATACTTTTATTTCTTAATTTTTTTCTGATATTTCTAACATTTTTTTCTACTTAATATACTTCATCAAATATATATATTTTTAGCTCTGTCTTTAAAAAAATTGTTAGTGGAAGAACTGCTCTACTGCATCTGGGCTGCTGAAATCAATTAGGGCCTATAAATGGGAATTTTGAAGAATTCTGAAAATGATATGAAAAGCATTGAGGCTCCTAAAATCTATAATGACCTCATAACATGACTCTGCAAGTATTAGGGACTGAGAAATTCCCGGTTTAATACGTTATGATAAGCGGGGAAAGACCAATTTGGTTATGCCTACTATCACCACACATAGTGATAAATATAATTTTCCCACTTTGAACTTTCACAGTTCCCTGTGAACTTGTGTTTACGGGATGCTTATGACGAAGACAAAGGAAGTCAGAATTGCTTCCTCTATGAAAAGGTAGGAATAGGGAGAAGCAGGAAATATGCAAGAACTGAGATTCTAAGAAAAAAAAAGTTTTTGTAATATTATAGTTAGTGATAGAAAACAAGGGAAAGCAGAAGTGATGCTTTTGCATTACAGATTTGAGAGACAAAATATAATCCTGGAAAATAAAGCCTTGCCTGGTCAGAGGTTCTGACCAGGTTTTGAAGTTCTTTGATAGAGAGTTGCCAGGAACAGAGCAAAGGCTATGGAATTACAGAGAGAGAATGCTTCCACTGGGAGGTCAGTAAACAGCTGTCCCTCTAAGTAAGTCACTCCCACACCCTCTTAGCATTTGTGATAGGCATAATAATGGCACCCCAAAGACATCCATATTCTAATTCCAGGAATCTGTGAATATGTTACTTTACATGGCTAAAGGAATTTTGCTGATGTGATTAAATTAAGGACCCTGAGATGGATTATGCAGTTGGGCCCATTGTAATCACAAGGATCCTTATAAAGGAAAAAGGAGACAAATGTTTCAGATTTAGAGTGATTCAGTGTGAAAAAGACTCAACTGGACATTGTTGGTTTTGAAGATGCAAGGCAAGGAAAGTGGGCAGTCTCTAAAAGCAGGAAAAGAGAGAGAGGGAAAAAAAGGATTCTCCCCTAGAGCCTCCAGAAAGGAATGTCTCCCTGCAGACACCTTGTTTTAAACCCAGTGAGACCCATGTTGGACTTCTGATCTCTAGAACTGTAGTATAATACATGTGTGTTGTTTTAAGCCGCTAAGTGCGTGATAATTTGGTAAAGAAGCAATAGAAAATTAATACAGCATTTATGATGTTTCCCCCTCTGTAAGCCATGTTGAGTACTTTCATTAAGTGGCCCAATCTTTTCCAGTTTAAATAGCATACAGTTGGCTTCTTTTGTTAGTAGAGGCTAGGGCCTTGTATCTGTTTAGAGGCAAGCTTATTATATGGGTGTGACTATACTACTGAAATGCACAGCGGTTCCAAACAAAACAAACTGGTAATAGACACTAGGTAAAGGATATATGCAAACTAAAATGCAAAAGGAGCAGAGATGTTAGAGGATTTTTCAGCTGGTAGATTTTCTCATCCTTTTTGTTTTTCATTAATTAGTCTAACAGGTACTGACAGCTAATCTCCTTGAAAAGCCCCATGGCCAAAAAGCCAAGGGAATGAGTATGCCATTTGAGGACTGAACACACATTGAATTATTGGGCAGGAGACTGAGATGTCTTGATTCCTAGAGATGTTCCCCACATACAGACTGAAACTTAAAATTTGGGTCATCTATGCCCATGTGGGTTTAGATGTTAGAGAGAACAGCAAAGAACAGCTCCAGGCAAGAATGTCCAGGCATTAAGAATCTGTTTGCTAAGGGTTTTGTGATAAGATTATGTATGTCATCTTGGCATGATAGGTAAATCACCCAAAATTTGTAAAATTTTTGCGGAAAAATAGCCCTGGAATTCAAGATTTCTCCCAGCAATACTAATCTAAGCAGTTCAATGAAGATTCTTTATCGCTTTTCTCATGTAAAGCATCACATTTCTTCCTCCTGGAACTATGAGGATACTGGGGTGGGGTTGGGTAGTGCCATTCATCCAGCCTCTGTCAGGGAAGCATAAGTACTTTTTGAGCAAAGCAAAGGTTCTTATTTCATACAGCCCGGACAGAGGGCTACCCATTCATACAGCCTTTGTACGGGAAGCAAAAGTGCTTTCTGAGCAAAGCAAAGGTTGTTATTTCAGGAGGGGTGAACAGATATTTTTTGTTTTCCCCTTTCAACTAATGACCAATTACATCATCACAAATTGTTTATCGAACACCTTTGTTGTTTGTATTAAGTATTAAGCTTAAAATAGGAGAAAGTCACATGCTGTTATCCAGGAAATGACGTTTTATTAACTTTGCCATTGTTATTATACATTGTCAGGAACCCATTCATAGGTTAGGTTATTGTGAAGAGAAGGAAATCAAGATAAATATACAGCTCATGCAGATGAAAAACATATTTCTACATGGATTAGCTAGTACTTGAAAAAAAAGTGAAGTTTGGCATATAAATTTTACATGATTGTCTAAATTTTCTATTGTTCTCCAAAGCAGCCTTGACTCAACCAAACCAAAGCAAAGCAAACCAAACCAAACAAAATAAAGCTGCCTAAAAATTAGGTGATTGTCTATGATGATCTGCCTCAAAGTGAAGTTTCTTTTATTGTTTCTGAGAAGCATGTAATTGTTGGTGGGTTGACTAATGAGAAATAAAAGATTATTCTCAACTCCAAATTTAACTACATTGTCATATATGTGAAAGGCACAACTTTATGAAATCACTGGGTTTTAATAGAAAGAAGTATTTCGAGATGGTGGAAAATTTCCCTAGGAAATTTTAATTCTTTCTCACTTACTGTTTTAAAGTGCTGGATTCATGAAAGAGAAAAGAATGCTCTTTGAAATCTTATTAGTCTTACTGTGGTAGTCTCCTGGGAAGTAACTGTGATAATTCTATCAGGAGTGGTGCAGAAAAATGGCCTGTGCTACTTCGCAGTTGGAAAAAACCAACGTCATGCTCTCTGGCATTATACAGGATCACAAGAAAAGTAATGGTCGTCTAACTTCTACGTAAAAATAACATCAGTAACTGTAAGTTTGCTTAGGCATTTGTGAGCAATGAGTAGTGATTATGACCTAAAATAAACTTCTGTTTTGGTCATTTACCCAACACAGAATTGACCTTACTTAACAGACTTACCTTACTTACCAGATTTTTATTATTGGCTACTGGACAGCTACATGAAGATAATTCTTTGTCTGCTCACACTCAATAAATTCAAAAACTTATTCGTCTGTCTCCTTTGCTTTTCTACAAACTCTAAACACTCTCTCTCTCTCTCTCTCTCTCTCTCAGTTCCACCTCTTCACTTTAGTGTTTCTGTTCACATCACCATTTTTGAGGTCACCAAGTTCAAAACCTTTGTATTATTTTGGACCAATCGTGTTTTCCTGCTCATTTGGAAATTTTATGTTTTCAGATGATGGAAAGAAAAAGAGAAAGAAAAGAAAAGTAAGGATGAAAACAACTGGAAGGCAAATGTGTAGGACTATTTCCCTTCCTCACAAAATATCAATCAGAATTTGTTAATGGTAGAAATAAAAAGTGTCACTATCTTCTATGATTTTCTGTCCTTTCTCTTTTCTTTGTCCCAACTTTTTGTATAACCTGAAGTTTGGTCTAAATGAACCAGTATTTTCTTAGCCCTGAGCATTTAAGCTTCAGCATAATTGACTCTTGGTTTTACTAGCTGTAAGTGTATGATGCCAAATTATCTGGCTGTTAAAATTTCTAAATCAGTTGTTGTAGTTTGGATACTTGATCCTGCAAACCTTATGTTGAAATCTGATCCCCGGTGTTAGAGGTGGGGCTTAATGGGAGGTGTTTAAGGGGGGAAGATCTCTTGGGAATTGATTAATGCCCTTGGTGTGAGTGAGTTCTCTCTCTGTTAGTTCCCATGAGAGCTGGTAAAACAGCCTGGCAGCACCCTCTTTTATTTTCCTGTCTCGCCATCTGATCTCTGCACACACTGGCTCCCCTTTTCCTTCTGCTATTAGTGGAGGTAGCTTGAGGCCCTCACCAGAAGCAGATGTTGGCACTGTGCTTGTATAGCCTTTAGAAACCAAATAAACCTCTTTTCTTTATGAATTACCCAGCCTCAGGTAACTTTTGTAAGCAACACAAATGGAAAAGAAATGAGTCAAAAATCCAGTCATTCAGAGGAATTAATGCAATTGGCCATATGTCATGAAGACATCATCAGTAAATGGCAATCCTGATGCGTACAGGAGTCAACATAGGTTCAGGTATTTATTTCATAAGTGAGGAAAAACTTGGGCAGAGAAATAAGCTGATTCTTTTTGCTTCAAGAATCGGATATTGGCATTGAATGACTATATTTCCCAGAAAATCCAAGACTTGCTTAATGAACAAGGGTAATTATTTTGCATGTCTCTTTCCAGTAGAATTTACCTCAGGCTTGAGTAGATTGCATTATAAAACTTTTGCCCAAGAGGGACTTTTAAAAATGAATTTAAATACTTTATACTTGTCTGCTTGCACTTTCCAAAAGAAAAGGGCATAGACAGTAAGCACAGATTAAGTGAATGCAACTGATAACAATAGCTCCTTTCAAGTCAAGACATTGGGGCATCAGTAATGACAGGAAGAACATTTGGCAGAGGTCAGGGCACCGGGGTTTAGTCCTAGCCTGCTCTTAAGAAGCTGTATAAACTTATGGAAGGAAGTCAGCTTTCCTCTCTGGGCTTCAGTTTCCTAATTGGAAAAGAAAAATTTCTGGATAAAGTAGAATCAAACAGACTTCTGTCTTTGATTTTATTCTGTGGAGCACTTATGAGTTCCACAGGCTTATAATTATGTGTAGTAAGATTAACTGATTTGTAATCTTCTCTCCTGGACAGAACAAATACCTTTACCTACTTTTGCAAAAGGGCCACTGACACTGAAGGCTTTTTGGGTGTTTTATAAATTCACAAGAATTAATCTGGAGGATTATGCAAAATAAAGTGGTCAAAAACTTGAAACATGAACAAAAACATAAAAATATAAACATAAAACTAAAAGGAAACATTTCTATAAAACATAAAATGAAAGGAAAAAATGAGTGAGATTTTTAATCAAAGTCTAAAATAGCTATCAAAGCCAACTATTTTTCTTTCCTGACCCCTATCCTTCAGTCATCTGAAATGGAGGAAACTCCCACATCACCCCTTCACCCTAGCAAATTTCCATTACACAAAACATAAACTGCAGCTTTGTATTCACTTCAATAAATTATGCATTGTCTACAGAAACCAAAGACATTTCATTCTTCCTCTCTATCTAGCTCACTGCTCTTGCTTTATAGTGTCTCTTGTTTTATAATTTCTCACAATATCTTAGACTGGCGTTTATGAGGTACTGAATTTACAATAGGAGAAAAGGAATTGAAAAAAAATCACCTTAAAAATTCTCTCTGTCCTCAATCAGTTCATTCAGTAAATTAACATTTATTCAGACCCTGGTATATATAAGATGCTGTGATAGTTGTGAAAGATAAAGAGAAATTTACAGTCTAGAAGGGCAGAATGGCATGACACAGTTACTGTAAGTATGGATCACTTGCATGATGCTGACAGTGTTTGAGGCATCGTGGGAGTATAACACAGAAAGTGCTACTTAATGAGTGATCATAATTGGACAATTGCAGCCTCTTAAATGGGCAGATGGCCTGTGAAGTGCTATAAAAAGAGAAGAGATTGTCCTTCTCATTAATGAGTGGAAAGGGCCTTGTGTGGGTGCCAGACTTCTTTCTTTGGTTCTATCACCATTGTTTGATTTCATTAGCTTTTAAGTCATCTTAGCAAACAAAAAGCAGAAATGTCCAATTTAATGTCCAATTGCAAGAAAATGCCCCGACGCATTTTAAAACAGTATCAACATTTCTGTATTTTGGAAACAACAGACAAAACACATTGTTGCCATTCCCTTATTTATATCTTCAAATGACTCACAAATTGTCATTAAAAATCAAATTTAATTTATGTCATTTTTTGAACTCCCTGTGACAACTCACCTCGGTCCTGATTCCGGTGACGTTTCCAGTACAGTAAGATTGAGATTAGGACGAGAAGAATTACCAGGGAAACAATGCTTAGCAATAGCGGAACTGAAAACCAATAGCCTATAGATATTGAAGAAAGAAAAAGGAAAATGACATCACATGAGGAAATTGTTGAGGCAAAAAGAGTTGAGCTTTTAGTTAAAATTATCCTTAAATACATACATATGTAGGTTTATACGTATGACTTCATATTATTTTAATAATATTTAGATATTAGTAATAGCTAACATGTTTTATCTGGCTACTGTGTAATAAGAGCTTTAAACTTATCGCATTTAATCCTCAAAACATCCCAAGAGTTATTATTTTCTAACAGATTTAAAGAAAACTGAGGCTTTGAGAATTTAACTGAGATCAAAATCAGAATAACAAATGGGATAGCCAAGGTTTGGTTGAAAGTCTGTTTGCCTCTAAAGCACATATTCTTTGCCATACTGTCTATTAAAAGAATACATGTTTATTGAGGAAATTGTGGAAAATGCAGAGAAGTACAAAGAAAGAAACATGAATCTCATGATTTCAACCCCCAGAGATAACTCATCTCAAAGTTTTTGGTAAATTTCTTCTTATCTATGTCTTTAATGCAACTCAGCCTAAATATCAGTTCCTCAGTGTCATGTTGCAATGCAAAGGCAAATGAGGAACTCCTTGATTTGGGAGTCTCTAGCATCTTCTCCATACCTCCATAATGGGATTCGTCACATCATTATTTAACTGAACACCTCAGACCTCAGACAGGGATTTGTTTGATTTCTATAGGTCCAGTGCTTGACATAATGCTTTGAGCATGGAAGTTTTTTGGTAAATGTTCACAGAATAAACAAACATTATACAAGTGGTATATAAACACTGTAAGTGATATAAGTCAAATCTGGCATTCTTGGAAAAAAAAAAGACATTCTTTTTTAGGTTCTTGTTTTTCCAGGAAATATACCCTTTGCCATGGCTGAATCTGAAGATCTCTTCACAAATATCCAAATCCAACACTGCAAGTCTTTTTGACCAAATTTACCTAAATATCCAATTTCTGATTAGTCTGGGTTTTCAGGGACTCCAAAGGCCACTGCAGTAAAGAGGTGGGTGTAGAAAGCTTTTCCAGTTTATTGCTCATAATTTCTCCAAAAAAGAGGAGTAATACTTTTTAGGAGGCTTATTACTGACTGCTTCATCAAGAGTCAGTGCTTCAAAACTACACAGAGAAAAGACGTGGCTATTATTGCTAAAACTTCTTGTCTTTATAATCTCTGCTCCCTTTATTCTCTCCTCTGTCATTCTCACCTCTTGTATCTATGAGGCCCAGAGACAGTAGTTTAGACAAAAACACAAGAAAGCAAAAAGGGACTTGGATAGGAGGCAGTTTGCTTTAAAATGGGTGACGAAAGCACTTCAGATAGGTCCCTTTCTCACAGTGTAGATTATACAGTGATTTCATCACAGATGTCACTTCTTCCAGGAAACCTTCCAAATCTCCCCCAGATTGAGCCCCTCCTTCCCAACCTCCAATCCTCCCATGGTGCATCATAGCTTTCTCACTGGAGAATGTAATGCACAGTTTTACAATTGCCCATCCATTTATCTCTATTCCCTAGTAGACTAGAAGCTTAGAGACTGAGTCTTGCTCATTGCTGCACTTTTCATGTTCAACTCAAAGTCTGGCCCAGAACAGACCTAATTACATGTTAGTAGAGTGGAAGAAATAAATAAATGAATGGATCTCAGCAACAGCATTTGGTGTGTGGGCAATGAACCACATTTATGAAAGTAAAACTTGCTTTATTTGTTTCTTCAATTTTTTTGTTTTGTTTTGTTTTTTCCTTATTTGCCCCATTCTTTCTCCAAATAGATTATGCTAAGAGGCTGAAAACCTCTGCAGGACATTCACTGCCTTCCAGGTCCATGCACACAGACACAACCACAGCCACCTTGCTCACTTTCTCTTACCTTTGTTGACGGTTTGCTTAAAGTCGGTCACAGTCCCCAGGTGCAGCACCTGGCAGATCACCTCCTTCCCCACCTGATTCTTAGGGTCTTTGATATGGAGGATGCTGGTAACAGACGTGGTCCCATTTGGGTGAGACAGAGTCACTGTACTATTTTCAATCCCTGACCGAGGGACCTTCCAGAAGACCATGGGGGCTGGGCGGGCAGTGGCAGAGCAAGTGATATTTAGGTGGTCTTCAGAGAATTTGTAGTGAAGGGATACTATGGGCTGTACTGGGACAAAAAATAAATATGATCTGTTATCAGTTAAGCACCTGGTCTGAGTCCTGCAGTCTCCTCAGAGAGATGAAGGAAATATGCTTATAGAAAGATAATGGAGGCTAGAAAGATAGCATGGCATATCCTACCCAAACTGGGGACTTTCCAGTTCCTCTTGTGTCTAATTTTCTGATCTGCAGGATGGAGACTGGCCTAGTACAAACCTGTGATGAGAAAGACCCTTTCTGTAATTTGTCTGTAGCAGAATTTGTCAGATGGACATAGAGTATTGAGAAGTCAGATGATACTTTTCTCTCCCAAACAGTCCTAATTATTCTGTTCTCTTCCAGGGGCAATGCAGCATCTCTGCCTTCTTCTGGGTATTCCTCTTAAATGGCTTGACAATAACCACCAACCAGCACTGCCATACATGTGTCCTGTACCTATCAGAGGCACTAGGGCAGTTTTGGAACAGAGAGCCCATAGAAAGGCTACTGCTTAGAGATAGCCATTTTCTTCTTGGAGCTGGACCAGTGAATTAGACGCATGGAGGAGAGCTGGAAAATCCCTTTTTGGAAGAGCTACACAAAACCAAAATTTGGAATTCGTAGCTAATAACCATAAAAATTAAGAAATGACTGTTGGAAGAGCACTGGAAATCACCTGATTAAGTTAAGAAAAACTAACTAGCTCATGAGAAAATTATTTTCAGGCCAGCTGTAGCCTGTACCCTTTTGAAAATCCCCTGACTAGTGAGTTCATTTTTGTTGGAATATAGAATTTTTCTTTTCTAAGCAGATGTAAACTTGTCTTTCTGTGGTTGGCTTTGGAGCCCACAAGATAATTAAATGGCAGTGCTAACTGAAAGCCTGGGCTGTGCTTATAGGTTCAAGAGGCAGGTAGAAGACACTGGGTTGGGGAAGTAGGGCTATGGAACTGTGGCTCTGGCTAAGATTACTAATGTCTGTGAGCGCTGGAAGAAGGGAAATAGAAATGAAAAAACATGAATATGGTTGATGGGCCAGACTGAGTGTTGAGGTCCTATGATGTATCAAAGAATGGCTTACATGAAAGTTATAAGGTGTGGATGGAAAAGGTCAGTGTGGAAGAGAACAGAATTACTAGCTTTAAAGCTCAGAGACATCTGCTTTTCAGGAAAAAAAAATACAAAAGTCTATGAGTGAAGGAAGGAGACTAAGAGAAAGAAAGGTGAGGAAAAGAGGAAGAGAATAAAAAGGAACAGAAATGAGAAAAATATGACACAAGAAAAAAAGAAAAATTAGGAGGAAGGAAAGAAGAAAGGAAGGCAGAGAGGGAGGAAAGGAAGGAAGGAGACAGGGAGGAGAAACAGAAAAAGAGAGAATGAAAGAAGTGGAAATCAAGAAAGAAACAACATAAGATTCTACAGAGAGGACTCATTATAGGCAAAATAAGTAAAAGAAATTTCTTTTGGCATTGTCCTATCTCCCTTGCATTCTCATCTACTAAGCCTTTTCTTCCCTGTGGGCAATATTATTGGCATGAGTAAACTCTCACCTTAATATTCCTAATAACCATAAGTTTGTCCTCTACTCCCTAAAACTACTGCCGTGTGTGCCATGCTCCAAAGTAATCTCTTATTCTCACTTCGTAACCTTTCATCTCAGCTGTGTGTCAGTTAAGAAGAATTTCATCAAACTAAGCCTCTTGGATTTTAAAAGAATGCTCTTGCCCAGTTATATCTTTAGTTGGCATCATTTCAGGTATGAAAAGGCTCTGCTCTATGTGCCCTTATCAATCCTGAAAGAGCTATCTCCCCAAGCAAAATGAGAAGGACAATCATAACTGGCTCAAGGCTAGTCCAATCTGGCTCTGTCCTTAGATCCAAAAAGTTGAAGTTGTAAGTGACCCTAGAAATGATCTATTTCACACTTATTGTCCAGACAATGAAACTCCAGTGGAGAGTGGATAGGACCCTTCTAGGGTCGCATGATTGCTAGTGGCAAAGCCAGGTCTGAATCATATCACTGCTTATGGAGAACTTGTTGCCCTCACCATTGTCCTCAAATTTCTCCTGTTGACAGCAGGATCCCTCAGAGAAAAGATAGCTCCAGCCAAAGAACTCAGTGTAGCCCCATGAACTCTCCAAATAATCATAAACACAGCTATAGTAGACAAGAAAGGCTATCTTCTCATGACCCTTTCTGTGGTTAAAATCCTGAAAAACTGGGCACTACGGCTATATTCCAAACATTCTTGCAAATAGTATTTCCAGACACAGACAATGATTCTCAGAGATTCTCACCATAGACGGTGAGGCAGGCCGTTCCTGAGATCTTCCCAAAACCAAAGGTATTGAAGAGACACATGTAACACCCTTCATCCTCCAGGGTGATATTCCAGAAGGTGATGGTTGAGTTTTGGAGTCCCAGCTGGGTAATGTTTATCTTGTCCTTATAGGCAGGCTGGATCACCACCCCATGGTTCTCGCTGAAGGTGACCATGTTTTCTGGGCTTACAGCTTTCTTTTTCTGCCATGTCACAATGAGGGCTTCCTGGGCATTTTGCAGAGAGCATTTTAAGGAAGCAGGTGTGTACAGCTGCTCTCTTTCATCCTGGGTCACCACTTGCACTATGGAATCATAAAAGAACATTTATATTTAAAGATTGTAACACACATACACTTTTTCCTGATTATAAATAAAATGTATATTCAATGTCAAATATAGAAAAGAAAGAGAAAATGCAAAAAAGAAAACATTTATTTACATTCCTACGTGATGCCAGAGAAATATATAGGTTCAAATATGTTTGTTCAATCTTTAAAGAATAGTAGCAGAGTAGAAAAACAAGAGAGCAACTCTCAGTTACAAGAAATTGTGAATGATCTGTGTAAGCTGCGAAGTAGGTACAATGAGATTGAAGATGTAAACTGCCAGGTAGGATAGCAGCTTCACCAATCTTGTCCATGCTTGGAGAAGTAGAAGCAAAGAGCAGGAAAAGGCCAAAGGATAACAGGCAGAGTGACCACTGTAAGTAAAGAAGATGGAGCAGCCCTATGCATTCCACACAAACACACACACATACACAATCTACAAAGGAAGCAGGTGGAACAGAGGTGTCTGCCTCCAGGAAGCAAGAGTGTATATAGGAACATAGGTAAAGAGATTTATGGGACAATGTTCTGGAGGATCTTGAAGCTTTGGCACACAAATAATAATTTACACACCCTCTGCTTTCACTAAATGCTATGGTGGTAATTTCTTCCCTTCCTCAATATTAGCAACTCATACCATCATACATTATTTGATGGAAAATCTCAACATAAAAACAAATAGCCAAACTTTTGAGAAAGCCAATACAATGAAAGAGAAATAATAAACTTTACAAACCCAATAACTCATACAAAATGAATAAAGATATCATAAGACAATAAATACTTTGACATGAATACATGTGATGATATAAGTGTAATAAAAGCATAATAAAAGCATTATGAATAGTAGAAATTAGAGATATAGAAAATGAGGAATATAAAATTGCAACAGATAGGCTGACTTAGCAAAATAGATGCTACTGAAGAGTAAATTAGTAAAAAGTAAGAACAGGCCATGAAATTATTCTAGAATGTAGCACAAAGAGATAATGATATGGAAGGGATTAAGGAAAAATTCAATAAGTAGACTTAAATGTTCCAAAATCAGTTCAGTAAGACTTCTAAAAGGAGAGAAAAAAAAGAATGGAAGACAAAACCACTGTAAGAAGGGAAAAAGTATTTTTCAAAATGATAAAAGGAACAATCTAAAATCAGATCTATTATAGTAATCATAAACCTTTATGCACCTAACAACATAACTCCGAAATATATAAAGCAAAACTAATAGAATTACAAAGAAAAAATTTAAATTCACAATCATACCGAGAACCTTCAATTTAATATATTTAAACAATTGTTAAAGGAAAAAAAGTTAAATAGGAAATTTGAAAAACTACCAGGTACAGTGGCTGATGCCTGTAATCCTGGTGCTTTGGCAAGTCAAAGTAGAAGACTCACTTGAGGCCAGGAGTTCAAGATCAGCGTGGGCAAGAGATGAGACCCTTATCTCTACAAGAAATGTAAAAATTAGCCAGCCGTAGCGTCATGTACTTGTAGTCCTGGCTACTCAGGAGCATAGGACAGGAAGATTGCTTAAGGCCAGGAGTTCAAGGATGCAGTGAGCAATGATTGCAGCACTGTACTCCAGCCTGGGTGACAAGGTAAGTCCATGTCACAAAGAAAAGAAAATTTGAAAAACAATATATATTTATATATATACTTTAGGTATTTAATATTATCAATGTTTTATATGTTTATATTATATACACTATATACTTTATATGTATGTAGATCTCTCTCTCTGTGTGTGTATAAATATAAATTTCTTCCCTTCTCCAATATTAGCAACTCATACTATGATAGATTATTTGATGGAAAATCTCAACATAATAACAAATAGCCAAACTTTTGAGAAAGTCAATACAATGAAAGAGAAATAATAAACTTTACAAACCCAATAACTCATACTAAATGAATAAAGATATCATAAGACGCACACACACACAGACACACACACTTTACTCAAAGAAAGGATGTATAATCTTTTCAAAACACACATAAAACCTTCCTCCAAATTGAACTCAAAATAGGCTACAAAAAAGTTGCTACCCTACGTATGGCCTTGAACACCGTTCATAATACAATAAAATTAGAAATTTACATACTTCTTTTAAGTCTTAGGTACACCAGAAAGCATAGAAAAAATCATAAATTATTATAACTGAATGACAATGAGAACATAATATGTTAAAAATCTATAGACATGGGTAAGACATGCCTGGTGCAGTGGCTCACGCCTGTAATCCCAGCACTTTGGGAGGCCGAGGCGAGTGGATGACTTGAGGTCAGGAGTTTGAGACCAACCTGGCCAACAAAGTGAAACCCTGTTTCTACTAAAAATACAAAAATTAGCCAGGCGTGGTGGTGGGCACCTGTAATCCCAGCTACTCAGGAGGCTGAGGCAGGAGAATTGCTTGAACCCGAGAGGCAGAGGTTGCAGTGAGCTGAGACTGTGCCACTGCACTCCAGCCTGGGTGACAGAGTGAAATTTCATAGAAAGAGAGAGAAGAAAGAAAGAAAGAAAGAAAGAAAGAAAGAAAGAAAGAAAGAAAGAAAGAAAGAAAGAAAGAAAGAAAGAAAGAAAGAAAGAAAGAAAGAAGGAAAGAAAGAAAGAAAGAAAGAAAGAAGAAAGGAAGGAAGGAAGGAAGGAAGGAAGGAAGGAAGGACAGTTCTCAGAGAAACATTTAATTCTAGCAACATTTAATAGAAAAGAAGAGATACTTAAAAATGAATACACTTACTTCCAAACCTCCTACCCTCCCTTTCAAATATCGCAGTGAATTAATAAAGATAAAGACACTAATAAAATGGTACACAAAATGTAAACTTGATCACAAGCATCCAGACTTGTTTTTAAAGACTGATAATCTGGATAAAATGTTGACAAGTATAAGTAGAAAAAAAAAGAAGGCTGAGTAAACAAGCAACTCCCCCACAATATCAGGGAATGAAAGATGGGTATAACAAATACAGGCTGGAACCCCTGAGTATTGCATGATTCAAAACTAAATGATGTATACTCTTGGAAGATGTGAAAAGTTCTGGGAAACTATCTGTTGCTAGGATTGAGACTTCTTGAAAGTTTGTTGAGATTTTGCAGACCAGAGATTTGAAGAAATTACTGCTTTTAGAAGGCAGAGTGAAAGGGAACTCAAAACTAGAGTTCAACTCTTAGATGAGTTTTTTTTTTCTTTTTGACTATGGAAGAAATCATTTAGGGGAAATTTACAATTCTTTGCTACCTCTATGGAATCTCACTTAGATTCCTCTGGTCAGTTGATAAGTCCTGTGATGAATGTTGTGGACCAGAGTTGGAGATGGGCATGAAGCCTATCTGATCTTCACCAGCATCACCCACATCTGTGGAGGCTGATGCTGAGCAACATCACACTGCAAGTGATGAAAAGGCCAGTGGTAAAGTGAGTGTGGCCTCCCAAGGAACTGAGGAGGAAGAGCTAGGAACTTCGGTAGATAAGTAGATGGCACAACCAAATTTGTTATACAATAGATAATATGAGCCTATATAACTTCTACATTTCGTTGTTTTCTACATTTTTCTGTAAAAAGGTAACACATCCAATTTTAAGGCTTACTGCCAGATTACTTTCCAAAAAGATTGAATTCAAGCATTCCCATATATTTAAAAACAGAGGAAATCATTATTTGTAATTCAATTCAGTAAGTGAAAAATGACATTTTAAAATAGAGGATTTTTTCATAAGTCTGGTTCATCTACTATGGAAACGGCTTCTAAATATCAAAGTGTGCTTCTACATCGAAAACAAAAGTGTGGAAAGCAGAAAAGAACCACGTCCACTCCTCCAGGCAGATTACATGCTTAAATAATTCATGCAGACAAATGGAACCAGCACAGCACAAACAATACTGGCTAAATGTCTTCACCCCAGAAATTGTGTTTGCTGGGCTCCAAGCAGGGGAATTGAGTTTCTTTACCTTGTGCTGTGCACAGCACCACTGCTGCCATGACCCAAACCAGGCTGTAGGTAGACAGATGAGAGAAGGGCATCCTGATCACCTGAAGACAGAAAGCAAAGTACAGAAATGGGGGTTTGGATTTGGACAAATCCAAGGAAGCTTCAATCTAATCGCTATTTCAGGGAATGTTGTAGCTAAGTTTTTACCCCCCAGAGAATTTTGGTTTTGTGGGAGCAGAACTAGAGGTTATAAATGGAAGAAATAATAAAGCATGCTCAGGATATGAGGAGGGAAAAGCAGCAGCGTGGCTTCAACACAATAGCAATGCCTGGCAATTTGGGGCCTTGCTCCTGAAGCCACCATTGTCAAGAGCGAGGTCTCAAAGACATAGGATCACTGGGGAAAACAAACTGGCTTAAATAAATACAGAAAATGCTGAGAATACAAATGTTATACAGCATCCACTTCCCAAAAAATCCATGTCTGTTAATGTTAAAAATGTAACTCAGAGGGTAACCACTTTTCAAGAACATTATTTGACTGCCTTGAATTTTGTTGAGGTTGATTTTAATTCTGCAAGTCTTACATATAAACCGCATGTTTTAAAAAGCAGTACTGGCTTTAATTTTTTCCTTCGCTGCCTTATTTTCATGTGTCTGGGCAGAAATCCTCGGCCTTCTTATAAATCTTGGGAGTATTTAAGATAATGTTATTCTGGGCATCATCCTTCTATAAAATGGTAAGTCAGGGTAGAGGCAGTTGAACTTTTCTCTGCAATAGTGCCATGGATCCATTCATTTGGTCTGTATGTATGTTCATACTAAGGGGCAAAGGAAAGAAATGTAACTTTTTCCTTTATTTTTTCTATATTTCTATTTTTCATAATAGAGATGATTAAAAAATGTAACTTTTATCTGTTTTTAACTGAACTTTATTTTTATTTCATGTTACTATTCCAACTGGAGATAAGAATTTACTTCCAGTCAATGTTGCATAATCTCTGTCAATTCGGTCTCTCACCACCACAATACCCCATAATTGTCCCAATCTCTAGCATTGCGTCTGCATTCCTGGGGGTTCACAAAATGCCCAGCTATGAGACAGGACTGCTAATCATTGATTACAACCATCTATTATGCTAGCATTGGCTAAAATGGCTGTGTTCCCCTCAAGTCATCACTGTCATTAGTTTGTGCAATTATTGCTCACAAGATGAACTGGTGCTTGCTCATGTTCTTCCAGGCTGTCCCTGGGTTCCCCTTGTGCTGGATGAAAGAAAATTCTACAAGGCTTTCTGCCTAAATTCCTGTGTATCAATCCATCTCTGTTTTACTGTTCACTTGCCATGATGGACAAGCATGCTGCTTCCTACAGTCCCTTTAGGGGACTGTGAGACACAGGTATTATTTTTTTCTTGGATCTCAACAACTACTTGCAGGTTCTATTTTCTACTCTCCTGAACTTCCCATGTCTGGGGCCTGGACACAGGGCCTTATTTTGGGGATGCAAACTGGTATCTGAGCATAGACATCAATCAGTCCCATTTTGCTCTCCCAGCCTACAAAATATTTATCTCCCTGAGCCAGAAAAGCTAGTTCCTCCATCACTCTGCATTCATCCAATCAACCCTTTCTAGCATGAACATTATATCCTTGGTCTTTTAGCATTTAGTCTTTTGAAACTGGAATGCCAAGGCTCTTGGTATTGCAAAATTTTGGCTTTTGAAACTAAAATTTATTTTCTGCTTAGTATTCCTTCTCTAAGGCAATGGAAGCTTAATTGTCTGATTTGAAAGACCAGAGGACAAAAATAAAGTACTGGAATAAAAAATCACACCAGATGATACATTAAAATAATACTCCAACTTATATTTTGCATAAGGTTACTAAACCACTAATGCTAACATTTATTTAACATTTATTATGTACTAGGCACTGTTCTTAGCACTTGAGATAAAGCATTTCATCCAATATTTCATATAATCTATATAGGAAGCACTATTATTATCATCATTTTCAAAATAAAGAATATGAGGCACAGAGAAGTTAAGTAAATTGCCCAAGGTCACACAGCTGTGAAGTGACAGAGAAGGGATTTAAGCCCAGGCAGTCTGGTTTCAGAGCTCATAACCATAATTACCACACTATCTTGCCTCCCCTATGTATAAAGTTTTGTTGGTTTAAAAATTTTGACACATCGTCACAAAAGTACATTGTTATTGCCTATGACCAAATCGTTGTGAGGAATTACCAAACTGCTATTCACACAGCAATCCCTGCTTCATTGCCCTGCAACAATGTTAAATTCAATTTTGAAGCTGTTTTTAAAAAGCATTTAAACCGGTTTCCACAGAGCCAAGGAATCTCTGAAAGCCATTGAGTCATTGTCTAGAAGCTCTGCTAGTAATAAAGCATGACCCCATCTGTCACTACCTGCAGCTCAGCACCTACAAACATGCTATCCAATCTCATGTCACTGTGCTTTCCACCTTGAACACCAAGCTCCACTTCACCATTCTTTCAATGACTTGAAATTACCAAGCTATTTCCTACATTAGTTCTTTTATCTTTCCTTCTGCCTAAGATGCTGTCAGTTGAATAAAAAAAACATGAAGGAATGCTGAATAATTAAATTTATGAATAACATCAAATTAATCGTCATTTTACCCAAAACAGCTACTTTTTTGTACTTTTATCTCCCAGGCACTCAAGTCATCCAGGATGAATCATTTTTCCCCTACCTAGATATGGAATTAGTCACTTTACACATTAGATTCTCGCATGTGAAGTGTCTGTTCCTTGGTACCCATGTGAAGTGTCTGTTCTTTACCACCCTAGTCTCAGCTCATAACACTAGGTGTTTTGTGCAGTAGTCTTGTCTTCTATTGGAACTGAACTTTTGCCCGTATAGTTGGTCCACCGTATCTGTTGGTTCTGTATCCGTGGATTCAGATAACCACAGATGGAAAATATATTTTTTAAAAAAGCATCTGCACTGAACAAACACAGATTTTTGTCATTATTGCCTAAATAATACAGCATAAGAACTATTTATATAGAATTTATATTGTATTAAAATTATAAATAATCAAGAGATGAGTTTATATATATGGGAGGATATGCATAGGTTATATGCAAATATTACAGCATTTCATATAAGGGACTTGCACCATCCACCAACTGGTATCTGTGAGGGTCTTGGAACAAAGCCCCCATGGGTCCCAAGGGACAACTATACTTCTTTCATTTATTCTATTATTAATCATCTCTATTGAGTCTGACTTCATGCCAGGCACTATGGTAGGTACTTTGGAGACAATGGTGCATAAGGCAGATATAGTCCCTAACTTAGTTAAGTTTACTATCCAGCTTATGTATTTACACACTATTGACAGATTAATTTTCCTTAAATTCCTCTTTGTACAAGATGCCATCTTCTTCTATAGCCCCTAACTATCTAGAGAAAATTGTTCAAAGTTCTTAGCCTGTTTTCATTCTTGCAAATTCATTTCCATTGCCTTCCTATGTATCCCCTCCCTGCCAGCTAGCCTTTTCTACTTCTAAACGCACCACGCAATTTCCCGCCTTGGTATTTTTGCTTGAGCCATTCCTCCTACATGAAATGTCTTCCCCCTCACTTGTATTTATGTAAGGTCTTACTTTTATGAGCCTGATTACAGTCATCTTGCCATACAGATCCTCCTCTTCGGAAGCATTTTCTGCTTAGGTCTTTTGGAACTTTTAGTGCTCCAAGAAGATTCAAGCCTCTTCCTCCAGTGCCAAAGGGGTCCCATCTCCCTTTGTCTGCCATGCCACAGCTTCCAGATCTTGTCTGAACACACCCATCTGCTTTCCAGTTTGAGAGAAAATGACTACTTCCCAAATATACCCACCATATACCCCACACCTTGAGACACTGTTTCCAGCATGCTTACTACCTGTCAACACCCCTCACCCCCCGCCACTCCCCCAGCTATCAGTCTTTCATTCTCTCTTGTCAGTGAAAAAAATTATAGCACTAAAGCAGGCTTGACAGTTTTGAAACTACTCTTCTTTTTCAGACTGAGTTAAATTCCTGAGGTTGGGACATTGTCTGCTTGTTTCATTAGAAACAGTCTCTTATTTGGCTCTGTCTATTCTTTTATGGTATTTAGCAGTATGATCATAGTCTTCCATAAAGTAGTGGTCTCTTGGTGCCTGTCTCATTGCCCCCCAAGAACCTCAATATCCACTGAATCCTGTTGCTTTAGCGGGATGTCCTGACCACTTTTTCCTTAATGAACCCATCACGGGCATCCCTTTCTGAAGTTGTTTGTATGTTCTTATCGGCTCCTGTTTAGCCCCATCTGTTGCTACTATAATTTGAAGCTTATTTCTAGAATATTGGCCCATAATCACTTAAATGACCTTGCTTTAGGGTCAGGATCATTGCTAAAGGGTGGTGTTCTACCTGTGGGAATCCCATCCCCTCATTCTCGGTGTTTGCCTTAACTAAGCCCTATTTTTGCCATTCCTTTTAGATACAATGACTTCCCTGCTGGAATTCATTTTCCTTATCACTCCAAGCTGGGTCTTTCTGTTTGCCTTTCAATTTCTCTGGGATTTTTATTGTCTTGTGATGGCCTTCTTCCTGTGGGCTCAGGAGCAGCGGGTCGGGAATGGAGTTCTCAAGGATCTAAATCTCTCCTCCTTTACCTGCCACAAGGATTTCTCTTCCTTTTCCTGTCCAATGGGAGCCACTCAATTTTAATATCCTCCTACTCAATGGATTTGTTAATTTTAATTCCAGTCAATACATGCCCTTTTCTTTCCTTATGAAACAGCCACGACCTAAACTTAATGAGGGAAATTTCAAGAGGAAGTACCAAACCAATTCCAAATAACAGGTGTTTCACAAACATTAATCTTATATAATAAGCTTCATTTTTCCTCTAGCAAGAGAAGTTACTAACCAAGTCCCTTCATAGGTAGGGGTAGAAAATTACCTGGTAATCATTGATGGTGGTCTTTCCTAGGAGTGTAGCTGTAAGGAGAGGGCCCCCAATTGTCCTGGTCAGAGTCTGTGGTTTGAGATCAATGAGATGATAAAAATTAGAGCCAATATTGTCTCAGCTCTCTTGGGGCCAACTTGTACCCTGGAGGTGGTTGTGTGTGTTGAGCACCAGAGCTGTCATGGTCTGGGTGAAGACCCAAGATCATGTTAGAGACTGGCCTGCTGGAAAAGGGCTCTTCTTCAGCATTCACTCTAACTGCCAGAGACAAGGAGTCTCCATCACTATCTCCATCACAGTATTCCTGATGGATCTTTCAGGATAGATGTCCTGGAAGGAATGATGTCTCGCCGCCCTGTGGCCTATCCCAAGTGCTGCCACATACCTGAGTGTCTTCTTGTCTTCAGCTAGAGAGAACCAATCACTTAGACTCTCATCCTGGACCCCATGCAGTGGCATCATAGTACACAGTAATACTGATCTTTGTGATGTAAGTTGCTTTTTCCTTACATCTCTAAGGCTACAGAGAATTCAAGATTATATCATCTGAAGGTGCCATTAGGACAAATTATTCTTTGCAGATATATTTTATTATTCGATACCCAAGCATACCATAAGCATGCTATCCCTTCCTTGTGACTTCTCTTCCTGTCTTCATAGGTCTAAGACTAATAACATAGTCACTGCTCTTTGAGAAACCCAAGATGGTTCAGCTGCCTGAATACATACAGCCTACAAAGATCTGCTCACCCTGCCCATCCACTGCTGGGTATTATACTCACAAAGGCTTTGGTTTTGAAGTGAAAAAAAATATATAACTCGATAATTTTCTCAGTATTACTGAGACTGTTCCATCCTATCTAATTATCTAGGAAAGTCAGAAAAAATCAGGCCAAATATTTCCTCAGGCTCCATTGCCAGTGCCCACCCAACACATTTTGTTTTATTTTCAGCTAAGGCAATTGTGGAGACAGATACTGGCATTCCAATTCTATGTGATATTTTTTAAACCATTAGGCTTCTCTGACGTGGAAATCCAGGCTCTACCAGAGGCCATGATGAAGAATGCAGAATGGACAAGCTCTCATAGAGAAAATCTGTGTTTTAGGACAAGAGAGAAAGCAGATACATACCAAACCATATATTGTGGACTGGGAGCCAGCAATGTTAAGAAACAAAACACAGTGATTGAGGCAAAGGAAATCAGAAGGAAAGCCTTACTCTTAAATAGATACGTATTTTTATTTTACAGGTTTTTTTTTTCCTCGAGTCTGTGCAGAATAACTGAAAATACGACCAATCTGAAAACAACAGTATTTATATGTTTACAGGGAGGTGACCGGGGCTAAAACAAATACTAGATTTGTGAGCAAAAGAAATCATTTTACCTCTCTGAGACTCCGGAAAAGTAATAGTACCAATCTAATGGTTAAAAAGACTAAATGAAGTAGTATATAAAGCTCCTAGAATACTGCCAGTAGAAATAAGCACTAAATAAATGTTGCTCTTATCTCACATAGTTATTATGAGAATTAGGCAATTAAAGCACTTAGTATAGAGCCTAGGTTATAGTAAATGCCAATACGTGTTAGGTAGCTAAAAAAATTAATCGATCAAATCATATAGGGGGAACTACAGTCCTGAAAACAAAGAAGCCCACTTATAACCCTTGCCATGCAGTCCAGGGTTCACAAAAACCTGGGTCTTACCAGACAGCTGCCCACCTGGTAGCTATATTGCCCCTATTCATGCCTCTTCCTCAGCAAGTTTCTATGTCCAAATCCACATTACCCCACATGTAGTCACAAGGACTTGGAAATATCAGCCTTTCCGCCTGTTTATGTGTAAAACGAGGTAATAATTCATTTTTAGAAGGATAGTTACAAAGAAGATTAACAGCATCTAGCTTGCAGTAGACCGTAGCTCACAGACCACCATTCTCCTTTGTTAAGAAAGACAGTGAAATCATTGGCTATGTGGTCTTGCCAACAAACCATACATGAAAAAATTATCTTGAGGCATTCACTGTATTTGGATTCTTATACCAATACCATTGTATTTGGATTTCATATACCAATGGGATATATGAAAACCTTCTCCGTTTTTTGTCTTGTAAGCTGGTTCCGAATAAACAAAATGTCTGTTTCTCTAGATACCCGGGGTTAACCCTTCAAAGCATTATGATCACAGAGCATTTCAGCTCTCTCAAGTGTAGCTTCAGCTTTAACTGATCCTTCATGGCTTCCCCCAGGCAAGGGCTAGGAGGGAGAAAGGGGCTGCATAACAAAGAGGAGACGCAGGAGCTCTCCCGGAGAAAGCGAGCCTGGAAATCTGTATCTCCGCCGCAGCTTTTGGTGCCAATATGGAACCAATACAGCATTTCTCTTTCCCTTTTGGGGGCAGTTTAAAATAGGCTGTGCCTCCCCAGTTTTGGGAGCTGGAGCCAGTGAGCCGAGCCGAGCCTGCCCGGAGGATGCGCCAGCTTCGTCAGCGCGGATCAAGAGCCCCCGGAGCCCCGGCCTGGTGCATCTTTTTTTCAGGCAATTGGAATGGAGAATCTGGACGCCAGCAGCTGCCTGTAAACCACCCTTTGGAAGGCAAAATCCGTTTCTCAGCAAGAGAAAGCGCTTAGAGAAAAGCGCTGCCATCAACACCGCTGATCTAGTCCCCGGACCAGATTGTGGCAAGAGCCGAAGCTCCGCGCCTTCCACTCGCCGCCCGCCCCAGGGCCACCGGCTCAACATCGCCTGCCCTGCGCCCTCCTTCCCAAGCCCCGGCCCCGCTCACCAGCCTCTCCATCCTTGCTCCTGGAGGCGCGCGCGAGGTGGCTGACTGCGGATGTGCGCCTGGAGCTCTGCTAGGCAGGCGGGAGGAGCGTCACCTGTGCCCCTGCCGCACCTCCCGCCTCTTCCTCCTCGCTAGCCCCCTTCTCCCACTCCGTTTTCCCCACGCCCTCACAGGAGCGGAGGCTGTCTGTGTGGGGGGAATTAAATGATGTTTATATTCAGCTTTGTCTATTTTCAGACATTTTTCCCTTTTCAAAGGTGACCGCTGGGGAAACTGACAAAGTGTTTGGAAAAAAAAAATCATTTTTTTTTTTCCATTTTCCTGCTACCTGGACTGAGAAAGGAAATGAGGTGGGAGGTTGTGGAGATCAGTTGTTGACCTGTTAGCTCTTGATGTAGTGGCAAAGGATTCAAGCTGAATTTAACCAATGGACTTTTTTTTTTTTTTAAAGAAAAAACTTACATTTATTATTTTTAAATCCAGATTCAAATTATATATTTAAGCAATTCCGTAATGATTTCACCTTTCATGATGTGATCAATTCTTTGGTGAAGAGTTTCCTTCCACTTGCATTAATGATGAGGATTCTTTTTTCCCTTCTCCTTCTCCTTCTTCTCCTTCTTCTTCTTCTTGAGACGGAGTCTCGCTCTGTGGTCCAGGCTGGAGTGCAGTGGCGCTATCTTGGCTCACTACAAGCTCCGCCTCCCGGGTTCCCGCCATTCTCCTGCCTCAGCCTCCCGAGTAGCTGGGACTACAGACGCCCGCCACCATGCCCGGCTAATTTTTTGTATTTTTAGTAGAGACGGGGTTTCACCATGTTAGCCAGGATGGTCTCGGTCTCTTGACCTCGTGATCCGCCCGCCTCGGCCTCCCAAAATGCTGGGATTACAGGCGTGAGCCACTGCGCCCGGCCCTCCTCCTCCTCTTCCTCCTTCTCCGTCTCCTTCTCCTTCTCCTTCTCCTCCTTCTCCTTCTCCTCCTCCCCCTCCCCCTCCTCCTCCTCCTTCGTCTTCTTCTTCTTGTTCCAGAGTTCTTGGCTCTTAAAAAAAAAAAAAAAAGGACAAAGAAATCATCAAGTGTTCACCTCCTGAAGGCTTTTGTGTTTTACTACTACCACCCTCTCATAAGGAGCTGGGACAAAGCTTTGGGGTTTTGTTTTTGCTTCTTTTTACAGACAAAGTCTCGCTCTGTTGTCCAAGCTGGAATGCAGTGGTGCGATCATAACTCACTCCTGGGCTCAAGGGATCCTCTCACCTCAGCCTCTAGAGTAGCTAGAATGATAGTTGTGCAGCCACTATGTCCAGCTTTTTTTTTTTTTCCAGACACGGGGTCTTGTGTTGCCCAGGCTGGCCTGAAATTCCTAGCCTCAAATGCTCCTTCTACCTTTGCCTCCCAAAGCAGTGGGATTACAGGCATGAACCACTGCACCTGACCTATTCTCCCACTTCTTTTTTTGGGGGGGGGGCGGTGGGAGACGGGGGCGGAGTCTCGCTCTGTCGTCCAGGCTGGAGTGCAGTGGCGCGATCTCGGCTCACTGCAAGCTCTGCCTCCTGGGTTCACGCCATTCTCCTGCCTCAGCCTCCGAAGTAGCTGGGACTACAGGCGCCCGCCACCACGCCCGGCTAATTTTTTTTGTATTTTTAGTAGAGACGGGGTTTCACCGTTTAGCCAGGATGGTCTCGATCTCCTGACTTCATGATTCGCCCGTCTCAGCCTCCCAAAGTTGTGGGAATTACAGGCGTGAGCCACCGCGCCCGG
This sequence comes from Homo sapiens, assembly GCF_000001405.40. Classification (NCBI taxonomy): domain Eukaryota; kingdom Metazoa; phylum Chordata; class Mammalia; order Primates; family Hominidae; genus Homo; species Homo sapiens. The sequence continues at coordinate 112,331,466 of NC_000003.12, read as the reverse complement.
CCCCTATTCTCCTACTTCTAACACCATAGACTAGGCTCACCTGATTTTGAATTTTATATGAATGGCATCGTAGCATATGTCTTCACTTGTTTCTGGGTTTTTTACTCAACAGTAGATTTTAAAAATCCATCCATGTTATTGCCTGTAGTGTGGCTTATTCATTCTCACTGATGTATAGTATCCTATTCTGTAAATACTGTCTATTACAATTTATTTATCTATTCTTCTATTAATTAACATTTCTTTGTTTTTCAAATTGGAAGCATTTTTCATAGTGGTGCTATAAACATTCTTATACCTGTCTTTTCACAAGCATATGTACATCATTCTATTACATTTATTTTTCCCATATATTTTCCTATCACTTTATTTTTAACCTTCCTCTATTAGAGAAATATTAACTGCACACTTGGAAAAAAAATTCTCCCACCTTGGCCTCCCAAACTACTGGGATTACAGTTGTGAGCCACTGCACCCGGCCTTAACCTATTTGTATGTTGTAATTACTGATATAATAGGACTTTTAATTTTTTTATATTTTATTTTAGTATATTTTCTTCTGTCTTATCTTTCATTAAGCTAAATATTATCTTGCTACATTAAGAGTTATATTTTATTATTCTGCTGTTTTCTCCTAACTTACTAAGGACAATGCATATATTTATTTTTTTAAGTCAATTTCTTAAATTTCCCAACACGTATACCTTAGCATAATTCTCCTCACCTCTCATAATCTTATTTTCTAATTTTTTAAAAATAAAATCTTACATTTATTATTTTAAAATCCAGATTCAAATTATATAGTTAAGCAACCAGTTTCATAATGATTGAGGCCAGGAGTTCAAGATCATACTGGGCAACATAGTGAGACCCCTGTCTCTACCAAAAAATAAAAATAAATTACCTGAACATGGTGGCACATGTCTGTAGTCCCAGCTAATCAGGAGGCTGAGATGGGAGGATTGCTTAAGCTCGGGAGGTTGAGGCTGAAGTGAGCCATGATGGAGACACTGCACTCTAGCCTGGGTGATGCAGTGAAACACTATTTCAAAAAAAAAAATAGCTTAAAAACAACATTTTTAGGTTAAAAGAGACTTGGGACACAGAAGAGTGAACAAAAGGGGAAAAACTCCCAGCCATAATGAAGCATAAACATTGTATTAAAAACCCTTTGAAAAAGAAGAAATTTGCTTACATAATTTTTTTTAAAGAAAGGTCTGCAGGAAAAAGAAAAAAATGACATTTAAAATTATTGGACAGATTTAAAGGAGCATTCAGAATTAATATATCACCTTAACTATATCAGATGTCAATATTGAGCAAAAGAAGCAAACAAGGAACTCAACAAAATGAGAAGAAAAAAAATAATAAAACTAAAGGCAGAAATCAATAAAAACGAACACAAATAGAATAAATATAATTTTTTTAGAGATTAATTGATCAAACGGGTGGCATGTAATACTCAGAAAATTATTTCTGTAATACTCAGAAAATTATTACTGTAATACAGAGTAACAATATAGAATGAAAAGGGAGAATTAATACTGATGCAACAAATAGCAAAAATAACAAAACAATATTGTGAACAGTAATATGAAAACTTACACAAAATGAATAAATTTCTGAAAGTGGCAAATTGGCCATAAAAATTTAAAAATTAAATAGGCCAATAAATTAGTAAGCAAGTAAATCAAAATCAAAGACTTGTTTTGCAAAATAAATAAATAAATAACAGACCTAGAGGATTGTTGAGGAATAGATCTATCTTATTCATGTTCAAAAGGGAGAATTATAAAATTACTAAGATCTTTCTTTGAGGCTAGTGTTATTTTAATTTTAAAGCCAGGAAAGGATAATCCAAGAAAATAAAATTATAGTCCTCTTTTACTTATAAATATAAAGCAGAACAATTTCCAAAATGGCTTAACATTAGAAAACTGTCAGTATAATTTATTATATTAGTAAATTGCTATGAAAAATTCATGATTATCTCAACAAGTACCAATAAATTTTTTCTTAAGTTCAACAACATATTTATCATAAAAGCAAAGGAGATAAGAATAAGAAAATATTTCCTAACCTTATGCTTAGTGATCAAACTGCAGTAAATGTCATATTCAACTGTAAGGAAATTTTAGACATGGTCTTTTAAATCGGAAACAAGAAAAAGATAACTGTTATTGCAGGTATTAAATATAAAAAGAGGTGTCGATTGGAAAGAAAGAAGCAAAACTGTCATTAGTTGTAAGAGAGAGAATCAACTTCATGAAAAACAATCAAAATCAACAGAAAAACTTAAATACAGAGTTTAGCACAGTTTCCAAATATTGGTTAACTTAAAAAATCCAAAAATGTTCCTAAACCACTAATAATAACCAGCTAGAAATTTTTTAAAATATCATTAATTATAGTGAATAAATTAAAAGTACCAAAGAATTAACCTAGCAAAAATTACACCTACATTGAGAAAATTGTAAAGCCTTCCTAAAAGACATTTAGAAAGACTTGAATAAATGGATAATATATTTATGGCTGAAGGAAATTCCACTATAAAGACATCAATGCCCCAAACTCAAACTTATTAACAACTTATAGTTTGACTTAACATTGTTAAATCCATCTACTTTTTATCCACAAAAAGTGGACTTTTGGTTTTCCATTAAATACTTCTGTTCCCCTAACAGTATAACTGAAAAATGTAATAGAGTGATGCCAAACAGGGAGAAGTAATCTATATCTAGTATGTAAAGGATCTAAGATATAAAAAATTTCTGGCTGGGTGCGGTGGCTCACCCCTGTAATTCCAGCACTTTGGGAGGCCGAGGCAGGAGGATCATTTGAGGTCAGGAGTTCGAAACCAGCTTAGCCAACATGGTGAAACCCTGTCTCTACTAAAAATACAAAAAGGGGCGCTGTGGCTCACGCCTGTAATCCCAGCACTTTGGGAGGCCAAAGCAGGTGGATCACCTGAGGTCAGGAGTTCAAGACCAGCCTCAAAATATGATGAAACCCCTTCTCTACTAAAAAATAACAAAAATTAGCTGGGCGTGGTGGTGGACACCTGCAATCCTAGTGACTTGGGAGGCTGAGGCAGGAGAATCACTTGAACCCAGGAGGCGGAGGTTGCAGTGAGCCGAGATCTCACCATTGCACTCCAGCCTGGGCAACAAGAGTGAAACTCCGTCTCAAAAAAAAAGAAAATACAAAAAATTAGCTGGGCATGGTGGTGGGCACCTGTAATCCCAGCTACCTGGGAGGCTGAGGCAGGAGAATCACTTGAGCCCCAGAAGTGGAGGTTGCAGTGAGCTGAGATCGCAGCATTGCACTCCAGCTCTGGGTGACAGAGCAAGACTCCGTCTCAAAAAAAAAAAAAAAAATTTGCAAATATAAACAGCCAACCAGACATTACTTGAAGATGTAGACAAGAACTTTACAGAAGGGGAAACTTGAATGGCTAACAAATATATGAATACATGCTCATACTTATTAATAATCTGAAAAAATGCAAATCAAAGCAGTCATTCAATTGGTGATGATGGGAGGGGATCTGAATCAGGGAATAAATAGAAATATTCAAAGACATTAATATTAATATAACCTCATTAGAAACCAATAATTCATGAAATTTGATTATATATTTAACCAAATCATTGTTTTCATTTATTTCTAAAATAATTGTTGCTACCAAATGCATGATTTAATTTGGAAGGTTAAATCTTAAATTTGAAGTGTACAAAATAACAGTAACAAATTCACAAACCTTCCAATTTACCTGTATGTGAGAAGAGAATGGCTCATTGCATTCTCCATGTGAGGCTGTCTCAAATGAAGTATTGGTTCACACATACTCTGTGACCTAGAGATACAGCGACATTAATGTATCCATAAGAGGAATACAGCCCAAACACTCCCCCTCATGGCAGTACATTGTAAGAGTATGCTACGAGTAAAAAATTGGGAGATTCAGACTCAAATTCTCTTGAGATTGACCAAAGTATATTTTCAAATGCTTAGTTGGGCATAAAAATACTCCAATTACAGAACTTGCAGATTATTTCCACTCTATAATAGTGAGAGTCATAACCTATGATTTGTCCCCTTGGAGAGTCTATTCATTATACTCTAAAATTTAAACCACTGGTCCTTATATGTTCCATATATTTCAGATTCATATATAGAGATAATTAACCTATTCCTTTGGATGTAAAATAGGCGTTTCAAAATTAACATGTTCAAAATTGAACTCTGGATTCTCTTTCCATAGTTTATTCTTTCTCTGATCTTTCCCGTATTTGTAAAAGTTTTCTTCATCTAACACCAAAAAGCAAACAATCATCGGGACAATTCTTATATTTTGCTCTTTTACCACAGCTGTTCCTTCAGCAAATCTTGCTATCCTAAACTTGTCCTTAATCCCTCAGTCCCCTTTGCTGCTACTCTAGTCCAGGCCACCATCAACTCTCATCTTAACTACTGCAATAGTCTCTTTGAAAAATCTCCTTCCAGTCTCTACCTTTTTTTACCTCTCAATGAGCTTCCTCCCACCAGTTGTCTGTGGTCCATATTCTCTCGTGCAAAAACCTGTCCTCAGTAAAGACTCTTAAACTCAATTTACCATAAGTATTAATGATAACTAACAGCCTACCTTTGTAATATTCCAGAGTAAACTATCACTTTAAAAAAGATATACCCTTCACTGCGGGAATTACCAAGCATGTGGAAGAGTTTTTTCATAACAACTCTTTTCATGACGGATTTTGCCACAGCCCTTGGAATTTCTTTTTTTAATGATTGAAACTAACCCTGTTTCACTCACCCTCTTTTTCACAAACAGGTAACATCTTCTTTCTCAGAGTAATACAGAGGATAACGATGACAACACATGAAATAAATTAAAATGTTATGAGTGCACCTATAGGTAGACAAATAGAAGAACTAGATGTACCTGAAAAACACAAATCAGAAACGTTCTTTGTGACTATACTTCTTTTCTATACACTGTATTGCCCTCTTGATACCTTTAATCTGTAATGCTCTTTTGAGATGCCTTGCCTCTTTGACATTAAAATTAATACTATAATGAGATTTGCCATATTTTACTTTATTAAAAAAACTAACAAATATTCAAACTCCTACATGTTCTTCAAAGATATATAACATCTAATATAATCTTAACATTCTCAAGAATAAGAAAAAATAGGTAATCACCTAAATATTTATCACAGAAAAATGGTTAAGCAAAATATAATATAATGTAATAAATAATAAATTAATAAATAATTTTATTAAGAATTATATATAAATTTATAATTATATATATAAATAAGCTTAATAATAAAATATAATGTCACTTGCTGACTATATTACTAAAATGGAATTTCCAGAGTCTGGAATAAACTCAGAAAATAAATGTATAATAATAATAATAAATATTCAAGATGAATGTACTGAGTAATGCGATAAGCATTTTATAGGGACCATTTATTCACATTATCTGGGTAAGTGCAGTTATTAGGTACAGATGAGAAAACGCAGTCTCAGTGATGTTAAGAAAATCACTCAAAGATATACCATGATTAAGTGGAAAAAGTGAGAAACAAGTTTAATTTTCACTTGAGTGCCTACACTCAAGAAAAACAATTTTTCAGGCATCAACACTTTAAAAAATAGCTACTTTGACCAAAGTGTAACTAAATTGTGTTACTGACATGTGTTCGTTTAGCCCTCTGAATAAAATGTACATTTTTTTATCGCAATTTAAAATTAACAAAAAGCCATCACTATAATTGTCAATGATTCTTCTTAGATATGATATAAAAATGAACATATACACTTTATGTTGGCCCTTAAGTAAGTTTTTGCTAACGTTAACATGAAATATTTTGCATTTTGCATATTTAGGTCTTCTCACAGTAGGCTTTTTTTGTGTCCTCTTCCTAATTGCCAGACTGCTGTAATTTTCCTGCTTACAGTAACCTCTCACTCTTTTTAAATTTGCTGCTTTGAATTTTCATTACCATTGAAGGAAAAGAGAAATCTTTTTTAGTAGTTCTTCTCTGAAATGTTATTTAGAGAGTGCATGTGATCCGGTGTGCCATTTATTTTTGAGTGCTCAGACATCGTTTTGTCTCAGTTTCTAGATTTTACCAATAGTCTTTCTCAAGAAAATACTACATAGTCATTCTAAATAGGTGGAGGGGGATGAATGTGAAGAGTTTGGTGGTAAAATATGAACACATCCTTAAAGTCAACAACAACAATGCATAGAAAGAAAGCCTTATATAAGAATTTCAACAGAATTTGGGATTTATATTGCTAATATTTGTTACAAAACTAAGCAAGGAAGAATCATTTTCTTAGTTGATAACTTCTTTACTGACATTTGTATTTCAGTAAGAAGTAAAATTAACTGATATCTAGCTAGTAGATTGATGGAAGATACATAAGCTATTCAACTGGCATATTCCAATCTCATGAGCTGGGGAAGGCCTAGGCGAGTAGATCACCTGAGGTCAGGAGTTCAAGACCAGCCTGGCCAACATGGTGAAAATCTGTCTCTACTAAAAATACAAAAAATTAGCCAATTGTGGTGGCATGCACCTCTAATCCCAGCTACTCGGGAGGCTGAGGCAGGAGAATCACTTGAACCTGGGAGGCAGAGGTTGCACTGAGCCGAGATTGCCCCACTGTACTCCAGCCTGGGCAACAAGAGTGAAACTCCATCTCAAAAAAAAAAAAAAAAAAAAAAAAAAAAAAAAAAAAGAATATTTCTGATCATTTTCCTGTATATTCTGATTGTGAACTTCCTTACATGTCCTGCAGATAAATAAATCTTGTTTCATTTGCCCAAGTGATATACTGATATTCATCAGTCTGTTAGTCCATAGTTAATACTGAAATTTGTTACAGCTTTGTTTATGAAGCTTGGCATCTAAAGTGGGACAGACACAAAGATCCTAGACTCATCATGCCTACATTTTTCAGAGGAAATCACCAGAGTAATTAGGAAAAGGGAGAGGAGTAGGATACTGTGTAACTCATTTTGTCTTCTTACAAAATTTGTAAGAATTTGTTTTAAAAAGGATACAGCCATGGCAAAAGAGGAAACATTTCAGTGGAACAGGTGCATGTTTTCCTTAACTTACTGAAGCCTGAGATGTAGCCCATTAATTTGAAAATGCAGAAGATCATGGTATAGAACCTAAAATGTCTTGGACTATAAGGCTCAAATTAAAAGTATATGGTATGTAGAAAGAGCAGAGATGAGACTACTATTGATTTAAAGCTCTCTGACAAGCCAGAAAACCTTTTTTTTTCGTACAGGTATTTGGGATGCCTTCTTTGTGGTTCCCAGTAATTCATTAATATATTAAAGTTGTATAGTTCATGGCAAGATAGTCACCAAAACTCTAGGCTACAGGATAAAGGAATTAAGAGTATTTGCTCCAAAGCTTGTCTTAGATCTTCTGTTGAAGTAGGAAGGGGAGAATGCATTATTCTTTAACCCTAGAGAATGGTGAAAGTTGTTTGGCTTGTCAATGGATCCTTGTGATTTATGCTCATATTTATCCAAAGGAAAGGAAATCTGTATATTGAATGGATATCTTCTGCACTCTCATATTGGCTGTTTTGTTTTGTTTTGTTTTGTTTTGTTTTCAGATAGGGTCTCGCTTTGTTGTCCAGGCTGGAGTGCAGTGGCATGATCATGGCTGACTGCAGCCTCAACCTCCCAGGCTCAAACAATCCTCCCACCTCAGTTTCCTGAGTATCTGGGACTGTAGGCGCTCACCACCATGTCTGGCTAACTTTTTTATTTGTTATTGAGGCAGGGTCTTGCTCTGTTGCCCGGGCTGGTCTTGAACTCCTGGTCTCAAGCGATCAGTCCACTTCAGCCTCCCGAAGTGCTAGGATTACAGGTGTGAGACACTGTGGCTGGTGACTTTCATATTAATTGCAGCACTATTTACAATAGCCAAGATAAGGAATCAACCACAGTGTCCAACAACAGATGAATGAAGAAAATGTGGTATATATGCACAATGGAAATACTATCCAGACATAATAAAGAATGAAATCTTGTCATTTATGGCAACATGGATGAGCCTAGAGGACATTATGCTAAGGGAAATAGCCAGGAACAGAAAGTTAAATACCACATGTTCTCACTCATACGCAAAAGCTTTAAAAGTTTATCTCACAGAAGTAAAGAAAGGAGGATTCTAGAGGACAGGAAGGGTTGTAGGAAGGGAGAATAGAGAGAGATTCCTTAAAGGTTATGACATTTTAGCTAGGTAGGAGGAATAAGTTCTAGTGTTCTATAGCACTGTAAGATGACTATGTTTAACATCAATATATTACATAGTTTCAAATAGCTAAAAGAGGGGATATTGAATATTTCCATCACGAAGAAATGATAAATGTTTGAGAAGATGGATATGCTAATTATCCTGATCAGATCGCTATACCTTTTATGTATCAAAAAACTTCACTGTGTATACCCCATAAAAAGGTACAATTATATTTGTTAATTAAAATAAATAAATAAATAAATAATTTTAACAAGCATATAGCTCATAATGCCCAAGTCAACCACTAAAGGAAGAGTAAAGAAATCTTACTTAAAAATTAGTTAATAAATTAAAAAATGGGGAAATAAAATTTTTAAAAATAACTCAAAATCAAGGAAAGAGAGAAAAGAACATTAAACAGGTGAGAGATAATAGAAAATGAATAGTAACGTGGTAGATTAAAACCCCAAAATATCAGTATTTACAGTGACTATATGGAGAATAAATACTTTAATTTCAAAAGATTATTTGCTATAATATAAAAACAATTATTTAAATACTGCTTATTGGCTTCTACTGTTAGAAATATCCTGTGAGGAAATTATACCCTGTTTAACTATTGTTATAATTAAATTATTGTTACAAAACAGAAGATAAATACAGGTGACAGAGCTTGGAAGGAAGGAGAGCAAACAGGAATGGGCAGCTAAGAGAGACATTCTGAAACTGGGTCAATGGTCAATGGTCTTGTTGTTTGAGGTGTTATCCAAGCTTGTTGTCTTGCGACCAAGAGAATTAAGGAGCATGGATACACAAAGGGTGAGGTTGAAGCAAAAATTTAATAAGTGAAAGAAGAAAGCTCTCTGCAGCAGAGAGGGGAGCCCCAGTGGGGTGCTGTTTTACAGTTGAATTCAGAAGCTTTTATAAGAAACTCCTCTTAACTCTGTAGCTGCTTGAGCAAATTCTCTTATCTGTACAGCTGTCTGTGTAATTTCCCTTATCTATGCAGCTACAGATATGTCTCCAGGTAAGCTCAAAGCACAGCTTCTCTTGTTTGTGTAACTGCGGATTTGTTTTAGGTAAGTCCCCCTCCCCTCCCTGTGAAAGCGCCCGTGGAGCCCACCGTGTACATGTCTGAAAAGGGGAGGTAACTTTTTCCTGAGATCCCACCAATCACAAAAAGAACAAAAGGCTTCCATGCTGGACCTTGCCTCCTTATCTGTGCAGCTGCAGCCTGAGTTTTCCCCAGGCTGCTCTACTTGTGCCTGTAGCTGTGATTTTTCAGCTGTTTCTCCAAGGACTAGCCTTAGCCGTCTACCTAACTTTTTGCTTTCCTTCTCCCTAAATTGTATGGTGGATGAAACAAACAAACAAACAAAAAACAGATTTGGCAAGGCTGTTCAAAGTTGTAGAGGTAAGCAGGGAAAAAAAAAAAACTATATTGGGAGGAAAATGGTGGAGAAAAAGTTGAGGGAGGTGTAAAAAGAGCTCAATCTTCAGTAATTGTGGCAAAAATCCAGTGGAGACCGTAGATCAATTTAACATTTGCCATATAAGAACAGTTGCCTCAGGAAGCAGGACTAGGGTAGAGATGTCTTCATTATTTGATTCATTTAACCATGCATATATAATACATTGATTTACATTTAAAAAAATACGTGACTTATACAAACACTTCTGGTAATGGATTTTGAAGAAAAATAAATATTTTTCGTTATTGATGTATCACTTCCACTTACATTCTTGTATTACTAAAAGAGGGACAATCTTCTCATTATTCATTAGAAGATGATTCAAGTACAAAATCAGGCATTGGAGCACCAGAGACCTCACAGTCTCCATAGAGATGGTGCATATTTCAGTGACAGTTATTGTGCCATTTGGATTCTGAGCAAAATATTCCTCTGGTGAGTTAATTAATACTTGTGAGGGGAAAACAGATAGTCGAGGAGTAGGTTTTCTTATAGCTGAATAATTAAGGCTAAGAAAATCTTCAAAGTCCAGATTCAGCTAGAGTTCAGTTCTTAATTCAGATACAGCTGAGGCAAAAAAAAAAAAAAAAAAAAAAAAGGGAGAAACAAAAAGTATGTCATGCTAGATTTATATGATCCCTAAGACTGGTCTTCCCCAAATTTTTATATGGAACCAAAGTATAGGAAACATATCCCTCTCAGATATTTCTCCCCACATTTTACAAAACTTCACAGTACCATTTCCTGTACCCACTGACAGGCCCTCCAATTTGAGAAGAACAGTTGATGTCGTAACTCTCATTCAACCTTACATAAACCCCCAACACTTTAAATGTATGGCAACATAATGAGGAGACACTATGACACTATAATTATTCCTGTAACTTGGTGTTAATTTGAAGACTGGGAATCCCCTGTTCTCTTAGAGTCCTCATCCTTCTTCTTTCTTTCTTTCCTGGCTCTTTTTCTTTTTCTCTCATTTCTCAGCTCTCCAGTATGAAAGTCCTTCATGAATTTCACTCATAGTAAGAATGCTACTAACTGATCTAAACTAAGGGTGTGGTGATTGTGGGCACAATAATTTAATGATAAGAGCAAATAATTCTCCTAAGATCTTCAAAGGTATTGATTTCCTCAGTCCTCTGCTACAGTTTGTTAAGATTGGCAGAAGGCCACAATTTCTTTGCTGGTTGAGAAAAAATTACCAATAATTTTCCCTGACACCACATGGTAGCAGAAAAGGGCATCTGATTAGGTTATTCTCTAATAGGAAGTTAAAGTGAAATTTTTAATTTTCCTGCGATAAGAAAGAAGGGCTTTGGAAAATCTATTAAGTGACATGTATATATGTATGTGTATGCCTCCATGTGTGTGTTTTTGAGGTCTCAAAATATGCAAAAATAATTAAATAAAAATTAGAATTATATTTTCAAAGCTTTCTTTCTAGATAAGATGGAGTAGTTTGCAGGAGGTTAATATTTCTATTGAGAATAACTGTATAAACTGAATTAATTACACAAGAATTTACTTCAAGGCATTGGGCAACTGAAAAGCCAAGAAGAATTAGAGGGAGTAAAATACAGAGAGGAGGGAGTCTTACAGAGGTGAGCTGAGAGTCAGCGGTAACAACCTGGGGTTACTTTTGTCAGTACTCTGTGGGTTGGAAGTTGAGAATCGGGAAACAGATAAACCTTTGGAGTTTCCTGGAATTTTGCAGCCCTAGAGTGAGTGGAGTGACAAATGGAAGACTTTGTAGAGCTTCAGACACATGCCAATTTCTCCCTTAACATCTTGCTGAACTGCAAATCTGCACATGGTGGGAAGTTAAAAGGTAAATCAAAACCTCAGGAAGTCAGAGTGGAACTCTTCCAGACCTAAGATTCTTAGAAGATAAAAATCTCTAGGAAGGAGCACTAGAGATTAAAAGCTCTAAAAAATAGTGTTGAATTCATGCAGTGAAAAGCTGCCAACACCTTTTTTCTGAGGATACTTGTTGATACATGTAAGAATCCAGCTTTGACCTTAAGTAGAACTCTGCTGCTGAGCAACAAAGAAATCAAAAGAGCATTTGGTGATTTCTTGGGCTACAGTAACAAAACTGAAGACTTGAAGAAACTCACACATAGAGTCACCTTCCCCCTCAAAACATTTACCGAATTCTGATTTCGTGCAGAGAAAAAAAACCAAAGAGCTAAGTTCAATCTCTCAACAGCTCAGAAAAAATTCTCGTAGTCTGTTAGGGCTAAGGAGACAAATATGCATTAGTCTCACAATTGAAAGCTCTAGAGGTTCATGCTTTAAAAAGAGTGATAAACCAATTAGAAAATATTTTGAACAGAATTACAATGAAGATATGACATATCAAAACTTGTGATATATAGCTGAAGAAGTGAACAAAGGAAAATGTGTTGCCTTGGATCCACACATTAGAAGAAAAAGGCAGAAAATTGATGATCAGAGCTTCCATGTCAAGATACTAGTAAATCAGCAGGAAATCCAAACTACAGAAAGTAGAAGAAAGAACATAAAAAAGACAAGAGCAAAACTCAATAAAATAAAAGATAAAATAACAACATTCCAGTGGGTATTTACTAGTAAAATTTATACACCCCAGGTGAGCTTAACCAAAAGAAAAAAGAAAGAAAATACAATTTACCAATATTGTGATAAATAGGGAAACCCTACCACAAATCCTACAGACATTAAGAAAAACAATATTTTTACCAATTACATGAAAATTACTTTGAAAATTGGCATAAAATGTAACTTATCAAAATAGACAGAAGAAAAAATTAAAAAACAGAGAAGTGAGATATCTATTAATGATATTGAATCCATTATTAAAAATCATCCAGATGAAATACCAAGGCTCTTGTATCTTCACTGGTGAATACTTCCAAATACTTGAAGGGAGAAAAATTATCAATATTGTAATATTCTTCAAAGGGGGAAAAACACATACCAGCAATTTTTATTTTTATTTTTCTTTCACAGCTGGCTATGTGATTCAAATAGTCAACTTTTTAAAATCTGTGTATCTGTATGTCTGTGTATTTATGCTATATGTACATGATGTTTCACTACCAAAATAGATAAAAGAGTTCTATAACTGGCTTAGAGAAAGTAAGTGCTTAAATCAAATATTTTATCAGGAAAATAAAAACTTTAACTCATATGCATTTTGGTTTACGTGACTTTAATAATCTTTAGTAAATAAAGACAGTTTTTAAATTATTGGTATAATAAAACATGTGTCTTCAAAATTTAATTTAGACATTTGGTCTGAATAAGGAAGGTCAGATACTGTCTCTGCTAGATATAAAACTTTGCTTGTCTAATACTTTTGATACTTGCTTAACTTGCCTATGAACGTGTCTTTAGATTTAAGCCTGTAGGGTCATTTCAAGGCCCAGCCTCAGACATTGTTCATTGTCTTGGACTCTGCATCTAGTACATAACTAAAATTGGTTACTTACTAGGTTTTTCATCAAAAATAAAAATAAGTGTTACTAAGAGTTAACATTGTAATTAATGGCTGTAATTAAAACTATTAGATATAAGAGAAACAATTCTATACACAAAGTATATAAGAAAAAGAGAACGTGTTTTTATTAAAAGAGTTATAAAAAGACATGGAAATGTACTTTTTTAAAAAAGAAAAAAGTAATTTTGTCTATTTTAGAGGTTTGTAAAAACTATATTAAATGGAGTGTTTAAAAATAATAGATAAGGCCTGGCGCGGTGGCTCACGCCTATAATCCCAGCACTTTGGGAGGCCGAGGCAGGCGGATCATGAGGTCGGGAGATCGAGACCATCCTGGCTAACACAGTGAAACCCCGTCTCTACTAAAAATACAAAAAATTAGCTGGGTGCAGTGGCGGGCGCCTGTAGTCCCCGCTACTCGGGAGGCTGAGGCAGGATAATGACTTGAACCCGGGAGGCGGAGCTTGCCGTGAGCTGAGATCACACCACTGCACTCCGGCCTGGGTGAAAGAGTGAGACCCAGTCTCGAAAAAAAAAAAAAAAAAGATAAAACAATGGATAAAGAAAGTTGAAAAAAAGAAAATACAAAAGAATTATAAAAGGCTTATAAAAATATTACCTCATGAGGTAAGTTTGGATGGATTTGTTTATAAGATTTTATTTAAAATTATCTTTTGCAATAATAACATTTACACTTTGCAAAGGTAAAATATGGCTTTCTCCTTTGAACAAGATTTTCATTTAATAGTAAGAGATAGCAAAAGTTCTTTTTTTTTTACCTTTTGAGTAAACTGCAAAAAGAGAGAAGAAAGAGGAGAGACAGATTCGATTGAGCTCATGCTGTCTTGTTGTTTGCGAAACTGAGTCTCTATCAAAGAGTAAAGGTTTTTGTGCTTTGTGCTTTCAAAATCTTTAAATTCTCATTTTATCTAAGTTAACAAGTTATTTGGGATTAACTGGGATAGTATTTTGTGATATCAAGTGTTTTAAACCTTTAATACTCGAAAAATTTTTCAAAATCAAAATTTCAAGTCCCAAACTCAGTTTTTTTAATCTCATTAACTTTTTTTGGTGCTAGGTCCTCTGAAGTCCAAAAGAGACATATTCAGTTAATTCAAGATGTTAAAATCATACAGGAAGCATTATCAAATATGTAATGGTGCTTAACTTTCTTTGAGTCTTATTTATATAAATGTGTTAGTAATATGTATTTCAAAATTATATGAGGTTTCTAGAATTTTTATATGTCTTTGTATATGTTATCTACAATACATATGGTTATTACATTAAATTGCTGCATGTTACGGAAATAACCAAATTTTCTTGTCATTTGTATCTTTGACCATGGCTGTTTGGGCTTTTGTCATCCACAGACAATTAACATTTTACTTTGATTCCTCTCAAAAAGTGGTTTATAACCAGCAATAGCCCAAAACTTCCTTCTTTAAGGAGTTCACAGGAAGAACTCTGACAAGCTCTTAAATGCAGGTTTCTGATAATCCTTCTGATTGTGACATGAAACTAGAGAAAAAATAATTTCAGGACTTTCATTGAAGAACTAATGTGTTCAGGAGGATTACTAACCCCAGTATCAAACAGAATGAGTAATTGCATTGGACTGAATGAATAGGGGACTAAAATGATTTTTATGACTTTTTGTGTTTGACACATTGGAGATTCTGAGTTTTTTGGTCAGAATCAAGATTTTTTTATTTTGAGCTATTTATAGCTTTTATTTTATTTTATTTTTTATTTTTTTGAGATGGAGTTTTGCTCTTGTTGCCCAGGATAGAGTGCAATGGTGTGATCTCAGTTCACTGCAACCTCCACCTCCCAGGTTCAAGCAATTCTCCGGCCTCAGCCTCCTGAGTAGCTGAGCTATTTATAGCTTTTTAACAACTGAGTAAATTATACTCTTGTGATCAAAATTTGAATCATATTTCTTTCACTCTACCTGATTTCTCCAGAATGTGGAAACCATTTGAGAGTATTCTTAATTTATGGCAATATAGTTATTTGCATGATTTCAATAAAAACATGTTTTCTTTTGTAACAGGACACAATTGGAGACATTGGTTATGTTTCCAAGGCTTTGACTGAACTGGCATATTTTCAGATATAAACAGATGACTTCGAGGAATTCAAATTGACTTTATAAGGTGATAAAAGACTCTTGGAAGGACTAGTCTCATACCTTGTCTATGCAATTTTTTTTACATCTCTTGACTTGTGGTAAGAAAAGAATGTCATGTTCTGACAGGCCCAGGAACCTCAAGTTATTTTGGGACTTTGAGAAGAATAGACTTCACCCAATTCATGGAGGTATATGCAGGCACAGATAAATCCTCTTCTAGGCTCTAGAGGCCTCTTAAAAGTAAAATCTGTCATTCTTTATAAGAAAGCTCCAGTAAAGCCAATTCAAAATGAGCCTATCAACCAATAATTATTCTTGCTGTACTTTATGCAAATAATCAGGCCATACAACCACTATAATAACAGTCTTATATTACAACTTATTTTGCAAATAAATGTTTTGACTATGATTTATCTTCGGTAAAAATAGGAAAATATAAAAAATTACATTTCAAAATAAACTGTAGTACAACTGTTGTTAGATTCTAGCCTTGTCTATTGTTTTTCAGTTTTTATTATTTATCTATAATTTATCTGGACTACATCTTGAATTCTGTCCTGACTACAAGTCTCCAAACTAATGTTTTAAAATTATTTTTCTCCCATTTTTCTAACTTGGAATCACTAGAAATTAAAACCATGCTTTTCTTAAAACCCTGCAAACTGAAGCTAGACAACTTGAACTTTGGAAGAAATAACAGCAATTTCATGCCTGACTACTGATGTACAGACTTCTTGTAATATAGCCTGAATCTGTTTTCCAAGATTGCTTTCCCTTTGTTTCTGTAATCTGGTCTTGGTAGCCCCCTTTTTCTCTTTTTTCCCTTTCATTCTTTCTTCCTTCCCCTTTTTCGCTCCTTGGGACAGAAAACTTGACAACCTCCTAGAAATGAGCCTTCCTAGTAACGTGGAACCTAACCTCATAGGAATAAGCTATCTAGCAACAAGGGATCACAAAAAACCCATAACCAGAGACTAATATTCTTCTACAATGCTTTCTCCAAAAGATTTTGAACAATTGGGGAAAATGTGGAAGAAAATAAAATCTCAGGATCCTGAACTCACTATGCTAAAGGGAAAGTTGAGTTTGGGAACTAAGTGAAACAAGAGACTACCTTCCTTTTTTTTCCCAAATAGATTACTGTAATTTCACATGCTTATGTTATGTAGAATGTAGATTTACTGAGCATGAAATGAATGCATAATTGACTTTGTCCCACTCCCTCCTCTTCACATGTAAAACAGACTCACTGAGTGCTAATTACTACCCTCCTTCCTGTTTTTTTCTTCCCCTTCTGCTTCCTCTTTCCTCTTTAAACATTGACATTCCCAAAATCCTCTCTGAAAAAAAGCACAGGGCACAGATCCTACTGTGACTTGTGTTTGTTTTTCCCGGGCACATCCTCAACCGTGGCAAAATGAATCTCAAAATCAATCAAGATCTGCCTTAATTACTTTTTTTACTTACACAGTATAAGCTTAATAATAAAGCTTAATAAAAATATTTCAAGAAAAAAGAATTGCAGACCAGTATCTTTCCTGGGCTTTGATCCTAAAATAAATATTGGATAATCAAATTAACCAATACGTTATAAAAGGATACACAGTAATTATCACTAAGGTTTCCTTCTCTCCAGTAATGCAAGGATGATTTAATATTCACAAATCAATCAATTTAAATCACCATTGACATGGTTAGGCTTTGTGTCCCCACCCAAATCTCATCTTGAATTGTAATCCCCAGGTGCTGAGGGAGAGAACTGGTGGGAAGTGATTGGATCATTAGGGCAGTTCCTCCCATGCTGTTCTCATGATAGTGAGCGAGTTCTCACAAGATCTGATGGTTGTATAAGTGTTTGATAGCTTCTCTCTTGCTCAGTCACTTCTCTCTCCTGCCACCATCTGAAGAAGGTCCTCCTTTCCTCTTTGCCTCTCACCATGATCATAAGTTTCCTGAAGCCTCCCCAGCCATGTGGAACCGTGAGTCAATTAAACCTCTTTCCTTTATAAATTACCTAGGCTCTGGTATTTCTTTATAGCAGTGTGAGAATGGACTAACACAGCCATATTAACAGAAAAAGTGAGAAAAATAATGTGATTAATAGATTCAGAAAAAAGCATTTAATATGTTTCTATACCTATTTATGAATGAATAATAGCTAGCTAGGAATATAAGAGAATTTCCTTTATATAATGAAAGATAACTACAACAAACCTTCAGCTAACATTACACTTAATGGTGAAACTGTTAATGCTTTTCCTTTGAGCTCAGTAACAAGACAAAAATTCCCACCACTCTCAGTCCTTCTCTCCAATGGTTGACTGGAGATCCTAGCTTGGACAATAAGCCATGAGAAAGAAATAAAATGAATAAAGATGGGAATGCATTAAATCAGTCTTTATTTCCAGGTGACATGATTTTGTACTTAAAGAATTAGAAAAATTTACAGAGAAATTATTACAATTAACAAGTCAATTCAGCAAGAACCTGGATTCAAGGTCAATATTCCAAAATAGATAAGATGTCCAGTTTCAGTTTTAACATACAAAGAGCTTGGAATTCATCATCTCATCCTAACACAAGAAAAAAGCTGAACAAACTGAAAATCAATGGTCTTTATTAGACTCTTCAGAGAATTAAAGGCACAGGGAAAACTACAACCCTGAAATCAGCAGAGACGTGAATAGAAAGGCACTGAGATCAGCTTACTCGGAATGAAAGTCACTGGTGTTATAAAATGGTAGGGACATATCAATGATAATTTTGATGGACTGCCAGAGGCTTCATGTGAATCAGCTTGAGAGTGATAAACTCTTCAGAGCTGCAGTCTTAGAGAGACCCCACAATTCCATAGGTTTCACCTCCAGGAACCTTATCAGCTTTTCATAGTAAAGAGCCAAGAAAAATCACTTCATATGTTTAAAAACAGAAGAGGAAATGTAACCATTTTTAAATAAGCCCAGTGCATTTTTCATTAAAAAAAAAAAAACCTACTTTCTAGGAAAAAAAGAAAAAAAAAGATATATATAACCAGAACCTTATCTTATGTAGATGGAAGGAAAATGACCTAACTCCAGTCATTTCTTGCTTTCCTGTCTCATCTAAAGTGGTAAGCGAGAGAAAAATAAGTAAGAAAATGTATGAAGGTCATAAGTGTTGTGGGATTCAGGAGAATGAGAGAGAGACCTAGAGTTGAAACAGGAGAAT
This sequence comes from Homo sapiens, assembly GCF_000001405.40. NCBI lineage: Eukaryota > Metazoa > Chordata > Mammalia > Primates > Hominidae > Homo > Homo sapiens. The sequence continues at coordinate 112,312,881 of NC_000003.12, read as the reverse complement.
CTTTTATTGAGTGCACTCAGGCCCAGCTGACTCAACGTCCAAAAGACTGGGCCCAGAACGAAGACAGCACTTGACTTTTATACACACTTCACAAAAGAAGGTGGGCTAGCTTGAAGTAAGCTTACAGTGGCATGAAAGCAGGGATACAGAGGCAGGACAAAGATGGTTAATCAAATTGTAACAGGTTCATAACTCAGGATTACACATAACCATTGCTATGCAACCCAGATGTCCATTATCTGGGTTTGCCTAGGCACAGGCGTATCCTATAACCTTCACTATGGCGCCCAGGTGACTGTAACTGAGATCTGCTCAGACGCTCATGACCTTCACTCTACTGCTTAGATAAAACAGATTACTTGAAGTCACTAGTTACAGAGAACAGGAATCTGTGAACTCATTCCATAAAACAAAGGAAAATTTGTTTTTCTTCTCCTTATGTTGAGAGAGTGCTGGGAGAGTCTCCAGAGCACATTAGATAATATTATCAAGACTCTTCCTGGGTCTGGGCTGTGCCTGTTGCTGCCCCTGGGACAAATCAGCCTAATACAGAAAAACTTTTTTCTCTTTCTTTTTAATTTTATTTTTCTTTAATTTCCCACCTCAATAGCCTATAGCCAAGGTACACAGGCCCACTAAAAGAGTGAGAATTAATCATAAGATTTTAGAATGCTTTCTCTCCACAATTCCTTACCACCATCAATAGAGCTCTAGTATAATAGCATTGGATTATAGCTGAAATACTTGCAAGTCTCAGACTCTAATTAATAAGCAGTTCTTAGAGATATTCAAAGAAAATGGGGAAGAAAAAAACAAGGAAACTATAGATATGTGAAGCCCTTGACACCTGCTGCTATAGTAAACAATAATGCAACCCAACTTTTAGCCACATTTGCATAAAACCCACACTAAAAGCCTATTTACCTCAATTTCTATTACCTCATGTATCATGTCTGGCCTTTGACAAAAAATTGCAAGGCATGTTAAAAGACAAGAATGGTTCAGGAGCAGTGATTCACATCTGTAATCCCAGCACTTTGGGAGGCCGAGGCAGGCAGATCACGAGGTCAGGAGTTCAGGACCAGTCTGTCTAACATGGTGAAACTCCATCTCTACTAAAAATACAAAAAAAATTAGCCAGGTGTGGTGGTGCACACCTGTAATCCCAGCTACTCAGGAGGCTGCGGCAAGAGAATTACTTGAACCTGGGAGGCAGAGGTTGCAGAGAGCCAAGATTGCACCATTGCACTCCAGCCTGGGCAACAGAGTGAGACTCCGTCTCAAAAAAAAAAAAAAAAAAAAAAAAAAAGACAAGAACAAAGGCAGTCTGAAGAGACAAAGCAAACATTAAACTATATTCAGATAAAACACAAACTTTAGAATTATCCAGCAGGAAATTTAAAATAACTATGATTAATATATTAAGGACTTGGGTAGAAAAAATAGACAATGGACAAGGATAATATAAGCAGAGAGATGGAAACTTTAAGAAGCAATAAAAAGAAAATGCAAGAGATAGTAATAATGATAATCACAACAGAGTAACAAATTGAAGAAAGTCTTTGATGGGCTCATCAATAAATTGCACATGGCCAAGGGAAGAATTAGTGGCTTCTAGATATTTCTAGATATCTTCTAGATATTTCAATAGAAATTTCCCGAAGTAAAATATAAAGGGGGAAAAATAAAATATCCAAAAATGGTGAGAAAATTATTTTCAAATAATTTTTATGCACGATTGGAATACCAGAAGGAGGAGAGAGAATTAAGGAGAAGAAATATTTGAATAATGGCTGAGAACTTTCCAAAATTAATGGCAAACATGAAATCACAGACTCTGAAATCTGAGATAACATCAAGCAGAATAAACACCAAAAAAAAAAATCTACATTATGTTCAAACTTCAGAAAAACAGACAGAGAAAATCTTGAAATAAGAGAGAGGAAATAAATCTTACCTATAGAGGAAAAAAGAATAAGAGTTGCAATGAATTTCTCATCAAACCAATTCAAGCATGGGGAGAGTGGGGTAAAATATTTAAAGTGTTTAAAGAAAAAAAAATCCACCAACCTAAAATTCTCATTTAAAAGTGAAGGATAAAGACTTTCTCAGACAAATAATTCATTGACAGCAGACCTACAGACTTGCTGTGCCAAAATGTGTGTGTGTGTGTATAAAAGAAGCTGTTTTGATAGAGCAAAAATAATATAGATAGAAAACTTCAATCTACATAAAAAAGTAAAAGCATCAGAAAAGAATAAATAAAGGTAAAACAAGATATTTTATTTTTTACATACTTGATCTAATTGTTCAAAGTAATAACAGTGACAAAACACTGTGTAATTATAGCATATGGATAAATAAAATAAATGGCAAAAATATTATAAAAGATAGGAGGGAGAAACTGGGAATACTCTGTTATAAAGTACCCACAATGCTCATGAAATTGTATAGTGTTATTTTAAAGTAGATTACAATTAGTTGTAAATGTATCTTGCAAGCTCTAGGAAAGCCACTAAAATGTTTTTAAAAAGAAGTCTAATGGGTGTGCAAAGAGAGGAGAGAAAATTGAATCATATAAAATACTTAATTAAAACTAGAGAAGCTAGGGAAAGTATGAAAAAGAAGCAAATTGCAAGGGTAAACAACAAAACAGTTATAAACATAGCAGATATTAATCCAACTATATCAATGATCACCTTCTAATGAATGGTCTAAGTATACCAATTAAAAGTAATTGCCAGACTACATTCTTTATTTATTTTCTTTCTGTTTTTTTTTGTTTTTTTTTTTGAGACACAGTCTCACTCTGTCGCCCAGGCTGGAGTGCAGTGGCGCAATCTCAGCTCCCTGCAACCTCCAACTCCTGGATTCAAGCGATTCTCCTGCCTCAGCCTCCTGAGTAGCTGGGACTACAGGCACGTGCCACCACACCCAGCTAATTTTTGTATTTTTAGTAGAGACGGGGTTTGACCATGTTGGCCAGGCTGGTCTTGAACTCCTGACCTCAGGTGACCTGCCCATCTTGGCTTCTCAAAGTGCTAGGATTATAGGCGTGAGCCACCACACCCAGCCCAGACTACATTTTTTCAAAAAAATCTTATGCTGTCTACAAGACATTCACTACATGCAGTCAGCCCTCCATATCCATGAGTTCTACATCTCTGGATTCAACTAGCAGTAGATAAAAAATATTTGGGAACAAAATGGTTAGTTGTGTCTGTACTGAACAGGCACAGACTTTTTTTTCTTGTCATTATTCCCTAACAATACAGTATCACAACATTACATAGCATTTACATTGTATTAGGTATTATAAGTAATCTAGAAATGATTTACAGATTCTCTCAGAACCATCCATGGAAAATTATGGCAAAGCCACTGAAGTCACAGATGAATCAATGGAACAAGACTGACTATTTAGAAACATTGTGATGCAGTATTTTAAATACAGCTCTGGTTTTAACACTGTATACAACTTTTATATAATTAAATGGACCTTTAGTTTTACAGGAGAAGCAGGTTGTAAAATAAAGTATTTTATAGATGATTTCTAAAAAGTCGTACATGTAAGAACTGTGAGTATCAGCTCCTCTGGGTTCTGGTTACTGCTGACTTTTTGTTGGTCTGAGCAAATCAGTAATTTGTGTATAGATTTTCTAAAATTTAGAACTAGTTTTTATATTGGAAGGTAATAATTATAATTTTGAAAGATTTTTGAGATTATCACTTTTAGTTTATACACATACAATAAAACTTTTTGTCTTGTCTCTTTCTGATAGCTCTAGGAGTTTCATATTTTGGTCATAGTTTCAACATTTTAACATGTGAATTATAGGGTTTCATGCTGGCTTCCAGATTTTATTATTTGACCACAAACAATGAAGTTTGAGCTATGTATAATATATATAATATATTATATTATTATAATTATATAGAAATATGTAATTAATATATTATTATATTAAATTATATATATAATATTATATAACATATATATATAATTTGAAGGAGGGAAATGTTATCCTTCTCTGTTTCTATAAGAGATAAATACGGTGGATATTTTTCTATTCGTAATGATTGAGTTCACCTCTTTCAGAAGACATTTTCTTTCTCTTCTGAGTAATTCAAAAAAAATCTGGCCCTTGTGAAACCCTGGAAATCTTAAGTCTGTTGAAATACAAGGTTAAACACATTCCAAGAGATCTGTTCAAACTAAAATTATTTTTTATACCTTGAGGTGCTTGATAAAAAGACTACATTATTTATGAGAAAATGTGGTTTATCTTGGAAATTGTGTTCAAACATTAGCTTACTATTTTGTAAAATAAATACTTATGAAGCTAACACTGTTGCAGGATTCAGGAGGATGAGAAAGACCTGGGGTTGAAACAGGAGAATCTTTATTGAGTGCACTCAGGCCCAGCTGACTCATGTCCAAAAGACTGGGCCCGGAACAAAGACAGCACCTGACTTTATACAAACTTCACAAAACGGGGTGGACTAGCTTGAAGCAAGCTTACAGTGGCATGAAAGCAGGGATCCAGAGGCAGGACAAGGACAGGATTGCATACGACCGTTGCCAAGCAACCCAGATGTTCTTTATCTAGGTTTGCCTGTGCACGGGCTTATGCTATAACCTTCACTGTGGTGCCCAGGCACCTCTAGTTCAGGCCTACTCAGGTTTTTCATGACCTTTGTTGTACTTCTTAAATAAAACAGAATACTTGAAGTCACTAGTTAAGAGAACAAGAATCTATATACTCATTCAATAAAACAAAGGAAAATTTGTTTTTCTTCTCCCTGTGTTGAGGGAGTGCTGGGAGAGTCTCCAGAGCACATTAGATAATATTATCAAGACTTTTCCTGAGTCTGGGCTGTGCCTGTTGCTGCATCTGGGACAAGTTAGCCTAAAACAGGAAAACTTATTTCTCTTTCTTTTAATTTTATTATTTTTTTTAATTTCCCGCTTCATTCCCCGCTTTGAGGCCTTTTATAAAAGAGTTTACTAGAAGGCCTCAATATTACTTAATTTTCCATGAAGAGACAAGTTTTCTTCTTTGAGCAAAGGTTGATATTTACACAAAGCCATTAGCTGAGTGGTAGTTTGTCTAGCTATGTTTTTAGCCAACTGTGCAAACAGATACTATAGTACTCTGTGGAACTGTGGATTATGGGAAAGAGTGAGCCTAAGGATGTTATCCGGCAAACATTAAAATATAAAGATCTGACTTCTTCGTGGGAGAGACACTTTGGTCTGGTTTAAGAGACTTCCTTTCCTTGACCCAGTTCAAATCTTAAACCAGGTCCTAGATAAAAGCTTAGGGTTCTAGCATACATAAGACTGGCTATTCCTCGGGTCACAGAATGAATAGGTGGTTTGGTTGTACATACAAGTCTCCAGAGGGGTTTCTGTGTATTCATAGTATGTATGGTACAATAAAGTCTTAACTACTGTGTTTCTTATTTATGTAGTGTGCACGCACTGATGGCAACTATCTATGTGCTTTTCTTTTTGTATAGACTTAGGTGCAAATGAAGCCAAGGCAAAAAGTAATATTCTTATACTAAACATGGACAGAAAGAGTTCTCCCTTGGACAGACAGATTGGCAATAATGATAGCATAGTAATAAAACAACTAGTAATACTAAGATAGTAATTAAACGTAAAATTTGTATTCACATCTACTCATTTGATGATGACTCCTCAAGCTTTGGCCATGCGTAGACTAGTCAGTTTCCAGTTGTGTGACTAGAGCAGGGCTTACAGTTTTCCTCAAGCTTCTGCCGTGCATAGACTGGCCAGCCTCCGGAGTGGCCACAGCAGGGCTGCTGTTATTTCTACTAGTTACGTGGTCTTGTCGCAGGATTGGCCGGGTTGGACGGTCTGGGTCTTATTGACTGATCCACTGATCCTGGGCTGCTGGTTTTAGCCGACTGTGGTGAATCCAAGGCATGATTCCTGAAACTTTAACATAAGTGGGAGTAGACAAGATTATAGAATGGGGCCTATCCTATATGAGTCCTAGAGTGGTTGGATTTTATTTTTTAACTTAACTAAGGTTCCTAGTTTTAAAAGGGTGTATTGGGGGTCTGTCAGACTTATAGGCATTTTTTCTATACCTAGCCATGAACTTTTTGCATGGTCATACCTAAAGACTGCATTTGCCTTTTTAAAGTTAGTTTTCCTAGTTTACAGAAATCACTTTTAATCTGACTTATGATGGGGGGTGGCTGGGTGAACAAAATCTCACAGGGCAAATACCTAGTTTGTTTGGTAGGGGTGCACCTTACTCGGAGGAGGACCATGGGCAAGACCTGATCTTAACTTAGATGAGTTTCTTGGCAAAATTTCTTCAGCAGCTGTTTGAGTATCCAGTTCATGCACTCCACTTTACCTGAGCTCTGCAGCCTATAGGCTGTATATAATTTCCACTTTGTTTTTAATAATCGAGTTAAGTTCTGAACTATTTCAGCCACAAATGTTGGTCCATTGTCTGATTCTAGAGTTAGAGGCAGTCTAAATCTGGGAATAATGTTTCTTAACAACATGTTGGTCACCTCTAGTGCCTTCTCTGTCTGGGTGGGGAAGGTCTTGACCTATCCTGAAAAGGTGCAAATGAACAGCAACATGTACTGATAGCCCCCCTCTCAGGGCAATTCGGTGAAGTCCATGAGCAGTTTTTCACAGGGTATGGCTCCTGTTTTCTGAACTCCCAGGGGCTGCGTAGGCCCTTGTCGTGGATTGTTCTGAACACAAGTTAAACACTGTTTGTTTATAAATGACTTGAGTAATAGCAATGAGCCATGGCACACAGAAAATGATGCCCTAATAATGTCTTCAGTGCTGGTTTTTTTTTTTTTTTTTTTTTTTTTTTCCAATGTGAGTTCCTTGGTGGAACTGTTTTACAAATCTAGGGGCCACCATTTCAGGTATGGCTAGCCTCACATTGGAGATTTTTTACCATTCTCCTTCAATGTAGTTTCTATTTTCCTGGGCAAACCAAGCCCTTTCATTTGGAGTGTAGCTTGGGATCTCTGGGAAGGGAATCTCCAGGAGGAAAGGTATAGCTAAGGCTTCTTTACAAGGTGGAGTTGTCACTGCAGCCTGCTTTGCCTCTTTGTCTGCCTTTCTGTTTTCTTTAGCCTTCAGTGTTCTTGCTTTTTGGTGCCCTTTGCAATGCATTACTGCTACCTTTTTGGGGGCCTATACAGCATTTAAGAGCTGTAGAATTTCTTCCTTGTACTTTATTTCTTTACTTCCAGCAGCTAAAAGTCTTCTTTTTTCTTTGTAAATAGACTCATGAACATGCAAAGTGGCAGAAGCATATTTGGAATCTGCGTAAATATTTGCCTTCTGGTCTTTTGCTAGCCAGAGAGCTATTAGCTTTGCTTTCTAAGCAGAAGTTCTTGTAGGCAAAGACTGCACCTCTACTACTGAGTTCAAAGTTACCACTGCATATCTAGCTTGGCAGACTCCCTTTAGTATGAAACTGCTTCCATTAGTAAAATATTCAATGTCCGGGTCCCTGAGGGGCTGATCTGTCAAATCTCTCCGGCTTGAGAACACTTCATCTACCACGTCCATACAGCAATGAAGGGGGCCTCCTGGCACTGACTTGATGAGGAAGGAGCAAGGTAGCTCCTTGCTCCTTTAGGAGCTCCTTTAGGGTATTCACAGTCTCTAAAGTCAGTTTATTAGCTTCCTGCGCCAGTAGGGCAGTGGCAGCTAGTGCTTTAAAACAAAGAGGTCATCAAAGTGCCACAGAATCTAATTGCTGGATAAGTATGTCACCGGGTGATGCCATGACCTTATGGCTTGAGTTAGAACCTTTATGGCGTCCCTTTCACTTGTGGGCATACAAGAAGAAAAGCTTAGTTAGTTAGATCTGGTAACCCTAAAGCTGGGGCCTGAGTCAAGGCTTTTTTTTTTATTTCCTTAAAAGCCTTTTCCTGGTTGGCCTTCCAGAGAAGGGGCTCCTTCTTTCCTCCCCTTTGTGGCTTCGTATAATGGCTTATCCATGAGCAAGAAATTTGGGATCTAAATGCGGCAGAACCTTGCTGCCCCTAGGAACTTTTTTATCTGATGCCTGGTGGTTGGAGTAGGAAGTGCATAAACAGCCTGCTTTTGTTCACTACTAAGCCATCTTTTCTCTTGGCTTATGTAAAAGCTTAAATACTGGACACTTTTAGAGCAGATTTGAGTCTTTTTTCCTGACACTTTATATCCTGCCTTTTACAGCAGGTGCAGAAGGTCTTGGGTTCCTCCTGGGTGCAGTAGCCCTTGGCTGGTGATTTTCTTATACCATCGCCCTAACCATTTTCCTTATTCTTTTGACATTCATCTTTTCAGTGTCCTTTCCTTTTGCACCGTGCACATTAATCTCTCTTTAGCCTCGGCAGGCCTTCAAATTCTTGTCCAGAATAGCCTCTTCCACGACTACGTTCATGCCCGCGTCCAAGCCTCCTTGCAAAGTCAGCTTCTCTTCCTCTAAGGGCTGCTGCTAGCAAATTAGCCTTTCTTAATGATCAGCCTCCTTTTTTGCCTCCTGATCTCGGTTAATGTACACCTTGGTAGCCACTTTAATAAGCTGAGTGGCATTGACGCCTGCGGAGCTTCTAACTTCCGCAATTTTTGCCTGATATCTCCCTGGGCTTGCCTTACAAACGCCATATTCACCATGCGCTGATTTTCAGCAGCCTCGGGGTTAAATGGAGTGTACAACCAAAATGCGTCACAAAGTCTTTTATAAAACTGGCTGGTGCTTTTATCTGTACCCTGGAGCACCTCTGAGATTTTTTCTATATTGATTGCCTTTCTCTTCTACCATCTTTTAGCCTTTGCAGAAGTGCTTCTCTGCATCTTTGCAGGCACAGAAGCTGGACTGCATCATCTGGGTCCTAGTGGGGGTCCACTTGTCCTCTTAAGAGGTATAAGCATAACTTGGGCACGGACAGACCTGAGATAGCCTGCCTGACTTTTCAAATCTTTCACTTTAACTTCCTGGAGCTCTGATTTCTCCTTCTCGGGTGAGACTGGGAACATGTATTGGTTTGAACTTAACTTCTTAGGGGCAGTTAGGCTTGGTAAAGGGGGGGTAGATTGTCCCGTTATTCTTGCAAAACCAATTTTTTTGCCTTTCCTGAGACTTTTCTTTTGTCTCTATAGCTGCCAGGGCAGCTGATTTTTACCTTCACTTTTGGCTCGGCTGTGCTACAAGCCCCTGTGACTTTCCTTTTAACTCTGTAGCTGCCAGCGCAGCTGATTTCTCTTGGCTTGAGCTGCGAGCATTCTGCAATAAACTGCTAGGCAGGGCTGCATCTATTTAGCCATGAGTAAATATAAAGTCTTTGTCTGAATGTCCTGGCTGTCCTCCCACCCTAGTCACCACCTTAAAACACATGGCCAATTTCTTTATCTATAGTGCCTTGGGCCAGGCAGCCACACTAAAAGAGGGCTATTCTAATTCACAGAGAGTTTTCAGCATCTGAGGGGTTAACTTGACTCCTTAATCTCCCGCAACGCCTTTTTTAAAGTTCTTTAGCATGCATTCCAAGGGGGTGGGTTTTGAGGATTTTCCTCCCATTTCCTCCCAGTAACAATGCATCACATTCAGTCTTCCCTTTCTCCCTTCAAGGCTCAGCACACTCCCTTTTCCTTTCCTTTTAGGCTGATCAGACCCAGTTGGTCCTATATGTTGCTCGGAGCATACAGCCTCTACTAAGAGACCTGCAGCCCCCTGCATGTCACTCCTCACATTGGTTTCTCCCGGAACCGTCTCTTTCACACACTTTCACAAACCTCCCCTGCCCCGGGACTCCTCATCAGATGAAACAAGTGTCTCTCGTGTCCCGGGTGGGTTCACATGCACCCACACACTCCCAGTTGGGGTGGCAAGCCACTCTTGCCACCCTGCCAGCAATCTCTACCTTGCTGCACTTGCCGCTCTATTGGCCCATTTCCTCCCCTTTTCCAGTTCCTGTCTCCAGATCCAGTGAACCACTTTCACTTTGTTAGTGGGGACAAGAGGTTCATCCAAATGGGCAAGACTCTCCTGCCGCCCCCAACCGCTCTGGGTTGGATTAGTGGTCATTCCCTGGGAAGTGATCAAGCTCCCCTTTGTCCTTAGGGGACGGGCTTCCCTGCCTTGGGCCCCAAAACCTTACCACGGTTCAGATGTCTGCCTGCTGCTCTTGAGATTGTCCTGCAACCCTCCAGGTTCTGATGCACCATCTGGGGAGGGGCGCTGGGGAGTGGAAGAGCCGTTTCCTTCTCTGGGCTTAAGTTCTTCCAGTGGTGCCTGAAGTTACAGGTCTCCCACTGCTGGGGCCCCAGACCACCTACAGGCAAAGGAGACAGCCAACCTGTCCTCTCCACGGCCTCCTGGCTGACTCACCAGAAATGTTGCGGGATTCAGGAGGACGAGAGAGACCTTGGGTTGAAACAGGAGAATCTTTATTGAGTGCACTCAGGCCCAGCTGACTCATGTCCAAAAGGCTGGGCCCAGAACAAAGACAGCACCTGACTTTCATACACACTTCACAAAACGGGGTGGGCTAGCTTGAAGCAAGCTTACAGTGGCATGAAAGGAGGGATCCAGAGGCAGGACAAAGACAGGATTGCATATGACCGTTGCCAAGCAACCCAGATGTTCCTTATCTAGGTTTGCCTGTGCAGGGGCTTATCCTATAACCTTCACTGTGGGGCCCAGGCAGCTGTAGTTCAGGCCTACTCAGGCTTCTCATGACTTTTTTTGTACTTCTTAGATAAAACAGAATACTTAAAATCACTAGTTACAGACAACAAGAATCTATAAACTCATTCCATAAAGCAAAGGAAAATTTGTTTTTCTTCTCCCTGTGTTGAGGGGGTGCTGGGAGAGTCTCCAGAGCACATTAGATAATATTATCAAGACTTTTCCTAGGTCTGGGCTGTGCCTGTTGCTGCCTCTTGGACAAGTTAGCCTAAAACAGGAAAACTTTTTTCTCTTTTTAATTTTATTTTTCTTTAATTTCTCACCTCAACACAAGATTATTTCAGAATAACCAGCAGTTTCCTTGACCTTTTGCTTGCTTTTCTGAATATTTTGAATATAACACATTACTTTCTATTTTATTCCAGAGTATGCAAATGTGAATGATGTGAAACATCACTGTACTGGAAGAATTGATATATTACTTTTAGTAATGTACCTGAGCTAAATGACTGAAGCCTTAGGGTACATAGAAGCCACAATAATTTGTATGACATTTGGAAGTGAATTAAATATTTTCAGACATGCTGATTTGACAGCCAGTGTTATATTTTTTAGACCAACACAAAGCACAATGATTACTCCAAACTCAGTATTTTCAAATTCACATATTTAAAGTCAGGGAGGCTACAATTTCTTTGTCAAAATTATGGGCTGCCATATTTATGTCTATTTCTTCATCTGTATTATTTGATACTCAGAATTTTTAAACTTCTGTAATTTCTGATTTTGTAGACTGTAATGTGTTCATTGCATTTATGAAGTAATATATAATTGTACAGTTTCTGTGAGTAAATGGAATGCTTGGGCTTTCAATACAGTATTCATATAAAGCAATAAATATTAATGTTATAAAAAATGTTTAAAACAAAGTATATGATAGAATGTATGTAGGTCATATGCAAATACTACACCATTTTATATAAGTGACTTGAGCCCTCATCTCTACAGTAGTGTAGAGTACTGGGGAGAAGGCAACCAATCTCCCATGGATACCAAGGAATGACTGTATATAAAGACACAGATAAATTTAAAGTAAAGGAGCCAAAAAAAATACCATGTTAACACTAATCAAAAGAGAGTTGCAGTAGCTATATTAACTTTAGACAAAGCAGATTTCAAAACAAGAAAAATTTTCAGGGATAGAAGAGGGCATCATGTAACAATAAAGGGGTTAATTCTCTAAGAAGACAATAATTTTTAATATGTATGTGCCTAACAGTAGATGTTAAAAATATGTGAGGCAAAAACTGATAGAACCACAAGGAAAAACAGACAAATCTATTGTAGCCAGAGACTTCAACATCCCTTAATAGATCAAGCTGCCAAGAGATCAGGAAGGATGTAATTGACCTGAAAACACTATCAATCAACTTAATATCATTAAGATCACTTTATCCAAAAACACCAGAATATTTATTCTTTTCAAATTCACACAGGACGTTAACCAACCTAGAACTCATTCTGGGAGTTAAAACAACACTTTAACATACAAAATGTGTTCTCAGACCACAATGGGATTAAACTAGAAATAACAAAAAGATAAATGGAAAGTCCCCAAATATTTGGATATTAAACAATATATTTCTAAATAACATATGGGTTAAATAGGAAATCTCAAAAAAAACCCTAAAAATATTTTAACTAAATGAAAATAAAAATACTACTTATCAAAATTTGTAAGATGCAGTAAAAGCAGTGTTCAGAGGAAAAATATATAGCACTAAATGCATATATTAGAAAAGATGAAAGATTTAAATCAATAAGCTTCTACCTTAAGATATGAGAAAAAGAAATTTAGGAATTCCAAGGAGTGCAGACTTTAACCTGAAAATCTAACTGTATTATAAGTGTATCTATGCAAACATAAGAATTGACAGTGCACACACTTGACAAGATGTGATGAAAATGGTACCTTACCTCTGTGGACTTTCTGCCAACCCATAACCCCAGTCTAATAATGAGAAAAACATCAGACAGGCTCTGAGAGAGGGTAATTCTACAAAATACTTGACTCCTCAAAATAGTCAAAGTCATCAAAAACAAGGAAATTCTGAGAAATTATCAGAGCCAAGGGAAGCCTAAGTAGACATGACAAGTAAATGCAATGCGATATTCTGGTTGGCACTCTGGTATAGAAAAAGACATTAGGTAAAAACTAAGGAAATCAGAATGGACTGTGAACTTTAGTTATGAAAAATGTATCGAATTTGGTCTATTAATTTTAAGAAACGTATCATGCTAAGGTATGATGTCAATAATAGAAAAAAAACTAGAGAAGGGAGTACATAAGAATGCTGTACTATCTTTTCCATTTTTCTATAAACCTAAAACTGTTCTAAAAAATAGTATCTTTAAAAAAAAGCATTGTTTTTCTATATATCTTCAATAAGCTCATAGAAGACAAACACTTGAATATAGCATTTACAACAGCTCATCTCCAAAATAAAAAGAAATAAAAGTATCTGTACAAAAAAATACATTAAAAGATTTATAAGACTTCTCCACTAAAACCTGCAAAATATTTCTGAGAAAATTAAAGACTTAAATAAATGGAAAGATATAACATATTCATACACAGGGAAAGGCATAAAGATGTCAGTTCTCTCCAAGCTAATTTTTCGATTCAGTACAAACCTAATCAAAATTCAACCAGTTTTTAAAAAATTTTTAATTGTGAAAATTGACAAGCTGATTCTGAAAAAGCCAAGATAACGAACATAAGACTTACCTCTGTTCCAGATATAAAGCTAAAGTAATACAATGTGATATTGATTTAAGGATAAGAAAATACAATACAATAGTGATTCAGAAAAAGACACACAAATATAGTCACCTGATATATATATATATAGATAGATATATATATATACAAATAAAACAGTGTATCAGATTAGAGAAAAATGATCTTTCCAATAAAAGATGCTGTGTCAATTGAATATCCATGTGGAAAAATTATATATTATATATTGACCCCTACCTAAGACTGGAGACAAAAACCTATTTCAAATGCACTGAAGATTTAAATGTGAAGATAAAACACAGCTTTTTTGTTTGTTTGTTTGTTTGTTTTTTTGAGATAAGCTCTTGCTCTGTCATCCAGGCTGGCATGCAGTGGTGCAAACTCAGCTCACTGCAACCTCTGCCTCCTGGGCTCATGTGATTCTCCCACCTCAGTTTCCTGAGTAGCAAGTAGCTGAGACTGTAGATATGTACCACCATGCTTGTCTAATTTTTAAAGTTTTTGTAGAAATGAAGTCTCACTGTATTGCCATGGCTGGCCTCAAACTCCAGGACTCAAGCAACCCTCCCACCTTGGTCTCCCAAAGTGCAAAATACAGTGTTTTAAAAGAAAACATTGTAGAACATCTAAATGACTTTAGTAACCATATAAAAAAGCTTTGGGAGTTCACCCACCACGACACCTGCCTTACGTGTAATGATAAAGGGAGTTATTTCAGTTGAAACAAAATAATGCTAATAACATGAAAACATAAAAGTACAAAACTCAGTATAAAGGTAAGAATATAGTCAAATTTAGGATATGCTAAATACTGTAAAGGTGGCACATAAATTAGACTTGATCCAGTGTAAAAGATTTTTTAAGTATTAAAAATTACTATAACTACAAAAATTTGGTCATGGAAATAATGTGTAAAAGATGTAAACTGATATCAATAGCATTATATGTGGAGGGGGTAGAGAAATGAAAATGTAGAGATTAGAATGGTGTTTACTAGGGGATTGAGGATGGAGGAAAAAGGAAATAGAGTGACGTTGGTCAAAGGGTACAAACTTTCAGTTGAACAGGAGCAATAAGTTCCCGAGATCTATCGTGCAACATAGTGACTATAGTTAATAATACAGTGTATAAATTTAAAATTCCTAAGAGAATAGATTTTTAAGTATATCACCTACACATACAAAAAATAATAAATGTGTGAAGGGATAGATATGTTAATCAGCCTGATTTAATTACTCCACAATATATACACATATCAAAACACCACATTGCACATCATAAATATATATAGATATAGTCAATAAAAAGAAGAATCTCAAACCAATAACTTAATCTTCCACCTTATGAAACTAGAGCAAGAAGAGCAAACTGAATTCAAAACCAGCAAAGGAAGGAAACAATAAAGATTAGAGCAGATGTGGAGGGAGAAATAGAAAATGAAACAAGCAAAACTGACTAAAAATAGATAATGTAAATATAACTATAACAAGTAACAAAATTGAGTTGGTAATCAAAAAATGTGTTACAAAAAAGAAGCCACCAGATGGCTTCACTGGTGAATTCTACCAAATGCTTAAAGAGGTAACACAAATTCTTCACAAATCCTAACAATAACAATAACAGCAACAAGTAGAAGAGAAGGAAATAGTTATTAACTCAGTTTTTGAGGCTTTGATACCAAAGCCAGACAAAAAATTCACAAGAAAATACTATAGATCATTATCTCTTGAGAGTGTAGATGCAAAAATCCTCAGTAAAATGCTAGTAAGCTGAACCCAGCAGCATATAAAAAAGAAATTTACATGTCGTTCAAGTGGGATTTATCTCAGGAATGTAGGTTTGGTTCAACAAATGAAAATCAAGGTAATGCACCATAAGGGAGAAAAGCTTTTGATAATCTCAATACATGCAGACAAAGCAATTGACAAAATCTAACACCTTTATATGATTAAAAAGCTGAGGCAGGAGAATGGCATGAACCCAGGAGGCGGAGCTTGCAGTGAGCCGAGATCACACCACTGCACTCCAGCCTGGGCGACAGAGCGAGACTCCGTCTCAAAAAAAAAAAAGAAAAAACCAAACAAACAAGCAAAAAAACACTAAAAACAAAAAACAAAACAAAAAAACCCCCTAGTAATAGAAAGAAACTACTTTGAATCAATAAAGGTCATGTATGAAAAACCCACAGCTAACAGCATACTTAATGGTGAAAAAGTTTTTCCCTAAGATCAGGAACAAGACAAGAATGTCTGTTCTCCCTACTTCTATTAAACAGTGTATTTGAAATTCCAGCCAGGCCAATTAGGCAAGATTTTTTAAAAGGTGGGGGATGGAGTGGGATACTGTTTGGAAAACAAGAAGTGAAGTATATCTATTTGCAGATGACATGACCCTATATACGGAAACCCCTAAAAATCTACAAAAGGCCTATTAGAGCTAATATTAGGTTGGTGCAAGAGTAGTTGCGGTTTTTGCCATTACTTTGGCACTGACCTATAAATGAGTTCACCAAGGTTATAGAATACTAGATTAATACAGAAAAATCAGTTGTACTTCTATACACTAGCAATGAATAATGCAAAAATAAAATTAAAAACCCAGTTCCATTGTGATTGCAAGGAAAAAAAAAAAGAATTAAATGACCAGGAATAAGTTTAACAAGAGAGGTGCAAGGCAGTCCATTTGCTGATTTTTTTTTTTTTTTAGAATTTGTTGTTGTATTTTTTGCATCTGTAATTTTCATTTGGCTTCCCTTTATATCACCTATTTTTTTCCCTGGAACTTTACTTCTTTGCCCAGACTTTCTATTTTTTCATCTATTTCAATACTGTTCATAATTATTAGCATTTGCTGAAATATTTTTATGATGGCTATGTTAAAATCCTTTTTAGATAATTCTAACATTTTTGTAATCTTAGGGTTGGTGTCTTTTATTGTCCATTCTCATTCAAGTTGGGATCACCTTGGTTCTTGGTATGATGAGCGATTTTCAATTTCTATTTGGACATTGCAGATATTATAAGATACTGGATCTTATTTAAATCCTGGGTTTTACCAGGCATCCTCTGACACTGTTCTGGCAGGAGAAGTGGGGTCACCTCTTGTAGGCAAGTTGGAATAAAAGCTCAAGTTCTCTACTCAGTCTTCATTGACACACAGCCGAAGAAGGGGTGTCTTCTTACTGCTTAGGTAGGAGTGGGGCTTCAGGCTCTTCACTAGGTCTCTGATGATAGCCCCCTGGATGGGAAAGAGAAGGGTGTCCTATTACTGCTCCCTGCATGGTCTCCACTGATACCATGGGAGGTGGCTTATGCCTATAATCCCAGGACTTTGGGAGGCTGAGGAGAGGATGGCTTGAGGCCAGGAGTTTGAGACCAGCCTGGGCAACATAGCAAGACTCCATCTCTACAAAAAGAATTAAAAAATTAGGTGTGGTGACATGCCTGTAGAAGTATTCACCCAAATACTTGGGAGGTTCAGGTGTGAGGACTGCTTGAGCCCAGAAGTTTAAGGTAGCAGGGAGCTATGGTCATACCACTACCTTCCAGCCTGAGTGACAGAGTGAGATCCCATCTCTTGGAAAAAAAAGGTGAATGATTCTGGATTACAAGGATGTCCAGTGTGTGGTCATTAGAGTATATTGCTAAAGAGAAATATTAGACAACATTTACATTTCCTGTTTTATTTATATATATATATATATATATATATATATAAACTTAGCAAGACATATGTATATAAACAAATACATAATGTGGCAAATATTAGCTTTGCAACTTAATTAATTTTTAAATATATATCCACACATGAACCACAACCCACACACAGATATGTGGCATGTATTTCCAACAATGAGAATCCTTTTTTTTTTTTTTTGAAACGGTGTCTCACCCTGTCTCCCAGGCTGGAGTGCAGTGGCGCAATCTCGGCTCACTGCAACCTCCATCTCCCGGGTTCAAGTGATTCTCCTTTCTTAGCCTCCCGGAGCTAGGACTATAGGCGCCTGCCACCATGCCCGGCTAATTTTTGTATTTTTAGTAGAGACGGGGTTTCACCTTGTTGGTCAGGCTGGTCTCGAACTCCTGACCTCAGGTGATCCACCTGCCTCGGCCTCCCAAAGTGCTGGGATTACAGGCATGAGCCACTGCACCTGGCCGAGAATAGATTTTTTAAAGACCCAAGAAAAGGGGCAGCCCAGCAAGACAGAAAATTTCACCAGTAACTGCTCTACTTTAACCAAACACCACAGAAAAGTGTTCACCCACTCCCTGTACCCACATACCAGCAAAGACTGAGTAGGAAGCTTAAACTTCACCCATACCATACAAGATGCCAGAACCCTGCCTGTTTCCCCACCCCAACCAGAGCAGTATCAGAAAAGGCCTTGTGGGAGCTGGAACTTCCATAACAACCAGGCCATAAAGATGCACCCCATGCCTCAGTTGGAGACCATGTAGGGAGCCTGGACTTCTGCTCCAACCCAGCCAAACAAGTTGCCTCCTGCCTTCTTCATCAGGGTAGTATCAGAGGAGGCCAAATGAAGAGTTGGGAATTTTACCACCATTCACTTATAAACGTGTGGGTCGGGAGAAAGAGATGAAACACAGAGAACAAAACATTAAATACAATTTTAAATAACTTTAAGATATTTTATGAGAGTAGGAATGTGAAAAGTTGGCTCTATAGTAATAACTAAGTAATTTCAATTAAAATATTTTTTACATATTATGTTTAGAAAAAACAAATGAGTATATCATTATTCCTGAAAATTTCCTCACATATAACCCAGAGTGAAAGTTCACCTTGTCATCTTGATTTCATTCTCTTACATGCCCACAATATCCATTCACTTTTTCCCTAACCCAGCAACCTGCGTCCTCATATCTCTACCACACTATCTTATCCAGGAAACTTCCTTTTACTAGAATTCTGGGAAAGCAGTGTCCAACAGCTCTTTGTCAGAAATCCACTGTCCCAAAGTCTTAAATTAACACAATGGCGCAATTTCTGTAGGTTCATTTTCACCCCTTATTTGTTTATTTTTAAAAAATAAAACAAAGCCTTAAGCCGTCAAATGCCTGAGATATACAGGAGCAATGACGTTGCATTTCATCAGCCAATCAAGTAAGAGATGATGGGCCTGAAGCTAACCGGTGCAGACTAGGGGCGAGTTTGGAGCAAGTAACTGTCAGTGAGGTTGCAGTTGGTCTGGGCTGTTTGGCTGTGAGCGAAATAGCTGCCCCCCACTTCTCACTTGCACACCACGGGATACTCCTCCTGAGGCTCCGGATGGTGAGCTCTCCAGTCTCTAGTTTCCTTTTCTGGAAGTTGACCTTTCCTACTGGTACTTTCTCTCTCAGTCTCGCCTCCTAGATGAACAAAGGCTCCCACTGTTTTCCTGCTAGAGATTCAGCCACTCCCTCTTGGCGCTTCTGCCTTTCTTGTGGCAGACCATGGAACACTTTCCCAAAGATCAGCTAGCTTCTCGGTTTGAACTTCTACCCCTTAGCTGCTTCCCCTCCTCCATTATGCTTTTTACATCAACTCTTTGTGAACTATCCAGTGGCATGTGTTCCCTTTGCGTTACTGAAACTGAAAAGTCCAGCCCTAGGGGAAAGCTCACTGGTTCAGGGAATCGCCTCAGGTGTGTGGAGCTGATCTTGAGCTGGAGGAAGGGCTCATTCTGAGTGGAGGGGCATTAGGAGGGCAATAGCCCACCCACCTTCAGAGTCAGTAAGATGTCTGCGTTGTGTGGTAGGAGAGTTTACTAAGGAGACAATCCAGCCTCTGGTATCAATATAAAATAAACCATTAAGCATGAGCTTTGTAGCTGTGAAGATTACTGAGATCCCACAGTGCCCTCTTCAGGATGCTTTCTTCACCTAATTCTTGCAAAACGTTCCAATCTGAAGGAAGAAGACTGTTTCCATGTTCAGTAACATGGTAAATTAGTGTGACTTACGGTTCATGAGACAAAATTTCTCAATGCTGGCTGACTGACAAGGACAAATTCATGTCATTTTTGAGAGGGCAGTCATTAATTTCCTCCACACACAAAGAGAATTGAGATATTAGCTAACATGAGAGATATATATATATATATATATTTGAAATAGAGTCTCACTCTGTCACCCAAGCTGGAGTGCAGTGGCACAATCTAGGCTCACTGCAATCTCTGCCTCTTCAATTGATTCTCCTGTCTCAGCCTCCCAAGTAGTTGGGATTACAGGCATGTGCCACCACACCTGGCTAATTTTTTTTTTTTTTTTTTTGTATTTTTAGTAGAGACAGTTTCACTATTTTGGCCAGGCTAGTCTCGAACTCCTGATCTCAAGTGATCCACCCGCCTAGGCCTCCCAAAGTGCTGGGATTACAGGCGTGAGCCACTGTGCTCAGTCAACTAACTTATTGTTAAATTAATGCAGAGGACCTATGTGATAAACCAATATTTTTTTCTTTAATGGGATTTGGACTCACAGACTTTTACAAAGCTGTCAAAAGTCAGCTTAAGATGAAGAGTTCTAATTATATTGAAAACCTGTGGCCGGGCGTGGTGGCTCACGCCTGTAATCCCAGCACTTTGGGAGGCCGAGGCGGGCAGATCACAAGGTCAGGAGATCGAGACCATCCTGGCTAACACAGTGAAACCCCGTCTCTACTAAAAATACAAAAAATTAGCCGGGCGTGGTGGCTGGCGCCTGTAGTCCCAGCTACTCGGGAGGCTGAGGCAGGAGAATGGTGTGAACCCGGGAGGCAGAGCTTGCAGTGAGCCGAGATCGCACCACTGCACTCCAGCCTGGGCGACAGATCATGACTCCGTCTCAAAAAACAAAAAAAAGAAAACCTGTTTATTCTCATAGCTATTTCCTTACCCATACATTTAACATATTAAGCTACAGTAATGTTAGTATTTTTAAAACTATTTTAAGATGACATCTATTCTCAAATAGAGATTTCTTATGAGATTTTGGAGTAGAGGTTGGGGAAGCCAAATGGTATTTATCACATATGCATAGCCAGAGAGATAAATTGTGTTGAATTTGATCATATATATCTCTGAATTTAAGAGTAAACAGGATTCGTGGTAATTTTATTATTATTAATGTGATTATAATTTAACTTTCATGTTCTGGGATACATGTGCAGGTTTGTTATATGGGTAAATTCATGTCATGGAGATTTGTTGTACAAATTATTTAATCACCCAGCTATTAAGCCTGGCACCCATTAGTTATTTTTCCTGATCCTCTCTCTCCTCCCACCATCTACCCTCAAGTAGGCCCCAGTGTATTCCCCTCTATGTGTCCACGTGTTCTGAATATTTAGCTTCCACTTATAAGTGAGAACATGCAGTATTTGGTTTTCTGTTCCTGCATTAGTTTGCTAAGAATAGTGGCTTCCAGCTCCATCCATGTTCCTACAAAGGACATGATCTCATTCTTTTTTATGGCTGCATAGTATTTCATGGTGTATATGTGCCACATTTAGTTTATCTAGTCTACCATTGATGGGCATTTGGGTTGATTCTATGACTTTGCTTTTGTGAACAGTACTGCAATGAATGTACGCATGCATATGTCTTTATGATAGAACAGTTTACATTTCTTTGTGTTTATACCCCGTAATGGGATTGCTGGGTCAAATGTTAGATCTGTTTTTAGGTCTTTGAGGAATCACCACACTGTTTTCCACAGTGGTTGAACTAATTTACATTCCCACCAACAGTGTATAAGCATTCCTTTTTCTCCACAACCTTGTCAGCATCTGTTATTTTTTGACTTTTTAATAGGAGCCATTTTGACTGGTGTGAAATGGTACCTTCCTTGTGGTTTTGATTTGCATTTCTCTAATGATCAGTGATGTTAAGCTTTTTTTTTCATATGCTTGTTGGCAGCATGTATGTCTTCTTTTTAGAAGTGTCTTGTCCTTTGCCTACTTTTTAATGGGGCTGGTTGTTTTTTCTTGTAGATTATTTTAAGTTCCTTATAGATGCTGGATATTAGACCTTTGTCAGAAGCATAGTTTGCAAAAATTTTCTCCCATTCTGTAGGTTATCTGTTTACTTTGTTGATAGTTTCTTTTGCGTGCAGTAGCTCTTTAGTTTAATTAGATCCCATTTGTTAATTTTTGCTTTTGTTGTGATTGCTTTTGATGTCTTTGTCGTGAAACCTTAGCCCACTCCTATGTCAAGAATGATGTTGCCATTACCAGCCACTACAAAAACACACTTAAGTACACAGACCAGTGACACTGTAAAGCAAGCACACAGTCAAGTCTGCATAATCACCAGCTAACATCATGCTGACAAGATCAAATCCACATGTATCAATACTAACCTCGAAAGTAAATGGGCTAACTGCCCCAATTAAAAGGCACAGAGTGTCAGGATGAATAAAGAACCCAGACCCTATGGTATGCTGTCTTCAAGACACCCATCTCACATGCAAGATCGAAAGAAATGGATGGAGAAAAACTACCAAGCCAATGTAAAACAGAAAAAAGCAAGGGTTGCAATCCTGATTTCAGACAAAACAGACTTTAAGCCAACAAAGATCAAAAAAAAAAAAAAAGAAGGAAAAGAAGGTAATAACATAATGGTAAAGGGTTCAATTTAACAATACCTAACTAAATATATATCCACTCAACACAGGAGCACCCAGATTCATAAAGCAAGTTCTTAGAGACTTTCAAAGAGACTGACACTCCCACATAATAATAGTGGGAGACTTCAACATCCCACTGACAGTTTTAGACAGATCATCAAGGCAGAAAATTAACAAACATATTCAGGACCTAAACTCAGCAGGCTCAAATGAACCTGTAGACTTCTACAGACCTCTTCACCCAAAAACAAAAGAGTATACATTCTTCTCATTGCCACGTGACACATACTCTAAAATCAACCATACGGTCAAACAAAGAACACTTGTCAGCAAATGCAAAAGAACTGAAATCACAATAACCACTCTCTCAGACCACAGCACAATTTTATTATTTTCTGAAAAAAAAATTTATTATAATTGAATGTGTAAACACTTATTACAATTTTTAAATAATTTTAGAAATGATAAAAATGCTCATGGGAACATGTATTCTTAGTTTGGAAAACAATAGACTTCTTAACTATATTAAATTCAGAAAGCATGTAGGAATGTGTAACTGTGGTACAGAAAATAATTTTCCTTATTTCGTCTAGCCTGTATACTCGAGGATGCTTAGTCTTGGCATAAGAGTGGGCAAGTTAAGAGGTGACATTGACAATATTTTTCTCAATAGTTTGATGTTAAGAGCAAATATTACTAATTGACCAAAATGTTCTTTCCTAATGGCAGGGGCTTCCCCTGGAGCAGTGTTTCTAAACACCAGTTGCTCATTAGAATCACTGGAAAGCTTTTAGAGTTCCCAGTACTCAAGCTGCACCC
Source organism: Homo sapiens (assembly GCF_000001405.40). Lineage (NCBI taxonomy): Eukaryota > Metazoa > Chordata > Mammalia > Primates > Hominidae > Homo > Homo sapiens. The sequence goes on along the minus strand of NC_000003.12, from coordinate 112,289,962 downwards.
CAGAAGAATTAAATTAACCTTGGAGGGTGGGCACCAAGGCATCAGTATTTTCTAAAACTTGCCACGTGATTCCATGTGTGGCCAAGGTTGAGAATGTCTGTTAAGAGACATAGCTGAGCTCACTCTTCTCTGTCACTTATATTACATTCGAGATCTTCAGGTCTACCTACAGTTCTTGATATGTTTAGGTAACATTAAAAAATTTAGAAATCCTTTGAGGAAAAGAACCAAACACAAAACCCAAAACAACCCCCAAATCCAGGAAGTGATCTAATACTCAGAGATAGGACTCAGTATGTTGCTCCAGGCTGGCCTTAGGCTCACAGCTGCGCCAATGTTGTTCTCCTCTTTGACATAAATGATCCCACAGAACATCAACATCAGACAAAGTCACTTCAAACCTTAGCAAAATGAGACACAAAGGTTGTTGTGCAACCTATACAACACCAAACACCCTCAGTCTCAGCTAAAATGAGTGACTGCTGCTTCTGTGCCCATCACAGCTGTATCTTAGCTCTAGTCTACCCTCCTTATAGTAAAGTTTTATTGAATACTCAATCACGGAATTGTCCTCACTTTCTGACAGCACCTTACCTAAAGTGAACCCTCACTTCCATAGACCTTTTCCAAAATTACCCAGACAAAGCGCAGATCCTCTAATAGGTTATTTCTAACACTCTTTTGCTGATATACCCCATGGTTTCCCATGGTGAGTCATCTCCTTCACCGCAACAAATAAATAACAAACAAAACTTGTTAACTACAGATGTATTTCTGGTAACATTTGGCTGAAGGGCATTGACAGCCTTTCTCACAAAACCTCACCAAGAATATTGAAAAGAAGCTGGCTTTGAGACTAAAAATTGAGCAATGTTGTCTGAATTGAGCGGATCACAGTGGTTGCTAACCTTGGCTGGGTTAAATTAAAATTACCTGAAGAGCCCAGGCTGCAAACCAGACTGAATTAAATCAGAATCTCTGGAGATAGGACGTAGGCACCAAGTATCATTATAGCTCCTTAGGTAATTCCAAAAAATAATAAATAAAGGGAGAGAAATTACACAGACTAGAAAATTATACAGATTTGAAAACTGAGGCCAGTGGTGTTAAAGTAAGCTACCCTGAGTCTTTCAACCTACAAGCAGAAGCCCATCAGACCTACGAATGCAAGTAGTCTGACCGCAGATTCTGAAATTTGTTTTAGAGACAAGGTATCACTCTGTCACCCCGGTTGGAATGCAGTGTCACGATCATAGTTCACTGCAGCCTTGAATGCCTGGGCTCAAAACAATGTCCCACCACCCCCTCAGCCTCCTGAGTAGCTAGGACCATAGGCGAGCACCACACTGAGGTAAGTTTTTTATTTTTTGTAGCAATGGAGGCTTGCTATGTTGCCCAGCCTGGTCTTGAATTCCTGGCCTCAAGGGATCCTCCCATCTTGGCCTCCCAAAATGTTGGGATTATAGGCATGGGCCAGTATGCCAGCCAGAGTATGCACTTTTACCTTGGTGGTAATATGTTACAAGCTTTGTGAATGTTATCTATAAGGCTTTTGATGCTGGTGATACAATAATAAGAGGAAAACAGCACAAAATTTAATCGTAAAAGGATGAGCCCAACAATGCAAATAAAACCTGTAAGAGCCACTAGATGATATGATTTTGGGTCATTTCTCTTCTGCTTTTGAAATACTTGTTTACATATTTATTTCAAGAAGTGTTCACAATAAACATGTATTTATTTTCCCCTTCAAAATATTGTTTTATAATAAAAAGGAAGACATAAGAAAACATATATATATCATATGTATATATGATGTGTGTGTGTGCGTGTGTGTATGAAACTGAAAAAAAAATTTGCCAGGTTATGAGAGGAATTGTAATTTCTTTTCCTTTTCCTTTTTTTTTTTTTTTTTTTTTTGAGACGGAGTCTTGCTCTGTGGCCCAAGCTGGAGTGCAGTGGCACGATCTCGGCTCACTGCAAGCTCCGCCTCCCCGGTTCACGCCATTTTCCTGCCTCAGCCTCCCGAGTAGCTAGGACTACAGGCGCCCGCCACCATGCCCGGCTAATTTTTTGTATTTTTAGTAGAGACCGGGTTTCACCATACCAGGATGGTCTCAATCTCCTGACCTCGTGACCCACCCGCCTCGGCCTCCCAAAGTATTGGGATTACAGGCGTGAGCCACCGTGCCCGGCCAGGAATTATAATTTCTTAGTAAGGCAGCCATATGAGATGCTGATAGAAGGCACTAAAAAATGTCAAGCTACCATTATGAGAGATAGAATCATAATATCCTGTGTGAAATGTAAGACCTTTGATGTAAAACTTTCCTTTCCATGGGAAGCAGGCGAGATTGCCTGACTGTGGTTAACTGTCTATTGTTTCAAACTCTTATCAAGGCCCCTCTTGTTCCTCTTCCAAGAAGTAACAAAGAAATAGAACATGTAACAATTTCCCTGATTTAAGAAAGTTTTTTGGTTTTAATATTTTTCTTACATTCTTGGTTGCTATATACACATATAAATTTAGAGAACACCTGGTCTGTCAGTGTCCCAAATGAGATCAAAGAAGGCTGTGATTGGATATCATCATGATTTATTAATTTCTGTCTGGATAAAACAACAAAAGAGATCCAAATATTCTTCCCTGCTTTTCCTCCTACTTTGGAATAGCTGTCAGAACATGCTTGCAGAGGCTTAGATAATCTGAGGACAAAACCCTTTGTTGTCCTTCCACAGAGCTAAGTAACCTGCACCAGCTTGTGGTTCCAATGACCACATTGGTGAGTGTGAATAGTTAGATGGAGAATCCTTCTTTCAGACAGTTGGATGGATTCAGAGTGGGTAACAAGTGCGTAGTGCTTGGCATTGTAAGTAAACATAAGGTAACACTGGTAGTCTCTATCACTTGGGGTTCTGACTTTTTTATTACATTAACTTGAAAGCATCATAGAAGGGAGAGGCATCCCTAAATTTGGCAGACCACGAGAAATCACTAGAAATAATTAAAGGAGAATAGGGCTTTTTTTCTTTTTTAGAAAATTATTAGAAGGCCACCAAGAAGGCAAATCTTATGTTTCTTAGATTCAGATGGACTGTGAAAAACAACAAGATGGATGATCATATGGAGATTGCTTCTAACATAAATCTGCATAAAAATTTTTCTGAAACATGGCTGGAATATTTAAGGAGTTTTTTTTCAGTACTGAGGACCTCCCTGAAGTCATTCTAACATTGTCTTTGATCAGCTCCATTGGAGGTAAGTATCACTCTCTCTTTATCTGAGTTTATTCTTCCGGTACATCTTATAAATGCTACCATATAGAATTAAGGAAAGTAGAAGTAATAGGATATAATTTTGTTCTCAAACTTATACCTTTAGCTCAATATTTTCAATCAAATGAATCCAATAATAATTTGCTCCTATGGAGAGACGTGTAGAATCTGATTTTCATAACATTCATCCTATTGGGTTCAAAGTGTTCATTCATACCTTCTTACTTGCTATGTCAGGGTCAGATTTCAATGAAGGAGATAATTGAAGAAAACAGGCAGAAAATCAAGGGTTGGGGCAGGGTGTCCCATAGGTTTTGTCCAAATTATAAATTATGCCTGCTATTTTGAGAAGAAAAGAACATGGTATAAACAAAAAGAAAACACTTTTTGCACTATCTTTGACCTGATTAGGGACTGTATTACAAAGAAGCAGAAAAAAATGAAATGGAAGCAAATGTTATGATATTACTTATTGCACTTTTAAAACAATAATACACAAAGTTAAATATTTGTTATGGGCTTTTTAATGTGTAATAAGTAATTTTTTTCACAGTATTATAAAAATTTTATTTCAAAGCTTTTGATATAGCAACACATAAAAGCAATATGAAAACTAACTGTTAGGCCAGGTCCAGTGGCTCACACCTGTAATACTAACACTTTGGGAGGCTGAGATGGGCAGATCACTTGAGTCCAGCAGTTCAAGACCAGGCCCATGAACACAGCAAAACCTCGTCTCAACAACAACCAAAAATTGGCTGCACATGTTAGCACGCACCAGTAGTCCCGCCTACTCAGGAGGCTGAGGTAGGAGGACTGCTTGAGCCAGGAGGTGGATATTGCAATGAGCCAAGATCATGCCACTGCACTCCAGCCTGGGTGACAGAGCTAGATCCTATCTCAAAGAAAAAAAATAAAAAGTAAATGTTAAATTATAACTGAATACCATAAGGAAAAATATAGCTGTTTGTAGACTTGATGTGCATATTTACATCTGGTTAAATATGCGGACTCCCTTGCTTGTTTTCCACGCAAGGAGTCCTGGCTTTGAGCATGCAAGCTGAAATTATGCAGTGTAATCTTAATCTATGCAAAAATTTATGATTGTTCTGTGACTTTTAAATTTGCTAGATTAAAAACTCTCCTGGCTGGGCACGGTGCCTGATGCCTATACTCCCAGCACTGTGGGAGGCCAAGGTGGGCAGATTGCTTGAGCTCAGGAGCTCAGGACTGGCCTGGGTAACATGGCAAAGTCCCGTCTCTACTAAAAACACAAAAAAATTAGCCTGGAGTGGTGGTGCACACCTATGGTCCCAGCTACTTGGGGGACTGAGGTGGGAGGATCGCTCGAGCCTGGGAGGCGAAGGTTGCAGTGAGCCGAGATCATACCTCTGCTCTCCAGCCTTGGTGACATAGCATCACACCTTCTCAAAACAAAAACCTCTCCTGTTGTTGGCTATAAATATTTTTCAGGAGATCAAGACCATCCTGGCTAACATGGTGAAACACTGTTTCTACTAAAAATACAAAAAATTAGCCAGGCATGGTGGCAGGCACCTGTAGTCCCAGCTACTCAGAAGGCTGAGGCTGGAGAATGGCATGAACCCAGGAGGCGGAGCTTGCAGTGAGCCGAGATCATGCCACTGCATTCCAGCCTGGGTGACAGAGCAAGACTCTGTCTCAAAAAAAAAAAAAAAAAAAGAAAAATTGTATTTTTTTCTAATAATGTAAAACTAATATTTATTTAGTATACTTAATAAAACTTTTAGTAATTTAAAATATTTTAGTAATTTAAAATATTAGAAACATTGAAACACTAAAACATTTCTTTATAATTTTATAAAGAATAGTTTGAATAATGCTTGTCTTACCATATAACTTACTAGTGTTCATCTTTTCTATGCCTTGGCAAATTGTCTCACTCCTTCTTAACTTTGGGTCAGCTTCCAAAAGTTTATCCTTTGCATTTTCAATGTAATGAAGTATCTGAGAGCTCCTTTAATGTGAAGTTTTTTGCTGGCATCACTTCCTGAGACATGGTTGTTCTTTACATAACAACCACTTTCTTAATTTATGTCTATACATTTGACTTTGCTAAATTCCCCTGGCTACATATCTAGAACTGCCTCTTGAACAGCAGCAGCGTTAACATTCCCATAGTCAGCTTTATCTTCTGTAACATTCTATCTGAAGCTTGCAGCTTCATGAGATAGCTTAACATCAATTCATGCCGACTTCTGAAATGATGAACCCAGCTTTTACTGGTAATAATATATTCTCTTTCAGTCTTCTTGTCATTACCATTTTCTTTCAATGCAGTAACTAAAGTTATCACTTTGGCCTGAATGCTAGTCAAACTGATTGGGATTTGTTTTTGATTAGTCTTCAATCCAAACAAGTAAATGCTCCATTTCAACCACAAGCAGCTCTCTGTTCCCAGTGCAACTAAAACTGAAAGATGTTGAAGCAACTTTACCTTTTTACATTTATCAGACTTTTAAAATAGGTTTGTATTACAATTTCATGCAGGTCTGGGTCTCAACCTATCTTTGCTTTGCTGTCACCACTTTCAAATCTAATCACATCCAATTTCACTTCCAGCATTATCACTTTTCTTTGCTGCCCTGTCCCTTGCTAACCAGTTACCTCTTTTGATTATCCATTTTTGTAAATGGTCACGAGTTTAATCCTTGGGGTCGCGGAGGCAACACTACTATGCACTTTGTGCTTTGCTATCTGTGCATGAACTGAACAGATGATCAGTAACGAATCACCAACAAACTTTGAAAGAAGTAATGTAATAGGCGACCGATCATGATGCCCATCTTTTTTTTTTTTTTTTTGCACAGTGATTTGTGGACTAAAGAGCTGGCAGCAAAATTTATGCAAGTTTTCTCAATACTGTGGTCATGGAAATATTAACCACATTGTTGGACTGGTTTTATTTAACTTAACTGTGGTAACCAATATTTATGCATATTGGAACTGTGCAAAGCAAGGACTGCCTGTATCTAAAAAAAGCAAAACTGCCTATGAGTTCACAAAACTTTTAATCCAATTTAGTTAACTACTGTCAAAGCCTAATCCTGAATCAAATAAAAACTGAACTGCTTACTGGAGTTAGAAAAATGTTTGGAAAGAATTTAATGCAGAATTCTTCAAATTAGGATTTGCATAGAACAAAGACATTCTTTTTTTTTTTTTTTTTTAGAGATAGGGTTTTGCTCTGTCACCCATTGTAGTGGCAATAATCACAGCTCACTGCAGCTTCAAAACCTCGGGTGCAAGTGATCCTCCCACCTCAGCCTCCCAAGCAGCTAGGACCACAGGCACACACAACCATGCCTCATTAATTATTTTATTTTTTGTAGAGACAGGATTTCATTTTGTTGCCAGGACTAGTCTGGAACTCCTGGCCTCAAGGGATCCTTCTGCTTTGGCCACCCAAAGTGCAAGGATCACAGGCATGAGCCTCCATGCCCAGTCGACATTCTTTTGGGAATTCAGATCCCCTCCCCTCATTTCAATAGTCTTGAGGTCTGCAAAGAGTAAAGTTGTAGACAAAACGATCATCACAAGGCACATGACTGTAACTTTTTCCATAGCAGCCAGTACCATGTTTACTCCTCGGTAAAACAGTAGCATCCATTCCATTAATGTTGTTTTAGTTTGTTTCTGAATGCATTTATTTCACAAATTTGTTTGTTAAGGGCTATAAACAAAATTTGTATCAATTTTTATGTTTGTGTATATTTACAAAATAGAAAATTAAGTCAGCATTAATTTAAGTTAACATGAATAGTCACAATAATTTTTCCCCTCTATAAAGGGTGAATATTCAAGGAGACTTCAAAAATTTGTGGAAAAATGGAATTAAAAGATAAAAGTATAAACTATATTTCTAAACATTAGCTTGACCGAGTTCAAGACACTTTTCTAAGGGATGATACCAGCTATTTAGTCCATCCGAAAGAACTGAGAGTTCTGGAAATTTAACCACATCAATGCAGTTTTTTTTTTTCATTATTAACTGAAGAACAATGTACTGCCCTTAACAAATTATTAGGATTAGGACAAAAAAGTGAGAAGGTGCCAAACTGGGACTATAGGGTGAATGCCTAGTGATTTCCATCAAAACTCTCACAAAATTGCCCTTGTTTAATGAGAGGGACGAACAGGAGCATTGCTGTGGTGAAGAACTCTCTGGTGAAGCTTTCTCCGGCATTTTTCTGCTAAAGCTTTGGCTGAGTTTTTCAAAACACTCTCATAATAAGCAGATGTTGCCATTCTTTGGCACTACAGAAAGTCAACAAGCAAAATGCCTTGAGCATCCAAAAGCTGTTGCCATTACCTTTGTTCTCAACCAGTCCACTTGTAGTTTGACTAAACTATTTCTGTATCTTGGTAACCATTGCTTTAATTGTGCTTTGTCTTCAGGATCGCACTGGTAAAGACAGGTTTCATCTCCTGTTACAAGTTTTCAGTGAAATGCTTCAAGATCATGAGCCCATTTATTAAAATGGCCATTGAAAGCTCTGCTCTTGTCTGTAGCTGATCTGGGTGCAATGGTTTTTGTACCTCTCAGGTGTAAAGTTTGTTGAACTTTTCCGGTCAGAATTGTGTAAGGTGTGTCTATGGTGTTGGTTGTCATTTCTGCTGTTAATTGTTGGTTTTCTTCAATTAGGCCATGAACTAGATTAGTTTTTTTCTCACAATCTGATGTGGATGATCCGCCACTGTGGGCTTCTTCTTCAACATTACATATCCCTTCTTAAAACTAATTATTCATTTATAAACTGTTCTCTTTGGAGCATTGTCTCCAAACATATATAAACTTTTCATAAAGCATCAATTAAGTCACCATTCTTCCACCCAAGTGTCAACATAAATTTGATGTTTGTTCTTGCTTCAATTTTAGCAAAATTCATATTACTCTTTTCAAACCGATGTCTTATTCTTCTTAATGCTTCAGACTAGATCCTTATGATATAAATCTTCAACGTCTTGATCAAATAAATATGACAAATTATGTTCTGTAAGAAAAACACCCTTCACTTTTATTCCTTCCCTGCATATTTTGAGTAATTATCTTCTAAGACCCATGCATCTTTTCCCAAAATCTCTGAGAGTACAATTCCTTATTTCCTTCACTGTGGCAAAGTGTTTCAGAAATGTGTTCCTTGAATTAAAAATCGGTGTATCCTATTTGACTCCCGCTCCTCCAGGATCACATACCTGCAGCCAACCATGCCAAGAGCTTCCCCATTATCTCCACATCGGAGAGCCTTTTCTCCCAATATCCTCCAGTTTCAGAGACTGCACCCGGAGACCCATTATCAGGTTCCCAGATTCACCTCGATTTTGGTCCTGCCTCTCTGCTTTGCATTCTCAGGCTCAGCCTTACAAGAAGGGCGATGGTGTCGGATTGTGCCAGAATTAGTGAAAACAGGAGGAAAATGAACCAGTTGCAGCAAAACCCACTATTCCACAACTAGTTTTTTAAGTTGGTCTAGTTTCTCATTGTTCCTGAACCAGATTTCATTAAAGTTTACTTACTAATCTTTTATTGCAGGATTGCTAAAGAAACTAATCTCTGATTTATAATGTGTACAAAACTACTATAAATATTTCAATAGTAACCCAAGAGCCAATAATTGCTAGTAATGTTTGTTAAGTTTCTAAGGAGATGAGAATGAGATACATCATAGGAGAGGTAAAACAGTAACCCGGTAGATTAACAGTTACACTGATTCTGTGTGCTGATAAGTGTGAGGGAGGATTTTAAACTCATGAAAAGTAGTGAAACTGTAAGACATTGTTCACAATTTTAAGAAATCATGTCACATTAAAGTTCTATAAATGAGATATCTCATTGCCTTTCAGTAACAACATATTTTTTGCAGCATTTTTGAACCGGCACTTGGAAGACTTTCCAATTCCTGTCCCTGTGATATTATTTTTACTTGGATGCAGTTTTGAAGTATTAAGCTTTACATCTTCACAGGTGTGTATTGTAAATGAGTATTTTACACTATTTATTTGAGAATTATATAAATGCAGAGATGGCATTTAAAATTTGCAAAAGTTATTCATCCCCTCACTGTTCTGCCAGTTGATAGATGATTGTGATGTGGCTAGCATCACGTCAGGTATGTAGAAAAAGGAGCCAGGCCTGCAAAAGCTGAGATCTAGCTGAGATCTGCAAAAGCTGAGTACATACAGCTACTGAGTACATACAGCTACTGAGTACATACATAAAAGTATTAGTGGCCAAGGAATGTTAAACAGATTTTAAAAGCTTGGGAAAAAAATGGCTAATGACATAGGAGCTCAGGGAGACTTTGTACTGCTGGTACAGGACTTGAGTAGCAAAAATATTATAATATTGAACTAATCTATTTCCTCAATGAAGACTGTTTTAAAGGGTTTCTGTTAGATGAGAAACTAGTCTCTTAAGTGTGCAGATTTGGCCAAGGGGCCATAATTTGCCAATATCTGCCCTAGTCAATCAGAATGGATGGGAGAACTTGTCTGAAATGATTGACTTTCCCAAACAAATTCAGTCAATGATGTTAAAAATATTATACAAAACATGTATTCATGTAAGAACCAGAAGCAGTTTACTCCTTTACATGTCATAAACAGGTTTTGTAATCATATGATTTTGACACAGATGCAATTTGAAGTACTTCTATAAGCTTTACTATTTGTCAGCAACTCCTGCAAAGGAAGAGACCAATGTTAAGACCCATGAAGGGGCTAAGATTTTTCTCTACTTGCCAGCTAATAAGCTAGCCTGCCAGTTTCATGATCCCAGCAAAAGAGATGGGACTCCTGGACCAGAGAAAAAGGGTTTTATTATCCACAGCAATAGCAATAACCAGAGTTAACATTTTCTTGTGCCTGTTTCCTGAACCATAATCCCAAAGAAGCAAAGAAGGCCAGGTGAAATCTGCACCTACATTGGGTTATATATCTGGCCACAGGAGAAGAAATGTAAGCTTAGAGAACCCGAATCTTCTATAATGGGTAGTAAGCTCATCTGCTCTCTTGCCTATTCTTCCACACACATCTTCTATATAAGCCATAGCCAATTATTTGTAGTTTTTAGAATTTGGTACAATCACTTACTCCTTTGTGAATTTTGTGCATGATTATCCACCTACCTGAAACTTCTTTCTTCGTCTTGATTGCCTGAAAATCTGCTGCATATTCTTTAGTACCCATGTCAATGTACTTCCTATATCTGTTCTTTAAATGTAATAAATGTCTCTGAGGGAGATACTATCTTTATTACACTGGACAGTAAAGTAAACCTGTCATTTGCTCTGGAGGACAACACTTGCTCTGCTTCTAAGCCATACCAACATTCATGAAAAGATAGTCTGGAAGAAAAACAACCAATGCCTGTATGCATAAACCGTGGAGAAACACAAGAGACACATGGAGAATTATCTCCCAAATGCAAAGATATTACCTAACACAGTAGGTACTCAGTGTTTCCCTAGTAAGTGAATATTGAATGGATACCTAGAATAGGAGTTACACATTTCCACTAAATATCTCATGTTAAACATTGTTTATTAGTTATTGCATGAATTACATTAACTTTCCAGTCTCTATCCGTTCTATTCTTCCACACATATCTTCTACATAAGCCATGGCCAATTATTTGTAGTTTCTAGAATTTGATACGATCACTTACTCCTTTGTGTGATATATCTTTTAAAAATTGTCTTTCTCTACTGTTAGATTTAGGAGCACCTAGCATGTATTCTATTCTAATAGTGATGAATAAATGAGAAGATGATATATTTGTATAATATTAGGTCCAAAGATACGCAAACGCCATACAATGGATGAGTCCAGACTTATTTTTTCGTATATTTACACCAGTAGTTTTCTTTACTACTGCATTTGACATGGATACGTACATGCTTCAAAAGTTATTTTGGCAGGTAAGCATTCTTTTTTGGTAATATCATTCATTCATGAACCACATATTATCTATGTTCAAATTTTTAAAATATTTTTTTCCAAAATAGGGAACAAAGAAGAAAGAAAAGGGTATGGGAGTAATAAATTCAGCTTCATCATTTAGTGAATAAGCCATATCTTGGCAATTGCCTAGCATATCAAAGACCCAGGGGAAAAATTAGAAAGAAAACAGTAATTCTGAAAATCTGACTTGCATAACTTCATACCAGATATAATTTTAACTCGGAAATGCTACAAGAGTGCTATGAGAAAGTGTATTAGCTCCAGTAAAAGGAAATTGCTAAGAAAAGTCATGTTTTAAATACCTATGTTTTAGAGCTTCCTACATTCATATCTAAGAGAATAAAAGCAGAGAAGAAAACACAAGCAGCTAAACTTTAATTCAAAAACCATAAGTTTTTTAATATGTGAGATTTGAACGGTATCAGGGAAAGACCTCAAGAAAAAACACTCCAAATCATAAGTAGGGTGTACGTTTCTTTCAAAGTAATCAAAACAGTTTTGTAAATACAGGCCATTACCTAAACTGCATTAGAAGCAAATAATTTGTTAGAATAATTTATACTTTTAAGCCAAATCCAGACACATGGAGTTCAGACAAATGACAAAAAGATGAAATAAAAAAGAACAGACAAAAAAGGGGTCCTGCATCTTTGGTCAAGTGGAAGTCAGCTGAAGCAGCGTGAGCTAGATGGCCCCACTCCTGTGTCTGCTGGTGGGTACTGTTGGTGTTGGTTGATTCTGTATCTCCAATAATCCTGATTATTTTCTTCTTAAAATGGACTACAAAAGCAGTCTGATTTTTCTAATTGTAAAATTTCTTTGCAGATACTTTTAATTTCAATTCCCGGCTTTTTGGTTAATTATATCTTAGTTCTTTGGCATCTGGCATCTGTAAATCAATTACTTTTGAAGCCTACCCAATGGTTATTATTTTCAGCTATCCTTGTGAGTTCAGATCCCATGCTAACCGCAGCTGCTATAAGAGACCTTGGTAGGTATATTGTTCTCTTTTTCTATATTTATAATATCATATTTCATAATGAACTTGTATTTTAAGATCTTTTGCTTTTGGTAGCTTTTCACTGTGAGAAGTCAGGTAGTGAGGGATTGGGGGTTGAGGATTAAGCAGAGATTCTGGAGGTCATGCTTAGGGCAGAAGAAATGCCAGTGATGGGCTTACTTAGTGTCAAAAAAAGTATTATACGCAATTGTGGAATAGGGGAGGGGATTAGTTTAGAACCCTTGACTTTATACATACTTCTACCTTGAGCCAACAGAACAGTTCTGGGACGTTACAATATTGCATATACACTGTGGTGACATTTCTGTTGCCCAATATTTCTTTTCCTTTGTAAAGAATCATTAGGACAACGCCATTTTAAAAATATTTTGCTTTTGGAGTCATTGTCATCATCAAGACTGAAAGCCTAAAAAGTCAAAAAATGGTAAACTCAACAATCACACAGTGTTTTGAGTGTATAGTATCTTAAGAAAAATCTATCTATATTTAAAAGTAAAATACCAACTCAATTTAGCCCAGAAAAACAAAAATAAAAAGCCTCATGCAAGAAAAACAATAACTTTATTGTCCCCTTTCATCACTTTTTAATAATGAGAACTAGAAAAATTGCTTTAAAATAGAATATTAATATGGCAACCCATGCACACATTTGCACACACACACGCATACTCTTTTCAATTTTAATTTCACTTTCTAGCCAATTAAAGGGGAAATAGCTATCTGAGGCAGGTAGAAATATAGAGTAGGGGAGACACATCAAGTGTAAATATATGAATAAATGAGAGCTGAGCCTTCAAGACAAAGGACATTAAGAGAGTGAGATAACACTTTAGAAGAAGATGCCAACATCCACCATCCAACCCTGGATTCTTGTCTTCCTCCCCATACTCTCAGCACACATCCCTGCCTCCTTGTGACTGTCAGTGCCAGCCCTTTTCTCCGCTATATTTGAGAGACTCTTATGATACCTGAGAGCTGATTTCACTCTTGTCTAACTTTGTTATTTTGTAATCTAGTATTCCACTGATTTTCTATCCTGCTGCTATTGAACTTAATTTACGAAGAGTACCTTGCAAGGTTATTTTCATAAATTTTGTCCATCTTGCCATTACTTTCAGAATTTTGTTTCTCTCCTCCCTGTATCTTTCCAGAAGAAATTTTTAAAAGTAATTTCTTCTTGGCAGCATTGTTCCTGAGTTGACAAAGCAAGATTTATAAGATTTAGATATATGTATATATGTGTATGTGTGTGTACGTGTGTATATGCATATATATATATTTTTTCATATATATATATACTTGAAAAATTTGCCCAGGACTGTCAGAATACATAAGTACATCCACATTGGCTTGAGCTTTTCATGTCCTTTGACTCCTCCTATGCCCTTACATCTACTACGTATTTCTGAATATTTACATTTTTCCATACTTCCATTTTCTAAAATGGGATAATTATACAATAATATCAGTTAGGTTTTGCTGAGTAATAAACAACTCCAAATGTGGTGGCTTAAACAACAATTATTTATTATTTCTCATGAATCCAGCAGTTCTGATGATATGGGCTGGGTTCTACTGATCTTGCTAGGTTCACTAAGGAATCTGTAATCAGCTGGTGGACACTGAGGGGGCTAAGTGATCCAGGATGGCCTCATTTGGGAAGATCTACGTTTCCTTCTTGTATCTCTTATATTCCTACAGAGGAATGCTGCCATGGCGGTGGCAGGAGTCAGGGAGGAGGCAGAAATTTTCTGCTCTCATCGAGTCTCATAAAAAAACAAACTAGATCTTTTTGGTGAGAAACACTGCCAAGTCTTACAGCGAAGGGCATAGATACAGGCAGATGTGAAGTATGGAATGGCCAAGGCAATTGAGCCACACAGGAACAGCCTTGGTGTTTCTTCTCTTCTATCAGCATACTGATTGTAGTTAGGTTGTGATTGCAGTTATAGAGTGGTTGATTCACAGAAAGGACTTTCACTGCATAATAACATTTCCTCCTATGGCTTTTAGAAAATCACTATAGATGGTCAAAGTTGTAGTCTTACCACTACATGCACATTTAATGGCAGAGGAAAAGGACAACAGACATTTAAACTTAGAATGCCATCATAAATAGAGGAAAATTTGGATGGAAGTGAGTAGTATCAGGAACTCTCCATTCATGGAGATTGATTTCTAAAACCATTGGGAAGAATGAATGAGAAAGTCAGATAATTTCTAAGCCTAGCTAGATTATGTGAATAACTGCCTTAATACTTTATTTGGATGTCATGTTATAAAGCTTTGGTTTGTAAATTTACTTTATTCCTCAATCATCATTTTCTGTCTTGCCTTAAATATATCTGATTTATCATGCATGTATTTATATAGAACAACTCACTGAATTAAAAATAATAATAAATTTCATGTTTTCCTCTGTGCTTTGAAGCAAGGAATGAGAACTTTGATTATCTCACTTACATAAACATAATGGGCCATAATTAATTTAGTGCCAATTATGATTGTCTAAACTTAACTTACAGTAAATCCATAGCTAAGACCATCCTTATAGTTGCTAAGAAAATTGTATTCTTTAACATTTAATTTTTAATGTTTTTCTCACTTTAAAAAACATCTTTCCCCCTCAACATATGTAGGGCTTTCTAGAAGCCTCATCAGTTTAATTAATGGAGAAAGTCTGATGACCTCTGTTATATCATTAATTACATTTACTAGTATTATGGATTTTGACCAAAGACTACAAAGTAAAAGAAACCATACCTTAGGTAAGTATATTTTTAAAAAATTTTTCTCAACATCAGAATCCTGTATTTTCTGAAAGCTGATGTGTATTTTGTAATATCCTACCATAAGTTATATTTGTAGGAATATAATAGTGAGTATTGGTTTAGTGACTTACTCTTTACAAAGCACTATTACACATTACTTAATGTTAGTTACATATTTGTTGTGAGACTGGGTTGAGACTCTTCATGAAGATGCTTATGGGAGCAACATTTCACAGGCCTGGGCTGAACCAGAATGCCAGACCACCAGAATGAGGGATATTCTTTTTTATGTGCTGAAGATGAGCTTAGAAGATAAGCCAAATAGTGCATCCACTAGTAGTGAGAGGAGGCGGCTTCTCTTCCCTTTGCCCTGGAACTATATCTCATGCAGGCAACATAAAAAGGTGTCAAATAAGGGAGGAAGTATGAGTTATTAGCCATCTACAGGGCCAGAGAATAGTGCTTGTAAGCAGAGGGATTGCAAAGTGCCCATGAGCTGTTTCATTTACCGCTTTCAGATAGCCCTAAACCATAAGTACTTTTTTTCCCCTTTATCATGTTTATGTGTGTATATAAAATAAATGATATATGTATATTATAATAGTGATTGTAATGTATACAGCTATATAACTATTAATCAGGAGAAGAAATTTCATGTTACCACCATCCCTAGAAGCATCTTATGTGCTCCTCTCTGGTCAAAACCCTGTATCTTCCTCCTAGAAAAGTCATTTTCAATGTTTAGTCTCTGAATCCCTGGCTAGTGGAGGAAGGGGGTTCATAGGATCCTTTCAGGATGTCTATGAAATCAAAGCATTTTCATAATATTACTGAGAATTTATTTACCTTTTTATTGTGGTGCACTTGCGCTGGTTTTGGAAAAGCAATTATTACAGTCTCCTTGATAAACTGACGACCTACTATTCTATGCACTGGGTGTCTTCTTTGTTCTAAGGTCTTATGTAGCATTGTCTCATTCCACCACTGCCCCCATTCCTGTGGAAAAGGTGTGCTTAGGAGGTGCCTCCACAACATATTCTAATCCATTGATCTGTATGGTATCAAACAATCCACTCTGCTGCAGTGGGATTCTTCTACTCCCCGCCTCCCCTCAGCAATGAAGAATATCTTAAATTCCTCTCCTACTACTCAAGAAGAGGAGATTTTAGCTGTAATTGTTTTCCCTGTCCCTAGAGAGTGCTTCATTGTTGTGCAACCAGGGACCCTGTATACCTCTATTCTTTCCTATTCCTGCCTTATCCTAAAACTCCGAAGTGAAGAATATTCTTTCCCAAGAAGAATCATCCTGAGGACCACCACCCCCTCACCCCTCCCTCAAAGGAGCTGATCCAGGTTGTGGACAGTTACCCCACTTGGGCATAGGAGGTATTTGCTTTCAGCCTTTGAGGCTTATGGACAACAGATGGGTGAAGCTCTCTGTATGGTGTTAGTTTACCTAGCCCATGGAAGCTTGGAGCATCTGTGGTGAACCTGGAATCTCAGTTTAGCACAGAAAGGTACATCATCTTTAGGTACTTCCAATTCACCATCTGTGATGTGTGTGAAAGCCAAATAACCATAAACACAACCTCTACTAAAACCCAGGGTGCAAAGGGAGGTGACACAATATGGCACTCAGAGAGCGCTCACCATAAAACCTCCTATAGCTATGACCTTCCTGAAGTTGACTAAGGTGAGCAACAAAGAAATTTCTATATTCAGAAGCTTTTTAAAAACTCAAGGGCCACCCTTGGGGGAACTAAAAAACCTGAAAGAAGTACAATTGTGCATGCCATTCAGGAGGATCCGTGTTCACCTACTAAACCTGGTTCAGTGTTCTACCAGGCTTTATTTAAGATATTATATACTGACCACGGATTTTCAGGGAAACTTATATCAGAAATGACATCTGCAGGCTAATCAGGGGAACTTTTTTGGTACTCGTTGGGAGAAGGGAAAGGAAAAGGAAGAATAAAGGTTCTGATGTGGAAGTTCATTCATTTACTGATTCAACAATTATTTATTAATATGTACTATGTGAGAATTTCTATTCTAGGACCTGAGCATTTAACCATAAGCACAATAAGCAAAATCCCCTTGCCTCCATAGAGCTTGCCTTGTAATTTTGATAATAATGAATAGAATGGAACTTTATTTTTTTGTATTTCAGAGGAATAAAAACTGTAAGTAATCACTATTAAAATAATAATAGTAATGACTTCAACAGTAAAAACTCTGCTGTAGGAGAAAGAGAACGATGAATTTACTTTTTTAGACATTAGGACTTTCTCTGAACTTCAACACCTTTGAAATACAAATTTTCCTTAAGAAATAAAGATAATAAGCTTTACTGCTATTTCATTTGACAATTGTGAATCAATACTTTTCAGAGTAACCATTGTTTTTATAACTTCTGTAATTATTTAAACAGTGTTACTAATCTGTGAAGTTAGCACATATTTTATAATAGGGAAAAATTAAGAAAGATTATTTCACTCAGAGTTCTTACTCTTTCCAATTTGAGTGCTAGAAATTTTAAAACAGTATAAGCAGTAATGGCTTTGCTTTGAGACTTTTCCTGGCTTAACAAATCTAGTCAGCAAACATGTTACTTATTAAAATGTATTTTCCTTTCTTAAAGGAAAAAGCAACTTTCAAACTGGGGTCTTCGAACTCCAGATTCCTGTATGTTTCTGCAACTAGAGTTAGCCTCCATCCTATATTTCAGTGACAGGAGATGCTGGACTCAAAATTATTGCCATGACCAGCTCTGTGCCTAGAGCTCATGTGGCCTAGAGGCATGTGTAGTTCCAGCAAAGAGCCTCTGATGGCCTTGGGCTCCCTGTTTTCCTGGGAAGGGCATCATGACATTGCTCTGTGGAAAGCAATTAGGCAAAATATAAAAGTAACAACACCAAAGAAGCAAATATCTTTTGGTGCATGAATTTTACTTTTGGAACCTAAAAGTACAGAGAAGCACAAAAAAAATGTATGTACAGAAATATACATTGCAACATTGTTTATCAGGGTGAAAAGCTAAAACATATGAAATGCTCAAAAATAAGGAAGCGATCAGTCACTTTGGCAGGCCAACATAATGCAGGAGATTCACCCAACTGAGGCCTAGAGACACTCCTCTTTCTGTATTTCCTGTGTGTATTACATTAGATCTAGAGTATCACTTCCATGAGTTTAGGGACTTCCTACTTGTTCCTTCATATATCTCTAAAATCTATTACATGTTTGACACATTAAAGGCACTGAATAAATTCCTTAATGGAGACCGAAAGGAGCTCTTAAACTAAACTGACCAAATTTTACAAACTTAAGCGTGGCTTTTAGCAGTTGAAAATAAACTCTTTCAACACAGAAACAAGAAAATATTGTCCATCTACCCCAAAGACAATGAGCTATTTTTATTAATATTAGTTTTAATGGACAAATCATAATGTATACATTTATGGGGTACAATGTGAGGCTTTGATATATATATATATATACAATGTAGAATGATTAAATCAAACTAATTAACGTCACCTCATTTAACTATAATTTTTTATGATGAGAGATTTGAAATTTACTCTCTTAGTTATTTTGAAATACCAATACATTATCATTGACTACAGTCACTTTGCTGTGGAATAGATCTGAAAACTTATTACTGCTTTCTCTTGGAAACTTTGCACCTGTTAATCAACAATTCCCTATTCTCTTCCTCCCTACATCCCCAGCCTCTGGTAATAATTATTCTACTCTCTATTTCTGTAAGTTCAACTTTTTTAGTTTCTACATATAAGTAAGATCATGCGGTATTTTCCTTTCTGTGCCTATCTTATTTCACTTAGCATAATGTCCTCTAGGTTCATCCATCTTGTTGTAAATAACAAGACTTCCTTCTTTTTTGAGGACAAATACTATTTCATTGTATATGTTTACCATATTTTCTTTATTCATTCACTGATGGACACTGAGGTTGACTCCATATATTGGACATAAATAACCCGATTAAAAAATAGGCTAAGAACAGACAGACATTAAAAGAAGACATACAAATGGTCAACTGGTACCCTTTTTTTTTGAGACAGAGTCTTGCTCTCTTGCCCAGGCTGGAGTGCAGTGGTGTGATCTCGGCTCACTACAACCTCTGCCTCCCAGATTCAAGCTATTCTCATGCCTCAGCCTCCCAGGTAGCCGGGATTACAGGCATGTGCCACCACACCCAGCTAATTTTTGTATTTTTAATAGAGATGGGATTTCGCCATGTTGGCCAGGCTGGTCTCAAACTCCTGGCCTCAAGTGATCTGCCCACCTCGGCCTCCCGAGGGATTGTAAGTGCTGGGATTATAGGCATGAGCTACAGCACTCAGCAGTCAACAGGTACATTAAAAAATGTTCAGCATCACTAAACATTAGGGAAATGCAAATGAAAACCACAATGAGATATCACTTCACATCTGTTAGAATGGCTTTTATCAAAAAGATAAAAGAGAAGTGTTAGTAAGATTGCAGAGAAAAGGAAACTCTTGTACACTGTTGGTGGGAATGTAAATTAGTAAAGCTATTATGGAAAACTGTGTGGAAGTTCCTCAAAAAACTAAAAGTAGAACTCTACCATATGGTCCAGTAATCCTACTTCTGGGTATATATCCAAAGGAATTGAAATCAATATGTCCCAGGGATATCTGCACTCTCATGTTCATTGTGGCAGTTAGCTAATTTTAAAGATAATGACAAAAAGGAAAATTAACAAGGAATATCAATTAAAATTAACGGCAAGTTCTATTAACTATTTCTTATTTACGCCCCTTTCTTGTAGCTGAAGAGATCGTGGGTGGAATTTGTTCATATATTATAGCAAGTTTCTTGTTTGGAATTCTAAGTTCAAAACTGATTCAATTTTGGATGTCAACTGTTTTTGGTGATGATGTCAATCATATAAGTCTCATCTTTTCAATTCTGTATCTCATCTTTTATATTTGTAAGTGAGGGGCCTATGCCTAAAATAAAATCACATAGAAAACTTCAAAATAAAAATATATGAAAAATGCATACCAGGCAAAAGTTAGTAAAAACATTCAACTGATCTAGACAGAATATTTTTATTAAAATAATCTATCAAAAGATATTAAACATATGAATATCTATACAACAGAAACAATGTACCAATATTAGCAAACACTATTATAAAAGAAAGAAAAATTTGACAAAACTATCATTACAGAAAGATAAATTATTATGCCTTTCCCAGAGAATTTCATGACTAATTGAACAAAAAATGATTATGGTTATAAAAATATTTAAATATCTTATAAGGTTGGTTTATAAGATATATAGAGTTTTACCTCCCAAAACAGAATGCATATCCTTTACATATACCTGTAGACAATTCGCAGAAATTAACTCGAAGAACATTTCAATAAAATTTCAAACATTGTTCAAACATGATGCAATTAAATTAAATATGGACTACAAAAAGAGGGTTCCTACCAGGCGTGGTGGCTTATGCCTATAATCCTAGCACCTTGGAGGGCTGAGGCAGGAGGATCAACTGAGCCCAGGATTTCGAGACCAGTCTGGGTAAGATAGTGAGATCCCATGTCTACAAGAATTTTTAAAACTAGCTAGATGTGGTGGCACATGCCTGTAGTCCCAGCTCCTCAGGAGCCTGAGGCGGGAGGATCACTTGAGCCCAGGAATTTGAGGCTGCAGTGAGCTATGATCGCACTCCAGCCCGGGCAACAAAGAGAGAAGCCGTCTCTCTAACAAAAAGGCGGAGCGGGGGCAGTTTCTACCTGTAAATTAGATATTTTGTCTTGGTAACTGTTAGATCAAAAAGGCAATCAAAATAGAAGTTACATATCAAGTAAAGCTAAATGTTAGAGTATCTATCAATGTTATTAATCCATGTCCCACAATCACCTCCTCACAAAAATATGGTAGCTATTGATAATTAGCCATACTGCTGTTTCCTGACACAGCCTCAGAATCACATTTAACTCAGCTCTTCAGACAGCCCTTCACATGATTTGGAATTGACATGCAAGATAACACCTAGTTACCTCACCTGTACTATGTCTCTGTTACATTTAGGAATAAGACAATGGTGTATATTCTCACATCCATGATTTAAAATAATTCTGAAGGCTCTAGCTAATACAATAAGGGGGAACATTTATACATATTTTAAAAGAAAAAATGGTTAGATTAATCACGACATTTTATATCATATAGAAAATTCAACAGAATTAATTGGTAAACAAAGTCAGCAAGACCCTTTAATGGCTTGATATAAGATAAAGTTATCCAAAACAATTGACGGTATTTTTATCAGCCAGCAATAACTAGCTAGAAAATATGAAAATTTGATTCTTTTTGTATTGGTAAAAAGTTATAAAATATCAATGAATAAACTTAACAAATAGTTTGGACCTAAACATAGAAAATTATAAAAGTTATTAAGAAATATAAAATTTGAATAAATTGAAGCATAGAAAAACTATTCTTCAGAAGTGCTAGAGTAATGGGAATTTATTATTTTTCCCTCTGAAGAGGAAAAGGCAGACCAGAGGATCTTGAGGCTTTCTAATGAATTAATCAGTGGATTAAATTCAATTATAATATACCGAGGGTTACAGAATCAAGCTAATGAATTAACAGACAGTGAGAGAATGATCAGTTAATTCAGGTGGGTTCCTCATGTGCTAGTATTCATGTGTATACTTAGATTCCTAAAAGAAAATCCAACAAATATAATTTCCTCTAACATTATTTTTAATAAGTAACCCTAGTTTCAAGATTAAAGGTTATACTTAAGGAAATAATTTTAAACTTTTAGAGTCGAGATGTCTCAATAAACATTTTAGGAAGAAACCTGCCAAGACAGAATTTCATTAAAACAAGATACAGAGTAAATATAAATTTAATGTAAAAAGACTTTCCCTGTGACCTGGCTTCATGTTTATATTATTAGTACCTTCAAGATAGTCATTATAAATATTTTCCTGACTTCACCATCACCTAACAAGTTATAATACCTAATCCAGGGCTTGATTGTTTCAAAGAACCTATGTCCATGATTTCTTCTTCTTTCATGATTCAACAATGACTCTGCCTTTGTTACCATTTTCAGCCAGGACTAAAATAAAAAATAGACAACTTGTAATTTTCCATCTTTAGAAGGGAAAACTCAATAATGTAATAATGGCATTAATTTCACTAAATTAAACTTTATTACAATCCAAATCAAACAATGATAGAAATTTTTTTGGTTTTAAAATTTCCTTCTCTCTCTCTCTCTTTTTTTTTTTTTTTTTTTTTTGAGACGGAGTCTTGCTCTGTCACCCAGGCTGGAGTGCAGTGGCCCAATCTCTGCTCACTGCAAACTCCACCTTTCGGGTTCTCGCCATTCTCCTGCCTCAGCCTCCCAAGTAACTGGGACTACAGGTGCCCGCCACGACGCCCGGCTAATTTTTTATATTTTTAGTAGAGATGGGGTTTCACCATGTTAGCCAGGAGGGTCTCAATCTCCTGACCTCATGATCCACCCGCCTTGGCCTCCCAAAGTGCTGGGATTACAGGCGTGAGCCACCACGCCCGGCCCTGTCTCTCTCTTAGAAACAGAGTCTTGCTCTGTTGCCCAGGCTCTGGAGTACAGTGGCATGATCATGGCTCACTGCAGCCTCAACCTCCTGGGTTTAAGCAATTCTCCCACCTCAGCCTCCTAAGTAGCTGGTACTACAGGCATGTGCCAGCAAGCCAAGCCAATTTTTAAAATTGTTTGTAGAGACAGGGTCACATTATGTTGCCTAGGCCAGCCCTGAACCCCCGGTCTCAAGCAGTCATCCGTCAGCCTCCCAAAGTGCTGGAATTATAGGTATGAGCCACCGTGCCTATCTAAAATTTCATGACAATTTCAAAAGTTCAGCTAGAGAAATTAATGTGTGAGAATAGACAAGACAATTTTTTTAAGTGGAGAACTTTCTTTACCAGATAATTAAATGTTTTAATAGGTCTACAGTAATTAAAATACAACTGTTATAACACAAGAATACAAAGTAAGTCAAAGAAACACAAAGGGCACAGAAATAGTCGAAGTATGAATGACAATTTAATATATGATAAAAGTAGCATATCCACAATATTCTTTAGTATTAAAAACAAATATTTCAATTTTTACTTATTAACTAGAACTATGTCTGCTAAGAAGTTGTGGGCAAGTTCACGAAATCATCAGCTGATTTTCATTTCAACCCTCCAGAACCCATCTGAAATAACCAGACCTCTAAAGTGTGCTCTAGCCTCAATGGGGTATGCGAAGCAGTGCAAAGATGCCCATAGTAGGCTTTATAATACAATTGGATATAAGTTGGAGGAAGAAAAAGGACATGGGGTGGTGGTAATAATTTGCAATATTTTTCAGCTGAAATCAAGTGAAGTTGCCTCTCTATAAAAGTCATGGTACTGTCACAACATCTGATACTTTTAACTCGGGTAAAATTTGTGCTGCTGTTGATGTTAAATTAATACTTTATATTTATTTCTTTTTAAAAATAGGTGAGTTAGTTGGAATGTCAGGAATATTTACTCTGGCCATTGTGGGACTTCTTTTAAATTCTACAAGTTTTAAAGCAGCAATTGAAGAAACACTTCTTCTTGAGTAAGTGGATAGCATATTTTGACTTTATTTCATACACTGGAAGCTATAATATTATAATAGTAACAATATCTACATCTACATGGTCGAAGTAAGATTTTCAAAGACTTGAAAACTACCCAACTAAAAACCTTTCCTAGATTTTATTTTTTCTTGCCTGTGTCTTTGAATCCTCCAATTTAAAGCAAATTCGTAACCTTACCTTGAGTTCATGTTGGTTCTCTTTCCCCACTCATTCCTCAAATCTCTGATTATCTCCTCAATAATTTCCCATATAAAATCTTGTACCCACTAGTAAGAGGGTGCCAAAAGTGCAGTAATTGAGAAGTAATATTTTAATATTTTAATGCAATATTTTAAAATTAAGTTTAATTAAGTTGAACTTAAGGCAAAAAAAATCTAAAGATGAGTATTTTAAGGACAATGAGGTGCTGTGTAAAGCAAATCAGAAGAGTAAGCTGGGGCATTTGAAGAGGATTAGCAGTGTTATAAAAGAAAGTATGACCACACTAAATGTAAGCAAGACTATGGGTGGAAAAGTGCAAATTGTGCCTTGCTCAAGGGAATTCAGCTAAGGGGTGAGTAGTTATCAGCCAAAAGGAAGAGCACTTTCCATAATGCTTCAATACATAGGGTGGAAACTTGACCTGAACCACATAATGAAAACATATGTGTTAACAAAGGCCCTGAAAGTAAACCATGGTTTTTAGAGTTTTGGGACAACGTTATAGAAGATAGAATTAATTCTGATATAAGAAGCTTAAAAGATATAGGGTCTTATAGGATTCTGGAGCACTTCAATAAAATTCCATGCCAATTACAATGGAAGTAAATTGTACTTGCACTTAGGCAAAATTAAATGGACCACAGCTGAGGGAAGAATTTAAAATGCTACACAAGTATTAGTTATATATATGGGGAATGATTCTGAAGGTTTTCCTCCCCTTCTTGCTCCAACTGTAAGCTGGATCTTCAAATATATTACTTATCTTTATTCTTCATTCCTTATAAGTTGTGATGTCTTTCTTGCCTGCGTTCCTAGTACTATTGAGCCTACAATTGAAGTAGGTGATCTCTCTGAACCTCGAAGTGATTTCTAAATCATTCTATCTCCTACTTCCTTAAAAGAATCCAATTTTGAAGCTCGTGCCATCAGAATATGCCATCTGCCTCTTGATTGTGATTATCTATAGAACTCTAAGTCACATTCTCCATTTTGTGAAGATTTTAGTTCCTGTCTCACTGTGACTCTCCAATATTACTCTATCACCATTCTTAGTGATGTCAATATTCATACAGTTAATCCTTCTACTCCCTCATCTTTCAATTCCTGGATCTTCTCTCCTTGTATAAGTATGTCCACCACTCCTCTTTAACCACCCACTCCCACAGTTGTACAAGTAACTACTTCATAAACTCAATTGCAAGAATCTTACTATCTAAAATATGGTATGTACCAACTTCTACTCTTGAAGACAGTGAAAATCTAAGACAATAGTGTTAAATCCTACTAACATCTCAAAACAACCTGTAACAGGTCCATGTTAACTCTTTAACATAGAAGGTGTACCATCTCCCATCTTTTCACTATATGCCCTCTAGTACCTAAATTCTCACGATTCTGCAACCATACTGAGACTAAAATTTATTGATTCTATGATCTTTTACTGACCTTCACCCATCTCATATTTTCAATTCCTCTTTATCCAGGTCATTTCTTTTGTGTAAAATAATTTAATAACTTTTCATCATTTTCAGCTACAAGTCAAAGTTGTTTGTAAATGTTTTATTCATTTTTTGGTAATCATTAGCACAATGATTCACATAGATAAACCTTGTAATAAAGATGTCAAATTAATTAATTATAAATATTTTTAATTTTTTCTGAATGATGCAGATTCTGGACTTTTCTATCACGTATTGCTTTTCTCATGGTGTTTACTTTCTTTGGACTTCTAATTCCTGCACATACATATTTGTATATAGAATTTGTTGATATATACTATTCATTAAATATCTACTTAACATTGATTGTTTTAAGGTAAGAACATCATTAAAATTTTTCTATTTATAGATAATTGAGTAAGTTTGAAGGTCATCTTTTAAATAACACAAAGATTTCGTACCTTAGATTGAAAAATTGACTCAAACTTTCCAAGGATCATCAGCAAATAAATGCTTTGTAATTTTTTTTTGGCTTTTAACTAAATTTCAAAGCAATGCAAACTCTATAAGTTTTTTTAATTAGAAAAAAACTCAACATTTGACATATTTTGTCCAATGTTTTTGTAATGACATTTCATGAAGTTAAGTACCTATTATAAATAAAAATCTTGTTTTTGCTCAATATTATATAACAAACAATTTTCTATTAATTAAAAACTATAGTTAGAAATTGCTTTTTAAATATCATAGGGAAGCCCTCTTTGTAAACATCTTTTTTTCTCAAATCATTTTTGTAGTTTCTTTTTCCACTGTTAAGAGGTAGAAAAAGTCTGTTTATGTAGCTGAAAAGGAGATAGCATAGAGTGAGAAAAACCACCATAACTAGAGTCTCATAGGTCTTTAATCTCCATTACTCAAATGATTAACATTCTACTTCCATCTAGTTGAATTGCTGAAGTCAAGGCATCTAGTGCCAAGTAAAATAAAATTATTTCCCAAATTATCAGATAAAATTAGTGTAAAACATAGGAATGATATATGACTGAAGGAAAAAAAAATCTGGCCAATATTGGACCAATTCAGCAAGATTAAAATCTATAAACAAAAAGAAACAGAGAACATTTTCTCACTTCTTATTCATTAAATTTGTTTTTATTTGGGGTGGGGATTCAGAATTTATGTACAACACATCTCGAACTTTTCTTTTTCCTCCTGAAGGAGCACCACTCAAGGATGATGTAAATTTACTATGCTACTCACCTAGTAGAAAGAAAGAAAGAATAATACCATTCTCTTGGCATGTCTCTCTATGGAATACCTGCTGCCTTTCTTTGGTGTCATGTCAACAGTGTGTGAAAGATGTCTCATTTGTTTGAGAGTTAGGAATTCTACAGGGAGTAGATTAGAATAGAGTAGCATGAAATGGAAAGAAACTCATATGAAAGAATAACTTTGTAAAAATTGTTTTGTCTTTTAGATTTCTGACCCTTCTTTTAATAAGCCCTGTTTTGTCTCGAGTTGGTCATGAGTTCAGTTGGCGCTGGATATTCATAATGGTCTGTAGTGAAATGAAGGGGATGCCTAATATAAACATGGCCCTTCTGCTTGCCTACTCTGATCTTTATTTTGGATCTGACAAAGAAAAATCTCAAGTAAAGAAAGCTGTATTTTCTTATCTGAATATTGTATAAAACTATTACTGTGTATTTAAAATATATGTTTTTTTGTAGTGAGGTAGCTCAACTTCACTTGGGATGTAGGAGTGATTTAGCTATGATGGCAAGATCGGGGAGAGGAGGAACAACTGGCAACTTTCCTTCTCCCCTGAAATAGGTTTATTACAAAGATCAAAGTAATTAAAACTTATCAATCATTTAAAATAGTACCTGGCATAAAAGGTGCACTCAATAATGTTTTAATTATTTATTGCACTCAAGAGAAGTGAAAACTTTCTTATGATTGGCCCTATTACCTTCTGTAACTTTCTGAGGCTCATTTAGTAATGCTATGAGCCAAAACATTTTAATTGTCAGGTAAAACACTCTAAACAGTACCCTCAAACTCTGCTTAGCAGAAAATACAGGGCATAACTCTCCTTCTACCATGTGTCTGGGCAAGATAATTACAAGGATCTCTGTAAGAAAATTTCTGTGCAGATATCACAGAGCATCTGATGCTTTTATCATCTGGGTTTTTTTTTTTAACAAAAATTCCAAATGTAAAAAGAGAAGTGGCAAGATAATCATTATGTATCTACTTAAATAATACTCAGTCCAAATATTTAAAAAACTAATCTTTAAACTGCCTTTAAAATCAAAATTATCTGATATTGCATGACCTCTCCCTTCTATCTATTTCTACAAGCCCAAATATTCAAGATCAGTGTCATCACCATACACCTGATCAGTGTGACGGCTAACCTTGTGCACAGATCTAGGTTCTGAAATTTTCAGCTTAGATGCTATTTGCTGCGTGGACATCAGCAAGTTTTTAATTTCCACCTCACCTCAAGTATCAGTTTCCTCACTCCAAAACAGACTTAATAGTATCAATGGTTTGCTGGTAAATATTTAACAAGTAACTTAAGTGTTGAGGTGAGAGGAAGTCCTAATTTGTAGTATTTGCCCATTTCTGTTGTGTAATCACTTCCACCAACAGAACATCAGTCAGCTCATAAACTTCCTGAAATTGAACGATTAGCTCTCATGAGCTAGTAAGAGCCAGCCTAGCACACTACTTTCACAAAGCATTATTATGAGAAACAAAAAATGTACATAAAACACTTGGCACATTGTTTAGCATATAGCAATTGTACAATAAATACAAGCTCTGATGATGAAATTATAAGTGATGATATACTTTGCCGTAGTGTTTTAAAATAAAATTTTAGTAAGTAAAATCATTTAGTAAATATCCTCACTAGAAGTAACTCCTTGAGAAGAAAGTAGAACTCCTTTTCTCAATTTAATCTAGCTGAACCCTACAGTTAATACTTACCCAGAGGCATTATAGTAAAGGGTTAAAAATACTAACATCAAAGACATATTGCCTTTTTAATTCTGTCTCTACTACTCATAAGTTATGTTATATTGGGAAAGTCACAGTGCCCTAGATTCCCATCTGTGTAATTGTACAGTATTGGTAATTACCTCACAAAATTGCAGTGAAGATTAAATAAGCCTCGTATATTGTATTATTAGCCTGTTATATGTGTTAGCTCTTATTAATTTTAAACTATTTAACTAATTGAGTGGTCTTTTACCTAGAATGCAATGCACTTTAGATTGATTTAGGAACTTTTTGAAAAATATCAATGTCTGTGGAATTCTAGTCTTTACTATGATGAATAGTGGATATCAGACTTACTTTCCATAGTAAACAACTACAAAAATGTTTAAAATATATGAAGCAACTGATTTGGGGTATTGGATAAGGGACATTGCCTGGTTAGATCCTTCAGAGAAATGGAACACATAAGGAGAGTTCACATTCACTCTGATCTTTCTTCAAAAATGTTGCAGAGAGAAGTGAAGGCCAAACAGGATGCAGTAAACTTACTGGGCAGAAAATACCTATATGAGAGTTTAGGGCTACTTAAGTAGCTAGAATTTGGGGAGGCAGGGTATCATGGAGGGAAGAATTGTGTAGAAAAAGGAGCACCAGAAATTTAAATTTCCTTGGATCATTACTTCAATACTAATCAAAACAAGCAGAGATTTTGCAGGAGGAGCAGCAGAAAAGAGCTGCTTGGGAGCTTTTGGCTGAATGGATATTGTAAAGGCCACACAGCTCTGGCAGATACTTAAGTTCTGACTAGCCATGGTGTATAAACCTCACTGAAAACCACATAGGTTAAGTTGTGAATCCAGAAAGACCATGTCTTAGAAATAAGAATTATGCCCTAAAGAAATGTGTATTTTAGACCCATTTGAAGAAAGACTAGAATCACGCCTTAGTAGGATAATGTGACCTGCCAGCAAATTAACTGCCTGACACAAAACTCAGAAACTCTTTACAGGAAGACAATGTAATCAAGACTCTCAAGAATGTGACATCCACAATATGTAGCCTAAAATCTAATATTACTATGCATGTGAAGAAGCAGGAAAATGTGGTCTATTACTAAGGGAAAAAATTATTCAATAGAAACGACCCAAAGGTGACACAGATGTTGGAACCAGCAATACTTTAAAAAATATACTCAAGAATCTAAAGAAAAAAATGGACATAGGAAATGAAGATATGGGATATTTCAGTGAAGAATTGAAACCATAAAAAAACTAAAGAAAAATTCTAGAAATAAGAAATATCCAAACTAAAAATTTTCGTTATGAGCTTCATGGCAGATTGGACTGTGCAGAAGAAAAAAAATAAGTTCTAAGTTGATATGTTCTACAAGAGTGAGAAAATATATGAAGCAAAAACTGATAAACCTAAAGGGAGAAATAGATAAATTATAATTGGACACTTTAATACTCCTCTATATAACTCAACAAATTATAGAACAACTAGACAGAAAATCAGCAAAGACATGAAAGAATTGAAATCATCATTGACAAATAGGATCCAATTGATATTTATGGAAATTATATCAATTGATGCAGAAAAAGCATTTTACAAAATGTAAAATCCATTCATGATAAAAACTTCAAAACATAAGAATAGAAGGGAATTTTCTAATGTTGATAGAGAACATCTGTAAAAAGTCTGTAGGTAACAACATAATTAATAGTGAAAGACTGTTTTCCCTTTAAGATTTGGAGCAATGTAAAAATGTCTACTTTTTCTTTTTGTAAAACTTTATTTTAGGTTCAGGGATACATGTGCAGGTTTGTTGTATGGGTAAATTGCATGGCATGGAAGTTTGGTGTACAGATCATTTCACCCAGGAAATAAACATAGTACCCGATAGATATTTTTTCCATTCTCACCCTCCTCCCAACCTCCACCCTCAAGTAAGCCCAGTGTCTGTTGTTTTCTTCCTTGTGTCCATGTGTACTCAATGTTTAGCTCCCACTTATAAGTGTGATACATGGTATTTGGCTTTCTGTTCTTGTGTTAGTTCACTTAAGATAATGATCTCCACCTCCATCCATGTTGCTGCAAAGGACACGAGGACATGGTCTTGGTTTATGTTTTTTGCTTTTTTTTTTTTTTTTAGATAGGTAAACTCATGTCACAGTGGTTTGTTGTAGAGAATATTTTATCACCCAGGTACCAAGCCTAGTTCCCAATAGTTATTTTTTTTCCAATCCTCTCCCTTCTCCTATCCTCCACCTTCAAGTAGTCCCCACTATCTGTTGTTCCCTTCTTTGTGTCCATATGTTCTCATCATTTAGCTCCCACTTATAAGTAAGAACATGCAGTATTTGGTTTTCTGTTCCTGCGTTAGTTTACTAAAGATAATGGCCTCCAGCTCTGTCCATTTTCCTGCAGGACATGATCTCATTCTTTTATGTGGCTGCATAATATTCTAATGTGGTTTGGCTTTGTGTCCCCACCCAAATCTCATGTTGAATTGTAATTCCCAATGTTAGGGGAGGGACCTCGTGACTGGATCATGGGGGTGGATTTCCCCCTTACTGTTCTCATGATAGTGAGTGAGTTCTCATGAGATCTGGTTGTTTAAAAATGTGTAGCACTTCCCCTTTGACTCCCTCTCTCTCCTGCTCTGCCATGTGAAGATTTTGCCTGCTTTTCCCCTTTGCCTTCTGCCGTGATTGTAAGTTTCCTGAGTCCTCCCCAGCCATGCTTCCTGTACACTCTGCAGAATCATGAGCCAATTAAACCTTTCTTCTTTATAAATTACCCAGTCTGGCTGGGTATGGTGGCTCATGCCTGTAATCTCAGCACTTTAGGAGGCTGAAGTGGGTGGATCACTTGAGGTCAGGAGTTTGAGACCAGCCCAGCCAACATGATGAAACCCTGTCTCTACTAAAAATACAAATACCTGTAAAACTAAAAATAAAAATACAAATAGCCTGTGTGGTGGTGCGCACCTGTAGTCCCAGATACTCAGGAGACCGAGACATGAGAATCTCTTGAACCCTAAAGGTGGAGGTTGCCGTGAGCTGAGATTGCACTGTTGCACTCCAGCCTGGGCGACAGAGTGAGACTCCATCTCAAAAACAAAAACAAAAACAAAAAAACCCAAACAAACAAACAAACAAAAAAACCCACCCAAATCTCAGGTAGTTCTTGATAGCAATGTGAGACTGGACTAATACATATTCTGTGGTGTATATGTACATTTTCTTTATCCAATCTGCCATGGTGGGCATTTAGGTTAATTCTATATCTTTGCTATTTGTGAATAGTGCTGCAATGAGCATAGGCATGCATGTGTCTTTATGGTAGAACAATTTATATTCTTTTGGGCATATACACAGGAATGGGATTGCTGGGTCAAATGGTAATTCTGATTTTAGCTCTTTGAAGAATTGCCACACTGCTTTCCACAATGATTGAACTACCTTACACTCCCACTAACTGTATAAGTGTTCAGTTTTCTCTGCAACCTCGCCAGCATTTGTTATTTTTTGACTTTTTAATAATAGCTATTCTGACTGGTGTGAGATGGTATCTCATAATGGTTTTGATTTGCATTACTCTAATGATCAATGATACTGAGCTTTTTAAAATATGCTTGTTAGCTGCATGTACGTCTTCTTTTGAAAACTGTCTGCTCATGTCCTTTACCTACTTTTAATGGGGTTGTTTTCTTGTAAATTTGTTTAAGTTCCTTATAAATGCTGGATATTAGACCTTTGTCAGATGCATAGTTGGCAAATATTTTCTCCCATTCTGTAGGTTTTATATTTACTCTGTTGATAGTTTCTTTTGCTGTGCAGAAACTCTTACGTTTAATTAGATCAATTTTATCAAGTTTTGCTTTTGTTGTGATTGCTGTTGGCATCTTTGTCATGAAATCTTTGCCACTATCTATGTCCAGCATGGTATTGCCTAGGTCGTCTTCCAGGGTTTTTATAGCTTTGAGTCTTACATTTAAGTCTTTAATCTATCTTGAGTTGATTTTCTTATGTAGTGTAACGAAGGGGTCCAGTTTCTACCTTCTGTATATGGCTAGCTAGTTATCCCAAAACCATTTATTGAATAGGGAGTCCTTTCCCTATTGCTTCTTTTTGACAGCCTTGTCCAAGATAAGATGGTTGTAGGTGTGCAGCCTTATTTCTGGGCCCTCTCTTCTACTCTGTTGGTATAAATGTCTGTTTTTGTACCAGTACCCATGCAGTTTTGATTACTGTAGCCCTGTTGGACATTTTGAAGTCAGGTAATGTGATGCCTCCAACTTTGTTCTTTCTGCTTAGTATTACCCTGGCTATTTGGGCTCTTTTTGGTTCCATACGAATTTTAAAATAGATTTTTCTAGTTCTGTGAATGTCATTGTTAGTTTGATAAGAATAGCATTCAATTTGTAAATTCTTTGGGGCAGTATGTCCATTTTAATGATATTGATTCTTCCTATCCATGAACATGGATTATTTTCCATTCATTTGTGTCATCTCTGATTTCATTGGGCAGAATTTTGTAATTCTCATTGTAGAGATTTTTTACCCCACTGGTTAGCTATATTCTTAGGTATTATTTGGGCAATTATGAATGGGATTGAATTCTTGATTTGGCTCTTGGCTTGGTTGGTGGTGGTGCATAAGAATGCTGATGAATTTTGTATGATGATTTTGTATCCTGAAATTTTGCTGAAGCTGTTTACCAGTTGATGGAGATTTGGGCCAACTATGGGGTTTTCTAGATACAGAATCATGTCATCTGCAAATAAGGATAATTTGACTTCTTTTCCTATTTGGATGCACTTTATTTCTTTCTCTTGCCTGATTGACCTGGCCAGGACTTCCGGTACTATAATGAGTAGGACTGGTGAGAGAGGGCATCCTTGTCTTGTGCCAGTATTCAAGAAGAATGCATCTAGCCTTTGCCTACTCAGTATGATATTGGCTGTGGGTTTGTCATAAAGGGCTCTTATTATTTTGAGGTATGGTCCTTCGATACCTAGTAGATTGAGAGTTTTTAACAGGAAGAGATGTTGAATTTTATCAGTCTTTTCTGCATCTATGGAGATCATCATATAGTTTGTCTTAACTTCTGTTCTGATCAATAACATTTATTTATTTGCATATATTGAACCAACCTTGCATCCCAATCAAGCCTACTTGATTGTGGTGGCTTAGCTTTTCCATGTGCTGCTGGATTTTGGTTTACTAGTATTTTGTTGAGGATTTTTGCATCAATGTTCATCAAGCATATTGGCCTTAAGTTTTCTTTTTTGTTGTTTCTCTGCCAGGTTTTGATATTAGGATGATGCTAGCCTCATAGAATGATTTGGGGAGGAGTTTTTCCTTCTCCATTTTTTGGAATAGTTTAAGTAGAAATGGTACCAACTCTTCTTTGTGTATCTGGTAGAATTAGCCTGCAAATTTGTCTGGTCCATGGCTTTTTTTGGTTGGTCTATTTGTTACTGATTCAATTTGGGAACTCACTACTGGCCTGTTCAGGGAAACACTTTCTTCCTGGTTGAGGCTTGGAAAGATGTATGTGTCTAGGAACTTATCCATCTCTTCTAGGTTTTCTAGTTTGTGTGCATAGGGGTGTTCATAGTAGTCTCTGATGGTTATTTGTATTTTTGTGGGGTCAGTGGTAGCATACACTTTGTCATTTTTAATTGGGCTTATTTGAATGTTCTCTTCTTTATTAGTCTAGCTAGAAGCTTATCTGTCTTATTAATTTTTTCATAAATAAAAAGAACCACCGCATCCATTGATCTTTTGAATGATTTTTTGTGTGTGTTTTGATCTCCTCGGTTCAGCTCTGATTTTGGTTATTTCTTATCTTCTGTTAGCTTTGGGACTGGTTTGCTCTTGCTTCTCTAGTTCTTTTAGTTGTGATTTTAGGTTGTTAACTTGAGATCTTTCTTTTTGATTTGGGCGTTTCATGATATAAATTTCTCTCTTGACATTGCCTTAGCTGTGTCCCAGAAATTCTGGTATGTTGTCTTTTTGTTCATATTAGTTTTGAAGAACTTCTTGATTTCTGCCTTTATTTTATTATTTACCCAAAACTCATTAAGAAGCAGGTTGTTTAATTTCCATGTAATTGGATGGTTTTGAGTAGTTTTTTAGCCTTAATTTCTGTTTTTATTGTGCTGTGATCTTAGAGTGTGTTCAGTATGATTTTTTTCTATTGCATTTGCTGAGGATTGTTTTACGTTTGATTGTGTGGTTGATTTTAGACTTTTTGCCATGTGGTGATGAGAAGAATGTATATTCTGTTGTTTTTTGATGGAGAATTCTATAGAGGTCCATAAGGTCCATTTGGTCCAATGCTGAGTTCAGATCCTGAATATCTTTGTTCATTTTCTGCCTTAATGATACGTTTGCTACTGTCCGTGGAGTGTGAAAGTCTCCCACTATTCTTGTGTGGGAGTATAAGTCTCTTTGTAGGTCTCTAAGAACTTGGTTTATGAATCTCAGTGCTCCTCTGTTAGGTGCATTAATATTTAGTATAGTTAGGTCTTCTTATTGAATTGAACCCTTTACCATTGTGTAATGCCCTTCTTTGTGTTTTTAAAAACTTTGTTGTTTTAAGTCTGTTTTGTCTGCAAATAGGATTGTTTAACTCCTGCTTTTTTTTTGTTTTCCATTTGCTTGGAAAATATTTTATTTTGAGCCTATGAGTGTCACTGCAGATGAAAGGGGTCTCTCGAAGACAGCACACCATTGGCTCTTGGTTCTTTATCCAGCTTGCTGCTCTCTGTCTTTTAAATGGGGCATTTAACCCATTTATAGTCAAGGTTATTATTGATATGTGTGGATTTGATCTTGCCATTGTGTTGTTAGCTGGTTATTATGTCAGTTTGTTTGTATAGTTGCTTTATTGTGTCACTAGTCTATGTATTTATGTGTGTTTTTGTGTTGGCTGTCAGTGATCTTTCCTTTCTATATTTAGTGCTTTTTTCCAGATCTCTTGCAAGGCAAGTCTGTTGGTAACCAACTCCTTCAGTATTTGCTTATCTGAAATAAAAAAAATTTATTTCATGTTCACTTAGGAAGCTTAGTTTGGCTGGATATGAAATTATTGGTTGACGATTTTTTGTCTAAGAATGTTGAATATAAGCCCCCAGTCACTTCTGGCTTGTAGGATTTCTACTGAGAGATCCACTGTTAGCCTGATGGGGTTCCTTTTGTAGGCGACCTGCCCTTTCTCTCTAGCTGCCTTTAATTTTCTTTTCTTCATTTTGACATTGTAAAATCTGATGATTGTGTGTCTTGGGGATGATCTTCTTGTATAGAATCTTGCAAGGGTTCTCTGTATTTCCTGAATTTGACTGTTGGCCTCTCTAGCAAGTTTGGAGAAGTTTCATGAACAATTTTCTGAAATATGTGTTTTAAGTTGTTTGCTTTCTCCTCATTCCTTGCAGGGATGCCAATAATTTGTAGTTTTACCCCTTTACATAATCCCATATTTTTCAGAAGTTTTGTTTAAACTTTTTCATTCTTTTTTCATTTTTATCTGACTGTCTTATTTCATGGATCAAGCCTTCAAGTTCCAAGATTCTTTCCTCATCTTGGTTTATTCTGCTGTTAATACTGGCAATAACCTTGTGGAATTTTTGTAGTGTGCTTTTCAGCTCTCTCAGATCAGATCTGTGTATCATTTTATTGTGATTCTTAGCTTCCTCGGATTGGTTTTGCCATTCTTCTGAATCTTGATGATATTCATTACTATCCACATTCTGAATTCTATTTCTGTTGTCTCAGCCAACTCACCCTGGTTAAGAACCCATGTCGGAGAACTAGTGTGGTCATTTGGAGGATATAAGACACTCTGGCCATTTGAGTTGACAGAGTTCTTGCATTGGTTCTTTCTCATCTCTGTGTTTGGGTGTCCCTTTAGCTGTGGTGCAGATTGTGTGCAGTCAGTAGACTTCTTTTCTGAATGTTTTCATTGGGCCAAGGCTTTCTGCAGAGTCTTTATTTGCAAATGACTTCTTGTCTTTGGTTTCACAGGGCAGATATGTTAGTGAGGAGGTATTTTTGGTGTTGAAACTTTGGGGTGTGAACCAGTAGGTGGTGGTTAGGTATTGTGGTCAGTTGGTGGGCTCTTGCTTGGTCACATGGCTCCCCTACATTTCCTTACAGTTGCAGCCATGCTCTCTGTCAATGCCCTGAACATGTGGGCTCCTTTCCTACTTGAGTGCTGGCTGTAGATCACAAATTGGCACTCCAAGGCTGCCTACCACAGCTCTTGTGTGATCTCACTGTTGCCTTCCCCAACTTGGCGGCAACAGTGGAAATGACCTTAGCAGTGGTTGTGGATGAAGGTCTTTTGCCTGTCTGCTGGGGGTTCTACCCCAGAGAGATGCAGGTGAGTAATCATTCAGTGCAATTGTCCAGAATGCGGGATCTGTGCTGTGGGCCCAAGCTTAGTGAGGAGACATAGGTTTAAGGGCCCACATAACAGTCTGGTTACTTTTTCGTAAGGATGCTGTGGTATGCTGGCAGTCATCACCAGTCCCTAGTCTCCTCAGATTTTCCAGGACCTGAAGGTATCATTAGTGATGGCTGTGAAACAGAAAAATGGTGGCCTGCTCCTCCCCCTCCCTTTGGGAACTCCAACCCAGGGAGGTACAGACATTTTGCCAGCCTGAACACACCAGCAGGAGGTGGCTGGAGTCTCCACTTGGTAGATCTCGCCTACTGTGGAGGAATGGGATCATGGACCCACTTAAAAAAGCAGTCTGACCTATTTTCCCAAGGGCAGCAGTGCTTTGCTGGCAGTTCACTCCAGTCCCTGGTCACCTTGACTCTCTAAAGCCTGAAGGCAACAATGGCTAAGGCTACTAAACAGCAAAGATGGCAGTCTACTCCACCTTCTGAGAGCTCTGTCCCAGAGAGTTCTGAAATTGCTGCTGACCAGAAAACACCAGCAGGGGTGGCTGGAGACCCCAATCAGGATATCCCACCCAGTGAGAAGGATCAAAATCAGGAACCTGCATAAAAAGGCATTCTGTCTGCTTTTTCATAGAGCAATTGTGCTGTTCTGGGGGTCTGCTTAAACCTCCAGTTGCTTCACACTCTCCAAAGCCTAAAGGCCACCATGCTTAAGTTGAGAAACAGCAAAGATGGTGGCCTACCTCTCCCTCTGGTAGCCCCATCCCAGGGAGGTTGGAAACTGCTGCTGACCAGAAAACACTGGTGGGGGTGGTCATAGACTGTGGTCAGGAAATTCTGCCTGGGGAAGAGAACTAGGACCTCGGACCCATGTGAAAATGCAGTCTGGCTGTTTATCCATAGAGCAGCTGCACTGTTCTGGGGGACTTTTCCAGTCCCTAGTCACCTCAGAATCCCTAGAGCTCAAAGGCAACAATGGCTAAGGCTGTGTAACAGCAAAGATGGTGGCCCATCCCTCCCACAGGGACCTCCATCCCAGGGAGGCTGGGAACCACTGCAACCCAGAAAACACTGGCTAGGGTGACTGGAGAGCCCAGTCTACAGTCTGACATGCAGAGCTACATGGAATATTAGCAGAGCAGCCACTCATATGGAGCCCTGGGCAATTTAGATACCTGGGCTTCCCAGCAAAAGTGGCAGCAATTTGAGCAAGGTTGGGGGTTAGATCCCTGTCCATACCTCTAGGAAAGGAGATGATTCAGGGGGCTGACCCAAGAGTTGCAAAGATCCATGGGAGAAGCATGGATACCCAGAATCACTCATTCACTCACCTGCCCAGAGAGGAGAAGCAGGATCATGGACCTGTGTAAAAAAGCAAGCTGGCTACTCTTCCACAGGGCAGCTGCACTAAAGGCAACAATGGCTAAGGCTATGAAACAGCAAAGATGGTGGCTTGCACCTCCCTCTCAGAGCTTGGTCTCAGGGAGGTGTAATGCTGCTACTGGTGGATGACTGAAGTTTCAAGCAGTGGGTCTTATCCCAGGAGATGCCATGGGAGTGATGCCTGTAGACCATTGCTACTCAGGCCTCCTGGATCACCTCCTTTCCTAGAGTACGTTCAGGAGTCTAATCTCTGACTTTGCTGAAGTTGCAGCCACTTTTGCTGGGAACCCCAAGTATCTGAAGCACCTAGGGCTCCACGTGTGCTTGGATGGCTGCTCTGCTAAGACTCCATGTTAGACTGAAGGCCTTGATGGAGTCGGTTCATGAGGGGATTTCCTGACCTGAGGGTTGCAAAGATCCATGGGAGAAGAATGGGTGCCCGGAATCAGTCACTCACACACCACTTCCCTGTGTAGGGGAGGCTCCCCTGACTCTGTGTCACTCCTAGGTGGGTGGTCATCCTGCCTTGATTTTCCTTGTTCTCTGTGGGTCAAGTTTTTTGCTTTATGAATCCCAGTGTGTGTACCTGGATGTTTCAGCTGAAAACACTGTATTTACTCACCCCTTCTATTTCTCTCCATGATAGAGGTGCATACTAGCTGCTTCTAGCCAGCCATCTTGGTCAGTTTCCCAATCTTGTTCTTTTTATGACTGCATAGTATTCCATGGTGTATCTGTACCACATTTTCTTTATCCAGTCTACAATTGATGGGCATTTTGCTTGATTTCATGTATTTACTCTTGTGAATAGTGCTGTGATGAACATACACATGCATATGTCTTTATGGTAGAACAATTTATATTCTCTTAGATAAATACCCAATAATGGGATTGCTGGGTCGAATGGTAGTTCCAAGTTCTTTGAGAAGTCACCAAACTGCTTTCCACTGTGGCTGCCTTAATTTACATTCCCACCAGCAGTATATAACTGTCCCTTTTTCTCTGCAAACTTGCCAGCACCGGTTATTTCTTGACTTTTTAGTAATAACCAGTCTGAGTGGTGTGAGGTGGCATCTCATTGTGGTTTTGATTTGCACTTCTCTGGTGATAGCGATTTTCACATGTTTCACGTGTGTGTTGGCCATCTATATGTCTACATTCTTTTTTGAGTTGTGAAAAACCATAGACACAACAGGTGCTGGAGAGGATGTGGAGAAATAGGAACACTTTTACACTGTTGGTGGGACTGTAAACTAGTTCAACCATTGTGGAAGTCAGTGTGGTGATTCCTCAGGGACCTAGAACTAGAAATACCATTTGACCCAGCCATCCCATTACTAGGTATATACCCAAAGGATTATAAAACATGCTGCTATAAAGACACATGCACAGGTATGTTTATTGTGGCACTATTCACAATAGCAAAGACTTGGAACCAACCCAAATGTCCAACAATGATAGACTGGATTAAGAAAATGTGGCACATATACACCATGGAATACTATGCAGCCATAAAAAATGATGAGTTCACGTCCTTTGTAGGGACATGGATGAAGCTGGAAACCATCATTCTCAGCAAACTGTCGCAAGGACAAAAAACCAAACACCGCATGTTCTCACTCATAGGTGGGAATTGAACAATGAGAACACATGGACACAGGAAGGGGAACATCACACACTGGGGACTGTTGTGGGGTGGGGGGAGGGGGAGGGATAGCATTAGGAGATATACCTAATGCTAAATGACGAGTTAATGGGTGCAGCACACCAACATGTCACATGTATACATATGTAACTAACCTGCACGTTGTGCACATGTACCCTAAAACTTAAAGTATAATTTAAAAAAAAACATAGAAAACATCGATGAAACCAGAAGTTGGTTATCTGAAACAATAAATAAGATTGATAGGTTGCTAGCTAGACTAATAAAGAATAAAAGAGATTATCCAAATAAACACAATCAGAAATGACTTAGAGGACATTACCACCAACCCCACAGAAATACAAGAATCCCTCAGAAAATGCTGTGAACACCTCTGCACACAAACTAGAAAACCTACAAGAAATAGATAAATTATTGGAAACAACAAACTCCCAAGATTAAACCAGGAATAAATTGAAACCCTGAACAGACCAATAACGAGTTCCAAAATTGATTCTGCATCTAATAACCTACCAACTAGAAAAAGCCCAAACAAATTCATAGATGAATTGTACTTTAAAGAGCTGGTACCACTTCTACTAAAACTATTCCAAAAAATTTAGAATAGACTCCTCTCTAACTTACACTATGAGGCCAGCATCATCCTAATAGCAAAACCTGGCAGAGCTAGCAGAGACACAACAGAAAAATAAAACTTCGGGCCAATATCCTTGAAGAATATAGATGCAAAAATCCTCAACAAAATACTGACATACCCAATCCAGCAACAAATCAAAAAGCTAATCTACCCATGATCTAGTAGGCTTTATCCTTTGGATGCCAGGTAGATTCAATACATACAAATAAGTAAATGTGATTCATCACATAAACAGAACTAAAAACTGGAATCATGTGATTACTTCAATAGATGCAGAAAAGGCTTTTGATAAAATCCAACATTACTTCATGTTCAAAACCCTTAAAAATCTAGACATTGAAGGAAGATACCTCAAAATAAGAAGAGCCCTCTATGACAAGCCCACAACCAACATCATACAGAATCAGCAAAAGCTGGAAGCATTCCCCTTGAGAGCTGGAACAAAACAAGGATGCCCATTTTCACCATTCCTGTTCAACACAGTTCTGAGAGTCCTAGCCAGAGCAATCAGGCAAGAGAAAGAAATAAAAGGCACCTAAATAAGAAGAGATTAAGTAAAACTATCTTTGTGTGCAGAAGATATGATTTTATACATAGAAAACTTTTTGTGAAATAGAGTTTGAAGAAAACTACTTTAATCGGATAGAGGGGATTTATTTAAAAAGAAAAACTTAAAAGCTTAATGATAAGTGACACTTAATGGTTGAATACTGAATACTTTCCCTTAAGTTTCAAATAAGGGCAAATATATCTGCTTTCTTCATTTTTGTGGAACATTATGCTCAATGTCCTACCTCAGGCAATAGGGAGAAAAAAGGCACACAAACTGGTAGATACTAAATAACCA
Source organism: Homo sapiens (assembly GCF_000001405.40). NCBI lineage: Eukaryota > Metazoa > Chordata > Mammalia > Primates > Hominidae > Homo > Homo sapiens. The sequence continues at coordinate 112,248,616 of NC_000003.12, read as the reverse complement.
GTAGAACTAATAAGTGAATTTAGCGAAATCATGAAATTCATGTTCAGTATACAAAACTAAATTATATTTTTATATACTAGCAACTAACAGAAAAATGAAATAAAGAACATAATAATGGCATCAAAAACATGTCATAGTAACAAAAATAATGAAATACATATGTATCAGTTATCATTATCTATGGCTATGTAAAAAAATTGTCCCAAAATTCAGTGGCTTGAAACAAGAAACATTTATTATCTCAGTTTCTGTGAGTCAAGAATATGAGTATAAATTAACTGAGTGCCTCTGATTGTTTCTCTCATAAACTTGCATTTAAGCATAAATTGGGAGTGCAGCCATCAAAAGGCTCAACTGGGGCTAGAGAATCTGCTTCTAAGCTGATTGTGTGGTTTTGTTGACAAGATTCAGTTGTTTGAAGGCAGTGAACTAAGGGCTTTAGTTTCTTGTTGACTCTTGGCCAGAAGCCTCTTTGTCATTTGGACCTCTCCATAGGTCAGCTTGCAATATGGTAGCTGGCTTCTCTCAGAATGAATAAGCAAGAGAGCTAGAGAGAGCAAACCCTCAAGACGGAAGCCACGGTCTTTTTATAACCTAATTTTGAAAGTCACTTCCCATTACTTCTTCATATTCTATTTATTAGAAGTGAGTCAATACGTCTAGTCCATATTTAAGATGACTAAGTAATATCAACAGTATATTTCAGCGTGTGAGATACACACACACACACACACACACACACACTCAAGAGTAAACTGAGTACCACTTTACATTTTCTCTTCCAGAGTGAGATGTATGCAGTATGTGGCCATGTTTGCTAACATACTCATTCTTGACAAAGTTCTGATATTATAAAATGTATATGGTTAATATTTGGGCTTGTGACCTGACTTCTAAGAGCTGCTTCTATCACAGAGTTAGGCATTCAATTAACAAAGTAGGAATTTGAGCACAACCTTGTCCACAAGACATTTTAAATATCCACTTAGCCTGGTGTAGTTAGTAGGTGGATGGACGCCACTTTCATAAGTTGAGCTTGAGCTCACTACTCAATTGTGCAGCTTAATATGCTGAGTAGGGACACTCCCCTATGGGTTGTCTTTATATCACCATCTTTCTAAGCCCAGAGATGTCATAAGTGACAAGAAAAATGATAAGATTGAGAAATGGGTGTCACTGCTTCATTTGGAGCACGTTATTAACTATGGTTGAAAGATCAAATAAAATAGTTTTATATTTCAACACAAATTGCTATAAGCAGTCCTTGATGTTTTTTTGATGGTATCAGCTGGAAAGCCTCAAATCTAAGAGGGCTTTCCACCCTAGATATAAAATAGATGTTGCCTATTGCTGTGCTTATAAATGAAAAAGGAAGTTGAGGACACTTTTGCAAATGCCAGAATGTAAGATTCATTCAGTGTGCTCCCTGGGCCTCTAAAGCATGCGTTGACAGGATTTGCTTATTTTCTAAAATTAGCTTCATTCAATATTTATTATTCTCCTTTTCCTCTCTGAGAATGAACTCTGTATAAAATAAGCTTCTGCCTATTTGCATTTATCCTCCAAACCCAATCTAACAGGATGTTTTCATTTTAAAAACAAGAGGGGAAAAGACCAGAGTTTTCAGGAGAAAACTGGAGGAAAATGGGGAAGAAACCTCAGAAAGCAGCTATTCTCAGCAGCTTCCTGGTTAACAACCTTGGTGCTGCCTCTAGTCTCTGTCTGTATTCTTCTGCATTTAACCTTCAGATTGTAAGCCTTTTTGGCAAGCTTTTCTTCTGCTTTTTAAGCTCTTTTCCTGAAACTTTCTATGAAGGGCTATGGCACCATTAATGCTGCTGAATATCTTTAAACTCTTAGCACAGGCAAGTGTGTAGCTTAAGGCCACCACTGGTGAGGAAACCAAGTGTCCTCTGTGCCTTTTTTCTTTCTGTGAAGTAATTTAAGGACATCTAAAAAATTAGATTTTAAAAAGTTATCATCTTGGTACAACACTGTGTGCATATACACTTGGAAGCTTAAAAAGGTGTTTTGTCTGGAACTTAGAAGCAGCTCTAAATCTAGTAGGGCAGACTTTCTAACATACCTAGTTTTATTTATTGGCTTTGCTGGAGTATGATAGGAAAATGACGACTCTTACTCAGCTCTGGTATTGCTCATAACTTACCAAGAGGCTAATACTAAACTTGGAAAATCGTTTAAGTACATTTTATCAAGAAGTCTGGGTTTTGTTTTTTTAATATAGTTTTTAATGGATATCTCAAAACTGAAGGAAACTTTAAAGGTTTTTTAATGGTGCAGGTGAAGGTGCCAGTTGCTATTTGGTACCACACTCTACAAAAGCTTAATTACTTTACTTGATGCTGGTTGCTAAGCAGCGATTGTACAGAACATAAGCCTACTGGGTGCCTTTACAAGCCAGAGGCTGATGCTGCACTCTTGATGTCATGTGAGGAAATAATGCACATGCTCTAACTGCTCACCAGGAAATAAACCCAGAAACAGAAAATGAAGAACAAAAAGGTTGCTTGAAATAAAATATAATCAACATGACCGTATTTTGAAACATTTCAGGAAGGTTGCTTCTTGTCAAACTTGCCTGGCAGAGTTAGTTCAAAACTTGTATTTAATAAATGAACACCTGACTTACAAAAAAAAAAGATGACTAAGTATCAAGAGATGGATACCTCTGAGAGCCAAGTTAGAGGCTTCTTTCCAAAATATGCAAGACTCGTGCACTGAAAACAACATGGCATTGTTGAGACACATTTTTAAAAACCTATGTAAAATATATATTCCAATATGGATTTGAAGACTTGGAATTATTAGGATGTCACTATACTCATTGCAATTCCAATCCCAGAAGATTTTAGAAATAGATACCCAAAATCTAAACTCCATATAGAAATACAGAAAACTGAGGATAGCCCTAATAATTTTGAAAAGGAAGAACGAAATTTAAGGACTTATACTATCTGATATCAGGACTTATTATAAAAATACAGTAATTCAGTAGCATGCTGGCATAAGAATAAAAAAAGATGGAGTATAATAAGGAATTCAAAAAAGACTCACATATATGGTGAATTGGTTTTTGACACAGATTCTGAAACAGTTCAATGAGAGAAAAAATATTTTTTTCAATAAATGGTGCTGAACTACTGGATTCACTTAGAAAAAAAAAAAGAAAAACTCTATTTTTACCTCACACCATACCTAAAACTGATTTGAGATGGACCATAGACTTAAATATAAAATCAAAAACTGTAAAATTTTTTGAAGAAAATACAATGGTAACCCAATTTTTTTAAAAACGTACAACATATTTGAACAGACACTTCTTCAAAAAGAAAGATGTGTACTAATATGCATGTTAGAAGTATTCAACATTACTACTCTAAGGAAATGCAAATTAAAATCACAGTGAGACATGTCATATGCTATTTAATTTATACGAAGATTTTAGAATTGGCAATTCTTATCTACAGAAGTAGAAATCAAAATACTAGCTGCCTCTCATTGGTGAATGACTTATTAGGAAGGAGCATTAGAGAAATTTTGGGGATGTGAGATATTTTGCATCTTGATAGGATTGAGAGTTATATGAGTAGATATACACTGTCAAAACTGACAAAATGGTACTTGAGTACATTTCAATGTATGTACATTATACCTCAGATTTCCTTATTACCAATGCTTGGGCTGCACCCTTGACGAATTAGATCAGAATATTCAGTGGGGACCTCCTGAGTACCAATATCTTAAAGTTTCCCTTATGATTCTAATGTGCAACTTTGGGAGCCTCTAGTGTGGTTTCATGCTCTATCCCTAATTCCATCTGTGGATACAGAACAGAAGACTAGCTAGGGTGAAACATAAATTCTGGAAGTTGGAATTCCATAAATCCCCAAAAATGTGTAGCCTCAGATTGAAAAGTGTTAGTTCATTTGTCTATCAAGACTGACTTGAGATACAAGTAGATAAAGATATCAAGTGGCACCAAAGACATTTATTACTCCTTCTTCCTGACAATGAAAGGGTACCAGTGAGGCAAAGTGTGAGGTGGAGAAAACATATCAAGGGCCTTGAGTTGTTCTCCTTTCCCAGGTGAGGAGAATTGTTTGATGCAGATATGCTGGTAATGTTGAATAGAGAACGGTGTGGCCATGCACAGCCAGGTTTGTATAGTGGATAAGGATTGATAAAGTATAAGTGTATTCTCAGCTACCAGGAAGTGCAACAGTGGAATTCAAAGATAAATATTCCTTCCCAATGTCTGTATAAGTATTGATTTACTTGTCAAAACTTGTGTCCTAATTTCGGTTTGGTAACAAAACATGGATGAATTACATGCAGGAAGATAGAGAATACCCAGAGTGCTTTCATCTTAGATTAATTCCTCCCCTGCCATGAGCATCTATTAACACAGTACAACCTAGCTTAATTTATATTGGAAAATAGCTTAATTTATATTGGTAAATATAGGCTATATTATATGAAATTGTCATGAATACTTACTTTGTATTTTTTTCAATTCTAGATATTATTTCATGGAGTGTTAGTATGCCTAATAACCCTTGTTGTCAATAGATTTATTTTGCCAGTGGCAGTTACTATACTAGGTAAGCCCTAACAGTTACTATTCCTGTGGAGAGAAAAACATTCTAAGTATGGTAAAGAAGTGCTAATAATAAAGAAAGAATCCATATACAGCCTAGGCAACATAGTGAGACCCCCGTCTCTACAAAAAGTTTAAAAATTAGCCAGGCGTGGCAGTGCACACCTGTTGTCCTAGCTATTTGGAAGGCTGATTGGGGAGGATCGCTGGAACCCAGGAGGCTGATGCTGCAGTGAGGCAAGATCACACCACTGCACTCCACCCTGGGCAAGAGAGCAAGACCCTGTCTCAAAAAAAAAAAAAAAGAATCCATATAAATTATATAAATACAAGTCAGTGGTGCCTAATTTTTTTCAAATTTTATTTGACATGTGCAGGTTGGTTACATGGGTATATTGTGTGATGCTGAGGTTTGAGGTACAGATCTCATCACCAAGGTAGTGACCACAGTACCCAAAAGGTAGCTTTTCAACTCACATCCCATTTCTCTTTCCCCACTCTAGTACTCCCTGGTATCCACTATTCCCATCTCTATGTTCATGTGTACTCAATGTTTAGTTCCCACAAAAGATATTGGATTTTCTGCTCCTGCATTAATTCACTTAGGATAGTGGTCTCTGGCTTTATCCATGTTGCGGCAAAGGGCATAATCTTGTTCTTTTTTATGGCTGCATAGTATTCAATGGTGTATCTGTACCACATTTTCTTTATCCATTCCACCATTGATGGACACTTAGGTTGATTCCATCTCTTTGCTATTGTGAATAATGCTGTGATGAACATACAAGTGAATGTATCTTTTTTGTAGAATGATATATTTTCCTTTGGCTATCTTGGGGTGGCTAGCTTGAATGGTAGTTCTGTTTATAGTTATTTGAGAAATCTCCAAACTGCTTTCCACAGTGGCTGAACTAATTTACATTCTCCTTTCTCACCAACAGTATATGTGTTCCCTTTTCCCCACAGCCTTGCCAGCATCTGTTATTTTTTGACTTTTTAATAATAACCATTCTAACTGGTGTGAGATGGTATCTCATTGTGATTTTGATTTGCATTTCTTTTATGATTAGTGATGATGAGCATTTTTTCATGTGTTTGTTGGCCACTTGTATGCCTTCTTTTGAGAAGTGTCTGTTCATGTTCTTTGCCCATTAAGACTTTTTTTTCGTTTTAATTTTTGTGGATACATAGTAGTTGTATATATTTATGGGGTGCATGAGATATTTTGATACGGGTATAGAATGTGTAATAATCAATTAGGGTAAATGGAGTATCCATCACCTCAGGTGTTTATCCTTTGTGTTACAAACAATCCAATTGTGCTCTTTTAGTTATTTTTAAATGCACAATTAATTATTCTTGACTATAGTCACCCTATCGTGCTATCAAATGCCAGATCTTTTTCATTCTTTCTATTTTTTGAATGCATTAACCACCCAAATTTCCCCTTACCTCCCCACTACTCTTCACAGGCTCTGGTTAATCATCATTCTACTCTCTATCTCCATAAGTTTAATTGTTTTAATTTTTAGCTCCCACAAATAAGTGAGAACATGCAAAGTTTTTCTTTCTGTGCCTGGCTTATTTCACTTAACATGACCTCCAGTTCCATCCATGCTGTTGCAAATGACAGGATCTCATTCTTTTTAATAGCTTAATGGTATGCCATTGTGTATATGTATATTTTCTTTATCCATTCATCTGTTGATGGACACTTAACCTTTGCCAATTTTTAAATGGGATTGTTTTTTGCCTGTTGCTTTAAGTTCCTTGTAGATTCTGGATATAAGACCTTTGTTAGATGTATAGTTTGCTAATCTATTCTCCCATTTTATAGGTTGTCTGTTTACTCTATTAATAGTTTCTTTTGCTTTGCAGAAACTCTCTAGTTTAATTAGGTGTTGCTTGTCAATTTTTGTTTTGTTACAATTTTTTTGGGGACTTAGCCAAAAATTATTTCTCAAGGCTGGTGTGGAAACATTTATTTCCTGGGTTTTCTTCTAGGACTTTTATAATTGAGGTCTTACATTTAAATATTTAATCCATCTTGAGTAAATTTTTGTATATAGTGAAAGGTAGAGGTCCAGTTTCATTGTTCTGCATACAGCTAGCCAGTTATCGCAGCACCATTTACTGAATAGGGAATCCATCCCCCATTGTCTGTTTTTGTCAGCTTTGTCAAACATCAGATGACTGTAAGCATGCAGCTTTTCTTCTGGGTTCTCTATTCTGTCCCATTGAGCTATGTATCTGTTTTTGTACCAATACCATGTTATTTTGGTTACTGTAGACTAGTAGTATAGTTTGAAGTCAAGTAGTGTGATGCTTCTGGCTTCGTTCTGTTTGCTTAGGATTGCATTGGCTATTTGGGCTCTCTTTTGGTTCTATGTAAATTTTAGAACTGTTTTTCTCTAATCCTGTGAAAAATGACATTAGTAGTTCAATAGAAATTGTGTTGAATCTGCATATTGCTTTGGATAATGTGGCCATTTTAATGATATTGATTCTTTCAATCCATGAGCATGGAATGTTTTTCCATTTATTTGTGTCATCTCTGATTACTTTCACAGTGTTTTATAGTTCGCCTTGTAGAGATCTTTCACCTCCTTCGTTAGCTCTATTCCTAGATATTTCTCTTTTTTTGTGGCTATTTTCTTCTTTTTTATTTTTAAAATGTTTGTTGGTACATAGTAGGTGTATATGTTTGTGGGGTACCCGAGATGTTTTGGTACAGGCATGCAAAGTGAAATAAGCACATCATAGGGAATAGGATATCCATCCCTTCAGGCATTTACCCTTTGAATTACAAATAATTCAATTGCTCTTTAAATTATTCTTAAAATGTAAAACTTTAAAAATGTTTAAAATTTAAAATATGACTCTTTAAATTATTCTTAAAATGTAAAGGTATTATTGACTATAGTCACCTTATTGTGTTGTCAAATAGTAAGTCTTATTTATTCTTTCTATATTTTTGTGCCTGTTAACCATCCCCACCTGCCCCCATCCCCCCACCACCTTTCTCAGTCTCTGTTAACCATCATTCTACCCTCTATGTCCATGAGTTAAATTGTTTTTATTTTTAGATCCCACAAATAAGTGAGAATATGTGATGTTTGTCTTTCTGTGTGTGGCTTATTTCACTTAACGTAATGATCTTCAGAAAACACAACAGGTGCTAAATTTCTTAGGAAGCTAGAAACTGGATGTATTCTAGAACAAAAAGATAGCTCAAGAGATTGGAATCTTAAAAGATAATGCAGATAATTTATCATATGTGCTTAACTGGCTCATGAGGTTATGGAAGCTAAGTCCCAAAGTATGCATTCCAAAGGCCTGAGAACCAAGAGCCAATGGTACAAGTTCCAGCTAAAGTCTGAAGGTAGGAGAAGACTGAAGTCCCTGCTCAAAGACCATAAGGCAGAGACAACAAATTCTCTCTTGTTCAGACTTTTGTTTTATTGAGGCCTCCAACAGATTGGATGAGGCCCACCCACATTGGGAAAGACAATGTACTTTACTCAGTCTACCAATTTAAATGTCACCCTCATCCAAAAACACTCACAGACACACCCAGAATGTTTAACTGAATATATGGGCACCCTGTGGCCCAGTTAAGTTGACAAATGAAACTAACCATTATACCTCTGTTTCTTTGTTTCCTCATATATCAAACTGGGAAAAAGGACTCACCTCAAAAGGTGGCCAAATAACCAAAAACTTAATGCATGAAAAGTGCTGAAATGCACTTTTGCAGAATATAGTAAGCACTCAATAAACATTAGCTATTACTATTACATGCCTCACCTTTTGTGAGAAGAAATATGAAAGCAGAAAATGTTTAACTCTTTAGTATTCCCATTATTAAACAGTTTATGTTGAAATTTTATTTAAAGATTAGTGACAATAAGTTAAAAACAAAAGTAAGCTTTCTAACCCATATCAAAATTGTGGTGTTTCTACTATTTATCAAATGTGTGTTTGTATCAAAGGTCTTCGTGATGCCACATCAACAAAATATAAATCGGTTTGTTGCACATTTCAACACTTTCAAGAGCTAACCAAGTCTGCAGCCTCTGCCCTTAAATTTGACAAAGATCTTGCTAATGCTGATTGGAACATGATTGAGAAAGCAATTACACTTGAAAACCCATACATGGTAAGCAAGTAATATCTTTTTTATTGCTTTAATGCAGATTTGATTATACTGAAGTATAAATCAGATCATAAATATTAATTCACAAGTTTTAATATTTGTAATTGATAGAGAAGTCATGTTAATAACTCTATTTAACAAAGTAGTAAGGGGGAGTGTTAAGGAACTTCATGATCACTGTGGGGCAAAGTAGAAGTCATAACCCCTTTGAATATATATGTTTAAAATATATGTTTTGGGGGCATGGTTCCAAGATGGCCAAATAGGAACAGCTCCAGTGTACAGCTCCCAGCATGAGTGATGCAGAAGACGGGTGATTTCTGCATTTCCAACTGAGGTACCAGGTTCATCTCACTGGGGCTTGTCAGACAGTGGATGCAGGACAGTGGGTGCAGTGCACCCAGTGTGAGTTGAACCAGGGCGAGGCATCGCCTCACGCAGGAAGCGCAAGGGGTCAGGGAATTCCGTTTCGTAGCCAAGCAAAGCTGTGACAGATGGCACCTCGAAAATTGGGTCACTCCCACCCTAATACTGTGCTTTTCCAATGGTCTTAGCAAACAGCACACCAGGAGATTATATCCCGCACCTGGCTCGGAGGGTCCCACACCCACGGAGCTAGCTCATTGCTAGCATAGCAGTCTGAGATCAAACTGCAAGGTGGCAGTGAGGCTGGGGAGGGGCGCCTACCATTGCTGAGGCTTGAGTAAGTAAACAAAGCCACCAGGAAGCTCGAACTGGGTGGAGCCCACTGCAGCTCAAGGAGGCCTGCCTGCCTCTGTAGACTCCACCTCTGGGGGCAGGGCATAGCTGAACAAAAGGCAGCAGAAACCTCTGCAGGCTTAAATGTCCCTATCTGACAGCTTTGAAGAGAGTAGTGTTTCTCCCAGCATGGAGTTTGAGATCTGAGAACAGACAGACTGCCTCCTCAAGTGGGTCCCTGACCCCTGAATAGCCTAACCGGGAGGCACCCCCCAGTAGGGGCAGACTGACCCCTCACATGGCCGGGTACCCCTCTGAGAGGAAACCTCCAGAGGAACAATCAGACAGCAACATTGCCTGTTCAGCAATATTCGCTGTTCTGCAGCCTCTGCTGCTGATACCCAGGCAAACAGGGTCTGGAGTGGACCTCCAGCAAACTCCAGCAGACTTGCAGCTGAGGGTCCTGCCTGTTAGAAGGAAAAACAACAAACACAAAGGACATCCACACCAAAACCCCATCTGTACATCACCATCATCAAAGACCAAAGGTAGATAAAACCACAAAGATGGGGAAAAAACAGAACAGAAAAACTGAAAATTCTAAAAATCAGAGCACCTCTCCTCCTCCAAAGGAACGCAGCTCCTCACCAGCAACAGAAAAAAGCTGGACAGAGAATGAATATGACGAGTTGAGAGAAGAAGGCTTCAGATGATCAAACATCTCCAAGCTAAAGGAGGAAGTTCGAACCCATCGCAGAGAAGTTAAAAAACTTGAAAAAAGATTAGACGAATGGCTAACTAGAATAACCATTGCAGAGAAGTCCTTAAAGGACCTGATGGAGCTGAAAACCATGGCACGAGAACTACGTGACGAATGCACAAGCTTCAGTAGCCGATTCAATCAACTGGAAGAAAGGGTATCAGTGATGGAAGATCAAATGAATGAAATGAAGTGAGAAGAGAAGTTTAGAGAAAACAGAATAAAAAGAAATGAACAAAGTCTCCAAGAAATATGGGACTATGTGAAAAGACCAAATCTACGTCTGATTGGTATACCTGAAAGTGACGAGGAGAATGGAACCAAGTTGGAAAACACTCTGCAGGATATTATCTAGGAGAACTTCCTCAATCTAGCAAGGCAGGCCAACATTCAAATTCAGGAAATACAGAGAATGCCACAAAGATACTTCTCGAGAAGAGCAACTCCAAGACACATAATTGTCAGATTCACCGAAGTTGAAATGAAAGAAAAAATGTTAAGGGCAGCCAGAGAGAAAAGTTGGGTTACCCACAAAGGGAAGACCATCAGACTAACAGCTGATCTCACGGCAGAAATTCTACAAGCCAGAACAGAGTGGGGGCCAATATTCAACATTCTCAGAGAAAAGAATTTTCAACCCAGAATTTGATATCCAGCCAAACTAAGCTTCATAAGCAAAGGAGAAATAAAATCCTTTACAGACAAGCAAATGCTGAGAGATTTTGTCACCACCAGGCCTGCCCTACAAGAGCTCCTGAAGGAAGCACTAAACCTGGAAAGGAACAACCGGTACCAGCCACTGCAGAAACATGCCAAATTGTAAAGACCATCGATGCTAGGAAGAAACTGCATCAACTAACGAGCAAAATAACCAGCTAACATCATAATGACAGGATCAAATTCACACATAACAATATTAACCTTAAATGTAAATGGGCTAAATGCTCCAATTAAAAGACACAGACTGGCAAATTGGATGAAAAGTCAAGACCCATCAGTGTGCTGTATTCAGGAAACCCATCTCACGTGCACATAGGCTCAAAATAAAGGGATGGAGGAAGATCTACCAAGCAAACAGAAAACAAAAAAGGCAGGAGTTACAATCCTTGTCTCTGATAAAACAGGCTTTAAACCAACGAAGATCAAAAGAGACAAAGAAGGCCATTACATAATGGTAAAGGGATCAGTTCAACAAAAAGAGCTAACTCTCCTAAATATATATGCACCCAATACAGGAGCACCTAGATTCATAAAGCAACTCCTTAGAGACCTACAAAGAGACTTAGACTCCCACACAATAATAATGGGAGAAATTAACACCCCACTGTCAACATTAGACAGATCAATGAGACAGAAAGTTAACAAGGATATCCAGGAAATGAGCTCAGCTCTGCACCAAGCGGACCTAACAGACATCTACAGAACTCTCCACCCCAAACCAACAGAATATACATTCTTCTCAGCACCACACTGCACTTATTCCAAAACTGACCACATAGTTGGAAGTAAAGCACTCCTCAGCAAATGTAAAAGAAGAGAAATCACAACAATCTCTCAGACCACAGTGCAATCAAACTAGAACTCAGGATTAAGAAACTCACTCAAAATCGCTCAACTACATGGAAACTAAACAACCTGCTCCTGAATGACTACTGGGTACATAACAAAATGAAGGCAGAAATAAAGATGTTCTTTGAAACCAATGAGAACAAAGACACAACATACCAGGATCTCTGGGACACATTCAAAGCAGTGTGTAGAGGGAAATTTATGGCACTAAATGCCCACAAGAGAAAGCAGGAAAGATCTAAAATTGACACCCTAACATCACAATGAAAAGAACTAGAGAAGCAAAAGCAAACACATTCAAAAGCTAGCAGAAGGCAAGAAATAACTAAGATCAGAGCAGAACTGAAGGAAATAGAGACATAAAATCCCTTCAAAAAATCAATGAATCCAGGAGCTGGTTTTTTGAAAAGATCAACCAAATTGATAGACCACCAGCAAGACTAATAAAGAAGAAAAGAGAGAAGAACCAAATAGATGCAATAAAAAATGATAAAGGGGATGTCACCACCACTCCCACAGAAATACAAACTACCATCAGAGAATACCATAAACACCTCTACACAAATAAACTAGAAAATCTAGAAGAAATGGATAAATTCCTCGACACATGCACCCTCCCAAGACTAAACCAGGAAGAAGTTAAATCTCTTAATAGACCAATAACAGGCTCTGAAATGGAAGCAATAATTAATAGCTTACCAACCAAAAAAAGTCCAGGACCAGATGGATTCACAGCCGAATTCTACCAGAGGTACAAGGAGGAGCTGGTACCATTCCTTCTGAAACTATTCCAATCAATAGAAAAAGAGAGAATCCTCCCTAACTCATTTTATGAGGCCAGCATCATCCTGATACCAAAGCCTGGCAGAGACACAACAAAAAACAAGAATTTTAGACCAATATTCCTGATGAACATTGATGCAAAAATCCTCAATAAAATACTGGCAAACCAAATCCAGTGGCACATCAAAAAGCTTATCCACCATGATCAAGTGGGCTTCATCCCTGGGATGCAAGTCTGGTTCAACATACACAAATCAATAAATGTAATCCAGCATATAAACAGAACCAAAGGCAAAAACCACATGATTACCTCAATAGATGCAGAAAAGGCCTTTGACAAAATGCAACAGCCCTTCATGCTAAAAACTCTTAATAGTATTGATGGGACGTATTTCAAAATAATAAGAGCTATCTATGACAAACCCACAGCCAATATCATACTGAATGGGCAAAAACTGGAAGCATTCCCTTTGAAAACTGGCACAAGACAGAGATGCCCTCTCTCACCACTCCTATTCAACATAGTGTTGGAAGGTCTGGCCAGGGCAATCAGGCAGGAGAAGGAAATAAAGGGTAGTCAATTAGGAAAAGAGGAAGTCAAATTGTCCCTGTTTGCAGATGACATGATTGTATATTTAGAAAACCCCATCGTCTCAGCCCAAAATCTCCTTAAGCTCATAAGCAACTTCAGCAAAGTCTCAGGATACAAAATCAATGTGCAAAAATCACAAGCATTCTTATACACCAATAACAAACAAACAGAGGGCCAAATCATGAGTGAACTCCCATTCACAATTGCTTCAAAGAGAATAAAATACCCAGGAATCCAACTTACAAGGGATGTGAAGGACCTCTTCAAGAACTACAAACCACTGCTCAACGAAATAAAAGAGGATACAAACAAATGGAAGAACATTCCATGCTCATGGATAGGAAGAATCAATATCGTGAAAATGGCCATACTGCCCAAGGTAATTTATAGATTCAATGCCATCCCCATCAAGCTACCAATGACTTTCTTCACAGAATTGGAAAAATCTACTTTGAAGTTCATGTGGAACCAAAAAAGAGCCCACATTGCTAAGTCAAACATAAGCCAAAAGAACAAAGCTGGAGGCATCATGCTACCTGACTTCAACCTATACTACAAGGCTACACTAACCAAAACAGCATGGTACTTGTACCAAAACAGAGATCTAGACAATGGAACAGAACAGAGTCCTCAGAAATAATACCACACATCTACAACTATCTGATCTTTGACAAACTTGACAAAAACAAGAAATGGAGAAAGGATTCCCTATTTAACAAACGGTGCTGGGAAAACTGGCTAGCCATATGTAGAAAGCTGAAACTGGATACCTTCCTTATGCCTTACACAAAAATTAATTCAAGATGGATTAAAGACTTAAATGTTAGACCTAAAACCATAAGAACCCTAGAAGGAAACCTAGGCAATACCATTCAGGACATAGGCATGGGCAAGGACTTCATGTCTAAAACACCAAAAGCAATGGCAACAAAAGCCAAAATTGACAAATGGGATCTAATTAAACTAAAGAGCTTCTGCACAGCAAAAGAAACTACCATCAGAGTGAACAGGCAGCCTACAGAATAGGAGAAAATTTTTGCAATCTACGCATCTGACAAAGGGCTAATATCCAGAATCTACAATGAACTCAAAGAGATTTACAAGTAAAAACAACCCCATCAAAAAGTGGGCAAATGATATGAACAGACACTTCTCAAAAGAAGACATTTATGCAGCCAACAGATACATGAAAAAATGCTCATCATTACTGGTCATCAGAGAAATGCAAATCAAAACCACAACGAGATACCATCTCATACCACTTAGGATGGCGATCATTAAAAAGTCAGGAAACAACAGGTGCTGGAGAGGGATGTGGAGAAATAGGAGCACTTTTACACTGTTGGTGGGACTCTAAACTAGTTCAACCATTGTGGAAGACAGTGCGGCAATTCCTCAGGGATCTAGAACTAGAAATACCATTTGACCCAGCCATCCCATTACTGGGTATATACCCAAAGGATTATAAAACATGCTGCTATAAAGACACATGCACACGTATGTTTACTGTGGCACTATTCACAATAGCAAAGACTTGGAACCAACCCAAATGTCCAACAATGATAGACTGGATTAAGAAAACGTGGCACATATACACCATGGAATACTATGCAGCCATAAAAAATGATGAGTTCATGTCCTTTGTAGGGACATGGATGAAGCTGGAAACCATCATTCTCAGCCAACTATCACAAGCACAAAAAACCAAACACTGCATGTTCTCACTCATAGGTGGGAATTGAACAATGAGAACACATGGACACAGGAAGGGTAACATCACACACTGGGGACTGCTGTGGGGTGGGGGTTGGGGGAGGGATAGCATTACGAGAGATACCTAATGTAAATGACGAGTTAATGGGTGCAGCACACCAACATGGCACATGTATACATATGTAACTAACTTGCACATTGTGCACATGTACCCTAGAACTTAAAGTATAATGAAAAAAAGAATCAAGAAATACCAAAAATTTGAAAATAAAATATATGTTTTATGTGTATGTTTAAAATATATATGTTTAAATTCAAAAGAGGAGGCTGTGTATTGGAGCTCCCTTTAAAAGACATCATAGGTCAGCACAGTGGCTCATGCCTGTAATCTTAACACTTTGGGAAGCCAAGGCAGGTGAATTGCTTGAGCCAAGCAGTTTGAGACGAACCTGGCAACATGCCAAAACCATGTGTCTATAAAATATACAAAAAATTAGTTGGGTGGTGGTGTGCATCTGTAGTCCCCGCTACTCGGGAGACTGAGGTAGGAAGATCACTCAAGCCTGGGAGGTTGAGGCTGTGGTGAACCGTGATTGTGCCACTGCACTCCAGCCTGGGCAGCAAAGAGATACCCTTTCTTAAAAAAAAAAAAAATATAATATATATATATATATATGTGTGTGTGTGTGTGTGTGTGTGTATGAAAGTGAACCTTAGAAAATGGCTAGTTTTTGACCAAATTGGGAGGGGTCAGGGGTCTTTGTTTATTTATTTAGGCTATTGTGTATCTAAGCATTTGCTAGACCTTAATTTATGGTTAAAAATATTTTCAATATAAAATAGAATTCAAAGCCAAAGTTTAGCTGTGGGAGATGTCACCTTCTGCTTCTGAGATATGCTTTAAGATATCTGCAGTCAGACTCATTCTTTTAAGAACACTCAGCACACTAATCAGTCATGGTTTCCCTAAAGGGAAATAATAAAAGTTGTCCTGGGGTCTTCACAGCTGCTGCACTTTTCCGTGTCCTACATCATGTCCAGTTTTCAATGGTTTTTACAATGTTTTTGTTTTTGTTTTTTTTGCAAAACACAATATGAGGGGCCAACTTCTGGGAGTGCTTAGGTGAGATAATTAGTCTCTATGAAGTAGAATTCTGAAAAAATCCATTTCATATCCACTGAACCAGTGCTTAAAGCTCCAGATAGGAATTTAGAACTGACACTTGTGCCTGCAGGAATACTGCCAGGATTTCTGGATGGAACAAGTACCATGTCATATCCAAAGATTTCTCTAGTAGCTTCCAATACCTGATTGTGAACTTTTGCTGACTTGTCTGCATCAGAATTATCCAGATAGTTTACTCAAAATATTGATTGAGTTTTCACCTACTCTCTGAAGATTTTTATGCAGGTGGTCTGAGCAGGGATCCAGGAATATTTTAAGTCCACTACCCAGCTAATTCTAATGCAGAAGCCAGTGTTGGGGCCACCACTCTGGTACTTGATCTGTTTTAGAAGGCAGAGGATCAAATGACTACATTCTCCTTTTTGTGATGCAAACATGAGGGATATTATAGTATTAAAGATAGAACACCAACCTTGGAATCAGAAAATCTGGCTTTATAGCCTAGCTTTCTCACTTAATAGCTTTGTAATTTTGAGCATATCATCAATTTTCTCTAAGCTTCAGTTTCTCATCTGTAAATTATTCATACTCCCATTTCCTTTACGTGTGTTCACTTTCTATTTTACATTAAGTATCATTTTAAAGCAGTGGTTGTCAAGCTTTAGCTGCAGCAAAATTTTCAAATGGGGTTTTAGAAACACAGATTGACGCCCACTCCTCCAATTATGATTCACTAGGTCTAAGGTGGGATCTGAGAATGCACGTTTCTAACAATTCCCAGGTGATTCTGATGCTGCTGGGAGACCACACTTTGAAAACTGCTAGTGTAAAGCATGATCATATATGTGATAGCTTTTTAAACTGTTAATAATGCCGTGTAAAAGTAAAGATATGATATAACTCCTCCCCGCAAAACTGACAATTATTTTACCTTCTATAACTGAGCAAATGATTAGGACATTTGAGCAAATGATGAGGATCTGAACATTTTTCTTATCTACCAGATTTGCTACCATTTTTCAATGCAAACTGGTACAAAAATTGCTTGTGGATTTTGCTAAACAATATGTTAATATTCATGTATTTTTTGTTCTTTTATTTATGTTTTATTTAGTTGAACGAAGAAGAAACAACAGAACATCAGAAGGTGAAATGTCCACACTGTAACAAGGAAATAGATGAGATCTTTAACACTGAAGCAATGGAGCTGGCCAACAGGCGTCTCTTGTCAGCACAAATAGTACTGTATTATTCTCTTTTGAAATTATGTTTGGCCAAAAATTATGTTGAAAAATTCCTCCTTTATAAAGACATCTTGATCATGCTCACTTAATAGATTGTTTACAAAGGCAAAGGGAAGTTTGACATTGTCTTAGGAATCTGCTTGATTGGAAAGAAAAAGAAAGAGAGAGAGGAAAGAAAGAAAAAGAAAGAAAGAGAAAGAAAGAAAGAAAGGGAGAAAAAGAGAGAGAGAGAGACGAAAGACAGAGAAAGAAGGAAAGAAAGAAATTCACTCACATTAACTTAAGTAAAGAGTGATTTATTTATGAAGAATTGGGAATTTGACAGATCCCAATTGTAGAAATTGCAACTGGGGTTAAACTTCAGATGTGTTAGGCAATCAGTTCTGTGATATTGCCCATCTCTGGATCCAAGCCAGTTTTTCATGTAATGATACAGCCAAATCCTCTAATAGCTGACTGAAGAGAGTATTATGTTTTCATTCAAATATTAGCTAAAAATTAGAGAAATGCTGTAGCACAGCAGCATACAAACTGTTGGAAATTGCTAATAGGCTAGTTTTCATTTTCTCTCCAGGTTGAAATAATCAAGATCTATTTGCCATGAATTGTCCTCTTAGGGTGTTCATATTGGCCCTTCCTCACTGCCTGTGAAGCTGTTGAACACTTCTCAGCTATTCCAGCCATGTAGGATTCCAATCACTCTACCTGCTCAGTCTAACTAGGGAAGTGGGAGATCTGTAGGGTATGATTGTTCTCTCTTCAACAGTAGTCTTAGCAGACAAGTTGAGTTTCAAAGGCAACTATTTTAAGGACATAAATAACTTCTTTAAGCAATTGAGGCCGTGCCATGAGGATGAAGCTAATGCCCACATGGTGCTTTATTCCACCAGCAGATTTTCCACTTGTCCTACCAAATTAGGTATTGCTATCCACAGAGTAATGACTAAGTTAACACAGAGGTAGCAAATATTCCTGCTAGCTCTTCCATGTTTCCTAAATCTGATGCTCCAAGGCCATGGTTCTGTAATGTAAATGGACAAGCTAGTCATCCTGGGTTCCCCTGGGAACTGCCTATGAACAGCTTCTGAGGCAAAAACAAAGGCAGGCTTTCTAAATATACCGAGTCAGCAGGAATGAGAGGAAAAAATTGTCAGTCAATATAAAACAATGGAACAGGATAGAGAAACATCTAGACCAGGATTTCAGAGTAGAAGAGGATCTGGAAACAATGAAGTAGGGCTAGTCCTGAGATAACCATAGGTGAACCTGAACAGCCAACCATGGCTTCTTTAAGCCACAACAATTGCTTCCTTAGAAAGCACAAAGGAGTATTTTACAAACATTTGTCTGTAACTGTCAAAAATGAGGTAGACTAACCAAAAGTATATATAATCTGCTATATAATTTAGGAAATATAAATTGCATTTCTATCTTTTCCTGCAGAAATTCCCCAAATCAAAAATTTTTCAATGAGCTAGAAAATAAAAACAGAATATTAAACACTAAATTGTGGAAATATCAACTAACAGCACATTTTGATCCTTCTCATTGCTCACACAACTTTTCTGGATAGTTTTGTTTCTCTATCTAAGTAATGTACTTGCTCACCAATTTTTGTAATATCCCTTCTAGCTGGACTCATGATCAAAGAATCTGCCACTGCCACCACCACCACCTTATTCCCCACCCCTATTGCCACTAATTCTTTATACACACACACATACACGCACACAATTTTCTCAGCCTTAAAAAAATCTATACACCCTTTTGCTTGATAATCTCTTTTTGTACATTGTGTTATTAAATTTTACCTTTTCAAACTAATA
Organism: Homo sapiens; assembly: GCF_000001405.40. Taxonomy (NCBI): domain Eukaryota; kingdom Metazoa; phylum Chordata; class Mammalia; order Primates; family Hominidae; genus Homo; species Homo sapiens. The sequence continues at coordinate 112,229,530 of NC_000003.12, read as the reverse complement.
TTTTATTCTAATATGAAAGGTAAATTTAGGGTCAAGAGGGTAATTTTTATTGCTGTTGTTTTAATTGACATATAATTATACATATTTATGAGGCACAATGTAATATTCTAATACAAGTATACATGTGTCATGATCAAATAAGGGTGATAAGCATATAGATCACTTCAAACCTTTATTGTTTCTTTCGGTTGAGAATGTTCAAAATCTTGTCTTCTAACTATATGAAAAAATACAATAGATTAGTGTTTACTATAATCACCCTGCAGTGCTGTAGAACACTAGAATTTATTCTTCCTATCTAACTGCAACTTTGTATCTGTTAACCAACCTATTCCTGCTAGCTCCCCTGTCCCCCTACCCTTCCCAGCCTCTTGGAGCCACTATTCTACTCTACTTCTATGAGGTCAACTTTTATAGCTTCCATATATGAGTGAGAACAAGCAGTATTTCTTTTTCTGTGCCTGACTTCTTTCACTTAACATAATGTCTTCTAGTCTTATCCATGTTGCCACAAATGAAAGCATTTTATTCATTTTTATGGCTCAATAGTATTCTGTTGTGTAAATATACGACATTTTCTGTATCCATTCATCTATTGATGGACACTTAGTTGATTGTTTATCTTGGCTATTGTGAATTGTGCTGCAATAAACATTCCCCATATATAAACATTGTATTCTAGCCAGGGAAAGATAATATCTCATTATGGTTTTGACTTTCATTTCCCTATTCACTAGTGATGTTAAATTTTTTTATGTGCTTGTTGACCGTTTGTGTCTTTGAGAAATGTCTATTCAGATCCTTTGCTCATTTTTAAATCATACTATTTGTTTGTTTGTTTTTTGCTGTTGGGTGGTTTGAGTTCTTTGTCTATTCTGGATATTAATGCCTTAGTAGAAGAATAGTTTGCAAATATTTCTTTTTGTTCTGCAGGTTGCCTCATTATTCTATTGATTGCTTCCTTTGCTGTGCAGTAGTATTTTAGTTTGATATAATCTCATATGTCTATTTTTCCTTTTGTTTCCTGTGCTTTTGAGACTGTAGCCATGAAATCCTTGCCCAGTCCAATGACTTGAAGTGTTTCTCCTCCGTTTTCTTCTAGTGGTTTCATAGTTGTGAGTCTTTAATCTATTTTGAGTTTATTTTCATATAAAGGAGAGACAAGGGTTTAGTTTCATTCATCTGCATATGACTATTAATCCCAACACTATTTATTGAAGAGACTGTTCTTTCCCCAGTGTACGTTCCTCATGGCTTTGTCGAAAATCAGTTGGCTATAAATAGGTAATATATTCCTGGGTTTTCTATTCTGTTCTCTTGGTCTGTGTGCCTGTTTTTATGCAAGTACTATACTGTGTTGGTTGCTATAGCTTGTTGGTTGTAGTGTATTTTGAACTAGGGTATTATAATGTCTCCAGCTTTGTTCCTTGTGCTCAAAATTGCTTTGGCTACTTGAGGTCTTTTGAGGTTCCATACAAATTTTAGGAATGTTTTCTCTATCACTGGTATTTTGCTAGGGATTGCGTTGAATCCACAGGATTCTTAGGGAGTATGGTCATTTTAACAAGATTTGTTCTTCCAATATATGAACATGGGATGTCTTCCCATTTTTTGTGTTCTCTTCAATTCCTTCATTAGTCTTTTATAGTTTTCATTGTAGAGGTCTTTCATTTTCATGGTTAAATGTATTCTTATGTATTTTTGGTAGCTATTGTAAATGGGATTTATGCTTTGATTTCTTTTCACATAGTTAGCTGTTAGTCTGTAGAAATGCTACTAATTTTGTTTGTTTGTTAATATTGTATCCTGCAACTTCATTAAATTGGTTTAACAGTTCTAGGAGTTGTTTTGTGGAGTCTTTAGCTTTCCTAAATATAAGATTTTAACTTGTCCTCATTCCGTATGATTTTGGCTGTGGATTTGTCATATATGGTTTTATTGTATTTAGGTACATTCCTTGTATATCTACTTTATTGGGAGTTTTTATCATGAAACAATGCTGAATTTTATCAAATGTTTTTTGCGTCTATTCAGATGATCAAATGGCTTTGGTCTTTCTGTTAATGTGATGTCTTACGTGTGTTGATTTGTGTATATTTAAATATCCTTGCATTCCTGGGATAAATCCCACTTGATCATAGTGTATAATCTTTTTGATGTGCTGTTAGACTTTGTTTGCTAGTATTTTGTTGAGGATTTTTGCATCTGTGTTCATGAGGGATATTAGCCTATAGTTTTCTTTTTTTGTTGTGTTGTTTGCTGTTGGTATTAGGGTAATGCTAGCCTCATAAAATGAGTTTGGAAGAATTCCTTCCCTTTCAAAAATGTTTTTTTCTTGGGAGACTTTATATTACTGCTGCAATCTTGTAAGTCTTCATTGGTCTATTCGGACTTCCTATGTCTTCCTGGCTCAATCTCAGTAGGTTTATGTGTCCAGGAATTTATCCATTCCCCCCAGGTTTTCCAATTTGTTGGAGTATAGTTGTTCATAATAGTCTGTAATGATAGCTTGAATTTCTGTGGTCTCAGTTGTTGTGTCTCGTTTTTCACTTCTGATTTAATTTATTTGTATCTTCTCTCCTTATTTTCTTAGTCTAATGGTTTGTTAATTTTTTCTTATTTAAAAAACAACATTTTGTTTTTCTGATCTTTTATATTATTTTTGGTGTCAATTTCACTTATTTTAGTTCTGATTTTTATTACTTCTTTCCTTGACTTAATTTTGGGTTTGGTTTGTTCTTACTTTTTTAGTTCCTTAAGGTGCATAATTAAGTTGTTTTTTGAACTTTTGTGTGTGGGGGGATGGGGGGGGATGGAGTCTTACTCTATCGCCCAGGCTGGATTGCAGTGGTGCAATCTTGGCTCACTGCAAACTCTACCTCCTGGATTCAAGCAATTCTCCTACATCAGCCTCCTGAGTAGCTGTGATTAAAGGTGCTTGCCACCACACCTGGCTAATTTTTGTAATTTTAGTAGATATGGGGTTTCACCATGTTGGCCAGGCTGGTCTCAAACTCCTGACCTCAAGTGATCTGCACACCTCAGCCTCCGAAAGTGCTGGGATTACAGGCATAAGCCACCACACCTGGCCCTCTGTCTATTTTTTTGATGTAAAAGTTTATTACTATAAATTTCCCTCTTAGTGCAGCTTTTGCTATATCCCATAGGTTTTGATATGTTGTGTTTCTACTTTTGTTTCAAAATAAAGAATTACCTTCTTAATTTTTTTTCTTGATCTATCAGTGGTTGAGGAACATGATTAATTTCCATGTGGTTGTACAGTTTCCAATGTTCTTCTTGTTACTGATTTCCAGTTTTACTCCATTGTGGTCAGAAAAGATACTTGATATGATTTTAATTTTTTAAAAATTTGGGGGGCTTGTTTTGTGGCCTACCATATGCTCTATCCTGGAGAATGATCTGTGTGCTGATGAGAAGAACATGTATTCTGCTGTTCTTGAATGAAATGTTCTGTCTATAGTGCAGTTTAAATCCAAAGTTTCTTTGTTGATTTTCTGTGTAGATAGTCCTTCCAATGCTATGACTGGGGTTTTAAAGACCCAACTATTATCGTATTGGAGTCTTTCTCTCCCTTCAGATCTAATAATTTTTGCCTTATGTGTCTGAGTGCTCTGGTTTTTGGTATTTATATGTCCTTTTGCTGATTTGATCCCTTTATCATTATATAGTAAACTTCTTTGTTTCTCTTACAGTGTTTTACTTAAAGTCTATTTTATCAGTTATAAGTATAGCTATATAACTACTCCTGATCATTTTTGGGTTCTGTTTGCCAGAAATATCTTTTTTCATCCCTTCACTTTCAGTCTGTGGGCGTCTTTACAGGTGAAGTGAGTTTTTAATAGGCATAGGCAGTGTGTAGTTGGGTCTTATATTTTAATCAATTCAGCCAGTCTGTATCTTTTAAGTGGAAATTTTAATTAGTTTACATTCAGGGATATTATTGAAAGGTGTCATGTGTTTTTTTTTTTGGTTGGTGTGTATTTCCTTTTGTTTGTTTATCTTTGAAGATTGGTGTTTTTCTGTAATAATAAGGTTTGATTCCTTTTTCTTTAAGATTTGTGTATCTGCTCTACCATTGGGTTTTATATGTTTTTACAATCTTAGTTATTGTCCTTTTGCTTCCAGATATTGGACTTTTAAGCATTTCTTGTGAGTCCAGTCTAGTGATGGTGAATTCTCTCAGGTTTTACTTGTCAGGGAAACACTTGATTTCTGAAGGATAGCTTTTCTGGATATAGTATTGTTGGTTGAAAGTTTTTTTTGTCTTTCATCACTTCAACCATATTATCTTATTCTTTTCTGGCCTATAAAGTTTCTGCTGAGAAATATGCTGATATTCTAATGGAGATTCCTTTATATGTGACTTGACACTTTTTCTATTTTTAAAATTCTCTCTGTCTTTGACTTTTGACAGTTTGACTACAATGTGCCTCAGAGAAGAATTTTTTAGGTTGAATCTTTTGGGGGATATTTGACCTTCCTGGATCTAGATGTCTATATCTTTTCAAAAACTTGGAAGTTTTCTGTTATTACTTTATTAAATATGTTTTCTATGCCTTTTCCCATCTCTTCTCCTTCTTAAATTCCCATAATGATAACATTTGTTTGTGTAATGATGTCCCATGGGTCCCATGAGCTCTCTTGGGTTCTTTGGCTCGCTCTTTCTATCTATCTATCTTTCTTTCTTTCTCTCTTTCTCTCTTTTTTCTTTTCTTTCTTTCTTATCTATGTATCTTTCTCTTTTTCTCTTTTTTCTTTCTCTTTTGTCTGACATGGTTATTTGAAAATATCTGGCTTCAAGTTTAGAGATTCTTTTTTTCTGTTTGATCTAGTTTGTTATCAAAGCTCTCAATTGTATTTTTTCATTCATTAAATTAGCTCCAATATTTCTGTTCAGTTATTTTTTTATAATATCTATCTTTTTGTTGAGTTTCTTATTCACATAATGAATTGCTTTTCGATTTTATTGTGTCTGCTGAGTTTCCTTAATATCATTATTGTAAATTCCTTTTCAGGGAGTTTCTACATTTCCATTTCTTTGGGACCAGTTGCTGGTGAACTATTGTGTTCCTTTAACAGTGAGATATTTTATTGCTTTTTCATGTTTTTTTTGTATCCTTGCATTGATATCTTCAGATCTTGTGAAACAGTTGCCTCTTTCAATTTTGTATAGTGGCTTTCATGGGGAAAGACTCACCTGCAGATATGTCCCAGGGTGTCAGTTGGGTAGGGTGCATTAGCTTTTTACTGGGTGGATACAATAGCATAGCCTCAATACAGTTTCTTCAGCTACAGTCAATGTCATTGATGCCTGTGAGTGCCTCAGTTGCTTAGGCTGCAGAAGTTTGTGTGGCTGGTCTACCTATGTGGGGTCTGCTCCCTTGTGAATGAGGGAGCTGGCTATGCTACCATGGGTAGAGAACCAGGATCATCTGTGATTTGGGGGAAGTGCAGGGCTGGTCAGCCAGCATCTCTTCTCAGGTGCTACTACTTTGAGGACAGGGTTCCAGGCTGGTCTTCACTCTGGGGAAGCAAGGGGCTGGTTAGCCAGCAGCTCAGCTCACTTGACATTTTGCTGCTTCACTTGACATTTTGCTTTTTAGTATAGTTAATTTTTCTTGTAGGCAAATCTAGTAAACCTAGGTAATATTTTTTAGGCTAAAGACTGTGATTTATTTATCTGTATGTCTTCAGTGAATACCACAATGTGTAGTACATAGTAGGTGCTCAAATAATATTCACTCAATTAATTAATCTGAACCTTTTTGGAGTATTTGAGGTTTATTATAGGATCTAATAGCTGTTGTATTTTGATATCTCAATTCTTATCTTCTTTCACTCCTCTCTTGCTGTTTAATTTCTTTCTTTTTCTTTTCCTTTGCCTGCCTGCTTTCCTTTCTTTGTTTCTTTTGTATTGAGATATATCATTCTTTGTTTATTTGTTTGATAAGCTAACTTCAAAAAGTATCTAATTTTACCTTACAAATGATATAAATGTCAATAATACTCTATAACTTTCTAACTAAAATGTTAACTATAGATGTACTTTTAGAGTAGACACGTTTGCATTTCCCTTTTCTCAATCTACCTCTATGTTAATTTTTTAAAAAGCAAAAATTGCTTACTAGGCCTTGTACCCATGGCTGGAATATGAATTTAGTTCAATGTTCTGAAATCTCTTTGTGCTCTTCTTCTATTTTTTGAGACAAGATTTCTTTATGTTGCTCAGACTGGTCTCAAATTCCTGAGCTCAAAGAGTCCTCCTGCCTTAGTCTCCCAGAGTAGCTGGGGCTACAGAGGGACACCACCATGCCCTATTCCCCTGTTTTCACTTTCACACTTTAAGTTTTGTTTTAATGATTATGCTTATTATTCTTATAAACAAGAAGCCTTTTATAGATATGTTTTATTACATATTTCATTCTTTAATATATTGATATTATAATTTTCACTGATTATTTCCAACAATATTCCCAGTTGAGAATATCTTTGAAGTGTATTTTTCAATGGTTTGGCTAGTGTCTCTTGTCTACTTTTGTAGGAAAAAATTGATTAGTAAATGTTTAAAGATGTTTCAGACCTAAAAATAGGAGTTTTATCCAAGTAATGATACATTTATATGAAGACAAAGGAATGATTTTTATGCAATTAATAAATTAATATTTATGAAATTAAATACAGCTCCCTTTCTTGTTTGGATACCTGTAGAATTATTTCTATTTCCTTGTAACTTAAAAATGTTATGAGGCCATGTCTTTTAGTCACTTCCCAATTTTAATGTATTTCAGGAAAATATGGTGTACAAGAACCCACAAAATAAATGAAGGAAACTTCATTTTGAGTCTTGTTTTTGTTACTAATATGATATGTGACTAAGGACTTAATCTATTTAGTTTCCATTCTCCCAATCTATAAAAGAGGAAACTTATGGTGACTGAATAACCTCTTTTTCGCTTGTGATATTCTATGTTTTCTGCAGTGTATACTCCATGTACCTTTTTGATTTATTGCCTCAAATGTTTGGGTTCTACTATTATATTTTGATCATTGATTTTGTGCTATTGTGTCTTAATCAATAAATCTCGCTTTTCAAAGTAGATTGGATTTCTCTGCTCTGTTCTCTAGATCCTCATTTCACTTAATATCTTCCAAGTTCTTCTTAATTTTAGATATATTTTCATGCTCATCTTGATTTGTTGATTTGGTTTCTGCGTTCCCATTGGGAAAGATAATTTAACAGTTAACATCTTCTAGTATCTAATTGCTTTGGTATTTGTGTTGCTAAGCTTTCGCGAGATCCATATAATCTTCAGCTTCCTCATTTTTTCAAACTACAATTTTTATCTTGAGGATACTAAGAATATTTTGATTTAATATTGTTTTAAACATATTTTAATGATATTTAAGGAGAAGAGTGTACTCTATTGAATTCCTGTAATTATGGGAAAAGTTTTTTCATCCCACATCCTCAAGTGTCATTGCTATTTCTTTCTAGTATTTCCCCAAAACGAAGCAGTGTTTAATATTCAAAACTGATCATGCAGAGAGAATGCCTGCTGCAGAACCTAGAAATCTTTGGTCACATAATATATTTCAGTTAAGGAAGTTGGTCTACATAGTTTCTGAATAGTGTTCAGCATATGGATGCCAGGAACAGTGTCAGATACTGGTTTCCATATCATCAGACATAGTCCCTGAAGCTCAGTAGGCTCTTTATATATATGTATTGAATGAAGAAGTGACTGCATTCTGCCAAATAGTAGCAATCTGTTATTATAATACTCCTTATAAATTATAAAATATTCTATAAATAATTATATAAGTTACAAAGATAGAATCATTTTAATCCTTATCACAGATGAGGCAGCAGAGCCCTGTTGTGGAAATATTTGAGAAAATTCAATTAAATAAAGATGTATAGTAGGATTTTTTTTTACTGTAGGTTTTCTCAGAGCCTTTAATATTCATTATTAACTTTTGAGATGTGGATATAGCTTGCAGTAGTTCCCAAACTCATTTGCCAATAAGTTCCATTTATTTTTTGAAAACCTAATTCCATGTCTAGAAGAGCTCTAGTTTCCTTCAGAACCAGTGTGGCTCCACTCAAAGCCAAGACCTACCTTATCCAGTAATCTTATAATCTGAACTCCATAGAAATATTCTTTTTACAAACAGACTAGATTGATTGTTTTTACTTCTTTATCACACATTTTTCCCATCAAGATTGTAATAAGTTGTCATCGTTATTCATGCTATATAATGACTTGAATTAATATTTTTTTAGGCAAGCTACCAGAGACAATACAGGAATGAGATTCTGTCCCAGAGTGCTGTCCAGGTGTTGGTTGGTGCAGCAGAAAGTTTTGGTGAGAAGAAGGGAAAGTAAGTATATTCTCAAGAGATGGCTTCTATTCTAAGCCACAGCATTTAGGAAATTACCCAAGTGAGTTTTCTTGTTTTTGTCTGGTAACTTGGCTCCCTCTACTATTAATATTAATACTATAGTATTACAGCAGAGCTGTCTGCTCTATACCCCACCCTCAGGCCAAACTACCTATTTTCAGTTTCCCAAATTTGCTGCATTCATTCTTACCTCCGTGATTTTGAACAAGCTGTTCCTTCTGACTGAAACTTTCTTTTGTTCTTTGTCCCCCCCTGCCAAAAGTTAAGCTGTGGTAAAGAACTCTTCCTTTTAGACAATTTGAATGCCAGACTAAGTAAGGGTGAAGCCTTCCTTAATCCCTCCAGGCACATCTTCCCCAATACACAGGTAGTACTTCAACATCTTCTCTTAATACTCAGCATGCATTTGTAATCTTGTAGTGATTTCTTTAGATATAGGTCTCCAAAATAAGCAGTGGTTTCCTCAAAGTTGGTGTTTTGAGGGGTACCCTCAGATCATCCCCTGTGGAGGAATGCTGGATCTATGATTGGGCAAAGAGGGGGGTTAAACTGCAGTGCAACTGCAACAGTGTCCACCCAGACATACCTTCTAGCTCTAGACAACAGTCCTGAAGACACCAAAATTCCCTGCTTAAATTGTCCTAAGCTTATTTCCAGAGTCTATTTGGGCCTCTAGTCCTGGTCCATCATCTCATGAGCAAACCCGGCCTTTGGTGTGCATACCCCTAAACCTGAAGGATGTGCCAACCTTGTGTTAAGTCACATGTACAACCTTGTGGTACACTGAAGGATAAAGTTAGATGTTAGAAAAGAAGCAGCCAGAAATTAGGGCATATTTGCATTTCATTTCAAGTACAGACTTTCAAAGTAACTAAGAGTTTTCATTTTAAGCCTAGTCATACAAATCATTATGACATTATATGTGTCATGATAGGAAGATGAAATATATCTTATTTAAAATTTTGTTTCCTTGATTTATAATGCTTGAATATTTTCATCTATGGTACCAGGGTCTCTGTTTGTCCTTTTGATCCAGGCACTTCCAATGCTTTAGGTGACCTAGTAAAGTTGAGGGAGTTGAGAGGGCTGGGCAAATGTGATCAATTCAAAACAATACCGTGCATATTTTAAAGAAGAAAGGTGCACATTGTACAGTGGAAGTTTTTAATAAATGACACAATAAAAAGCATCATTAATATATTTTCCAGGAGATGTTAAAAATAGCAGGCCGGGCATAGTGGCTCATGCTTGTAATCCCAGCACTTTAGGAGGCCGAGGTGGGTGGATCACTTGAGGTCAGGAGTTCGAGACCAGCCTGACCAATATGGTGAAACCCTGTCTCTACTAAAAATACAAAAAAATTAGCCAGGCACGCTGGCATGCACCTGTAGTCCCAGCTACTCAGGAGGCTGAGATAGGAGAATTGCTTGAACCCCGAAGGCAGAGGTTGCAGTGAGCTGAGATTGTGCCACTGCACTCCAGCCTGGGGGACAGAGCAAGGCTCTGTCTCAAAAATAAAAATAAAAATAAAACAACATAGAGCAATTCAGCCCACTGCCTTGATTTTTTTCTCTTTAAATGTTCCCCAAAGGCAGAAGCAACATATGCCTATGAAGGCAAACTTTGGAATATATTACATTTTTTATGCATGCATGTAAGAGATATACATTGAAAACCAATATGTGCAAAGCTATATATTACCAATATATGCCAGTCACTGTAGGGAATATTAATATTAGCAAAATGGTATTCCAGCCCCTGGAGAACTTTCTATTGATGTGCTTATATTCAGTTCTTGCTTCTTTGCTGAGCTGATTTTACCATTTGCTAATTATTCCTATGAGTGCCTCATGTGTCAGGGTGACCTGTGGCAAGAAAAACAAGTCTAAGAAAAGAAAGAGTGGAGGGTTTAAACAGGAGCACCAGGACCTATGCTAAGTGCTTGTATAATTGCCTAAAAAATAATACTTTGAGCACATAGTTTCTTTTTATTGAGTGTCATACCAGGTACAGTTTTAAACACTTTACATGTATTAACCTATTTTACCTCAGAAGAATCTTATTAGATGCTGTTGTTATATTCACGATGCAGGTTAGGAAAATAAAACAAAGAGAAATTAAATAATTTATGCAAGGTCATTTGACTCATAAATTACAGAGTTGGGATTCAAAGCCAAGCTGCCTCACTATCCGGTTAAATAGATCATACTGTTTCCCTAAATCAGGTCTAAACAGTGAACATGTTGATGTAAAATAGGAGTTCAAGAGCCTGAATTACTCAGTAATTTGTGCTGCAAAGTGTCACACATAGATATCACAATAAGACTATATTAAATGCTTATTTTTTTGAGTCCAGGGAGCCCTCTCATTTATTATCTCTGTGGCAACACTTACCACGTTTTACTGCAATTGGTATTTATATGTTTCATCCCACTAGTCTGCTGCAGCCTTGAGGGCAGACCAGTATTTCTTTATGGTTTATCTTTGGCATTTAACAACAATAGCAGATGTTGAATAAATATTTTTTCAATTATAAATGAATCAAGTCATATACATATTCAACATTTTCCATTTATTTACCGCATATTATATTGAATATCAGATAATTGAATGACTTCATTCTTTTCAATTACGTTAGTATCCCTGTAGTAAAAAAAAAAATATATATACAAGTTTTAAAGTAAGAACATTATAATTCATAGAAAGGGCAAGGTTTACCTTTGAACTTGGGTTTCCAATGCCCTTCCATTAAGCCACATTATAAGGTAGGGCCTCACATCCAAGGGCAGAGCCTTACTCTCCTTCTGATCATGACGATGAAAGTATCTGGTCAGCAGCAGGTAAATTCCTTGAAAAGCCAAGGAGATTGGCTAAACAAGACATGATCATATACACGGATCTGAGCTGTCTCAATTAAAAAAAAAAAAAAAAACCTAGCAGAAAGCTACAGAAAACTTGGGACAAGTGCTACCAAAATGACATTGAGCTCTTATGACCAGTGACTTTTCTAAGTTACTATTTTAACTCATTTTTAGTCATTCTAAACCTTACTATCTGCTTTGAAGGTGAAGACAAAGAGATGGGAAGATGTGTGATATGAGTTGGATGCTTTATACATGCTTTCCCATTTAATTATCCCAGCCTAACATTGGTATTTTTATCCTTATTTTGTAGATTAGCAAGCAAGTTAATGAGGTAATTTGTCCATTGCCATACCAGACAATGGGGAATCTAACATGAAAACCCAGATGTCTGAATCCCAAATATTTGAAACATAGTATGTTTTCTATCCCTGAACCTTGAAATCTCTATTATTTTCAACCATGTATCTCCAATTTTTAATACTCTCTGTTTAACAAGTGAGCCTGACAATCTAACTTCATGAACCACGCCCATGAAAATGTCTTAATCCAACCATCATGGCACAAAATAGTCTTCCTGTTTTGTGCAAAATTAAACTTATGTACAACATTAAACTTCCAGTACAACATTAAACTTATCTCAAAATGTTTAAAGCATGTTTAAAGATTTCTCTCTTTTTCTAGATGTATGAGTCTTGATACAATAAAGAATTATTCTGAAAGCCAAAAAACAGTTACCTTTGCTAGAAAACTACTACTTAATTGGGTGTATAATACCAGAAAGGAAAAAGAGGGCCCATCAAAGTAAGTGCTTTTGAACCTTATAAGAAATGCTATTATATTCACTTGAAATTCCCTGTTTTTTCTTTTAAAATGGTATCTTGAATTTTTTGTTATTATACTATAAGTGCTAGGGTACATGTGCACAACGTGCAGGTTACATATGCATACATGTGACACGTTGGTGTGCTTCATTCATTAACTCGTCATTTACATTAGGTATATCTCCTAATGCTATCCTTCCCCCCTCCCCTCACCCCACAACAGGCCCCAGTGTGTGATGTTCCCCACCATGTGTCCAAGTGTTCTCATTGTTCAGTTCCCACCTATGAGTGAGAACATGTGGTGTTTGGTTTTTCGTCCTTGCAATAGTTTGCTGAGAATGATGGTTTCCAGCTTCATCCATGTCCCTACAAAGGACATGAACTCATCCCTTTTTATGGCTGCATAGTATTCCACGGTGTATATGTGACATATTTTCTTAATCCAGTCTATCATTGATGGACATTTGGGTTGGTTCCAAGTCTTTGCTATTGTGAATAGTGCCACAATAAACATATGTGTGCATGTGTCTTTATAGCAGCATGATTTATAATCCTTTGGGTATATACCCAGTAATGGGATGGCTGGGTCAAATGGTATTTCTAGTTCTAGATCCTTGAGGAATCGCCACACTGTCTTCCACAATGGTTGAACTCGGTTACAGCCCCACAAACAGTGTAAATGTGTTCCTATTTCTCCACATCCTCTCCAGCACCTGTTGTTTCCTGACTTTAATGATTGCCATTCTAACTGGTGTGAGATGGTATCTCATTGTGATTTTGATTTGCATTTCTCTGATGGCGAGTGATGATGAGCATTTTTTCATGTGTCTTTTGGCTGCATAAATGTCTTCTTTTGAGAAGTGTCTGTTCATATCATTTGCCCACTTTTTGATGGGGTTGTTTGTTTTTTTCTTGTAAATTTGTTTGAGTTCTTTATAGATTCTGGATATTAGCCCTTTGTCAGATGGGTATATTGCAAAAATTTTCTCCCATTCTGTAGGTTGCCTGTTCACTCTGATGGTAGTTTCTTTTGCTGTGCAGAAGCTCTTTAGTTTAATTAGATCCCATTTGTCAATTTTGGCTTTTGTTGCCATTGCTTTTGGTGTTTTAGTCCTGAAGTCCTTGCCCATGCCTATGTTCTGAATGGTATTGCCTAGGTTTTCTTCTAGGGTTTTTATGGTTTTAGGTCTAACATTTAAGTCTTTAATCCATCTTGAATTGATTTTTGTATAAGGTGTAAGGAAGGGATCCCATTTCAGCTTTCTACATATGGCTAGCCAGTTTTCCCAGCACCATTTATTAAATAGGGAATCCTTTCCCCATTTCTTGTTTTTCTCAGGTTTGTCAAAGATCAGATGGTTGTAGATGTGTGGTATTATTTCTGAGGGCTCTGTTCTGTTCCATTCGTCTATATCTCTGTTTTGGTACCAGTACCATGCTGTTTTGGTTACCACAGCCTTGTAGTATAGTTTGAAGTCAGGTAGCGTGATGCCTCCAGCTTTGTCCTTTTGGCTTATGATTGACTTAGCAATGTGGGCTCTTTTTTGGTTCCATATGAAGTTTAAAGTAGTTTTTTCCAATTCTGTGAAGAAAGTCATTGGTAGCTTGTTGGGGATAGTATTGAATCTATAAATTACCTTGGGCAGTATGACCATTTTAACAATATTGATTCTTCCTACCCCAGAGCATGGAATGTTCTTCCATTTGTTTGTATCCTCATTTATTTTGTTGAGCAGTGGTTTGTAGTTCTTCTTGAAGAGGTCCTTCACATCCCTTGTAAGTTGGATTCCTAGGTATTTCATTCTCTTTGAAGCAATTGTGAATGGGAGTTCACTCATGATTTGGCTGTTTGTCTGTTATTGGTGTATAAGAATGCTTGTGATTTTTGTACATTGATTTTTTATCCTGGGACTTTGCTGAAGTTGCTTATGAGCTTAAGGAGATTTTGGGCTGAGACGATGGGGTTTTCTAAATATACAATCATGTCATCTGCAAACAGGGACAATTTGACTTCCTCTTTTCCTAATTGACTACCCTTTATTTCCTTCTCCTGCCTGATTGCCCTGGCCAGAACTTCCAACACTATGTTGAATAGGAATGGTGAGAGAGGGCATCCCTGTCTTGTGCCAGTTTTCAAAGGGAATGCTTTCAGTTTTTGCCCATTCAGTATGATATTGGCTGTGGGTTTGTCATAAATAACTCTTATTATTTTGAGATACGTCCCATCAATACCTAATTTATTAAGAGTTTTTAGCATGAAGGGCTTTGAATTTTGTTGAAGGCCTTTTCTGCATCTATTGAGATAATCATGTGATTTTTGCCTTTGGTTCGTTTTATATGCTGGATTACATTTATTGATTTGTGTATGTTGAACCAGACTTGCATCCCAGGGATGAAGCCCACTTGATCATAGTAGATAAGCTTTTTGATGTGCTGCTGGATTCGGTTTGCCAGTATTTTATTGAGGATTTTTGCATCGATGTTCATCAGGAATATTGGTCTAAAATTCTCTTTTTTTGTTGTGTCTCTGCCAGGCTTTGATATCTGGATGATGCTGGCCTCATAAAATGAGTTAGGGAGGATTCCCTCTTTTTCTATTGATTGAAATAGTCTCCGAAGGAATGGTAGCAGCTCCTCCTTGTACCTCTGGTAGAATTCGGCTGTGAATCCATCTGGTCCTGGACTTCTTTTGGTTGGTAAGCTATTAATTGTTTCCTCAATTTCAGAGCCTGTTATTGGTCTATTCAGAGATTCAAATTCTTCCTGGTTTAGTCTTGGGAGGGTGTATTGTCCAGGAATTTATCCATTTCTTGTAGATTTTCTAGTTTATTTGTGTAGAGGTGTTTATAGTATTCTCTGAGGGTAGTTTGTATTTCTAGGGGATTGGTGGTGATATCCCCTTTATCATTTTTTATTGCATCTATTTGATTCTTTTGTCTTTTCCTCTTTATTAGTCTTGCTAGTGGTCTATCAATTTTGTTGATCTTTTCAAAAAAACCAGCTCCTGGATTCATTGATTTTTTGAACGGTTTTTCGTGTCTCTATCTCCTTCAGTTCTGCTCTGATCTTAGTTATTTCTTGCCTTCTGCTAGCTTTTGAATGTGTTTGCTCTTGCTTCTCTAGTTCTTTTAATTGTGATGTTAGGGTGTCAATTATAGATTTTTCCTGCTTTCTTTTGTGGGCATTTAGTGCTACAAATTTCCCTCTACACACTGCTTTAAATGTGTCCCAGAGATTCTGGTATGCTGTGTCTTTGTTCTTATTGGTTTCAAAGAACATCTTTATTTCTGCCTTCATTTTGTCATGTACCCAGTAGTCACTCAGCAGCTGGTTGTTCGGTTTCCATGTAGTTGAGCGATTTTGAGTGAGTTTCTTAATCCTGAGTTCTAATTTGATTGCACTGTGGTCTGAGAGACAGTTTGTTATAATTTCTGTTCTTTTACATTTGCTGAGGAGTGCTTTACTTCCAACTATGTGGTCAATTTTGGAATAAGTGTGATGTGGTGCTAATAAGAATGTATATTCTGTTGATTTGGGGTGGAGAGTTCTGTAGATGTCTATTAGGTGTGCTTGGTGCAGAGCTGAGTTCAATTCCTGGATATCCTTGTTAACTTTCTGTCTCGTTGTTCTGTCCAATGTTGACAGTGGGGTGTTAAAGTCTCCCATTATTATTGTGTGGGAGTCTTAAGTCTCTTTCTAGGTCTCTAAGAACTTGCTTTATGAATCTGGGTGCTCCTGTATTGGGTGCATATATATTTAGGATAGCTAGCTCTTCTTGTTGAATTGATCCCTTTACCATTATGTAATGGCCTTCTTTGTCTCTTTTGATCTTCGTTGGTTTAAAGTCTGTTTTATCAGAGACTAGGATTGCAACCTCTGCTGTTTTTTGCTTTCCATCTGCTTGGTAGATCTTCCTCCATCCCTTTATTTTGAGCCTATGTGTGTCTCTGTACATGAGATGGGTCCCCTGAATACAGAACACTGATGGGTCTTGACTCTTTATCCAACTTGCCCGTCTGTGTCTTTTAATTGGAGCATTTAGCCCATTTATATTTAAGGTTAATATTGTTATGTGTGGATTTGATCCTGTCATTATGATGTTAGCTGGTTATTTTGCCCATTAGTTGATGCAGTTTCTTCCTAGCATAGATGGTCTTTACAATTTGGCTTGTTTTTGCTGTGGCTGCTACCAGTTGTTCCTTTCCATGTTTAGTACTTCCTTCAGGAGCTCTTGTAGGGCAGGCCTGGTGGTGACAAAGTCTCTCAGCATTTGCTTTTCTGTAAAGGATTTTATTTCTCCTTCACTTATGAAGCTTAGTTTGGCTGGACATGAAATCCTGGGTTGAAAATTCTTTTCTTTAAGAATGTTGAATATTGGCCCCCATTGTCTTCTGCCTTGTAGAGTTTCTGCTGAGAGATCTGCTATTATTCTGATGGGCTTCCCTTTGTGGGTAACCTGACCTTTCTCTCTGGTTGCCTTTTACATTTTTTCCTTCATTTCAACTTTGGTGGATCTGACAATTATGTGTCTTGGGGTTGTTCTTCTTGAGGAGTATCTTTGTGGCATTCTCTGTATTTCCTGAATTTGAATGTTGGCCTGCCTTGCTAGGTTGGGGAATCTCTCCTGGATAATATCCTGCAGAGTGTTTTCCAACTTGATTCCATTCTCCCTGTCACTTTCAGGTATACCAATCGGATGTAGATTTGGTCTTTTCACATAGTCCCATATTTCTTGGAGGCTTTATTCATTTCTTTTTACTCTTTTTTCTCTAAACTTCTCTTCTTGCTTCATTTCATTTATTTGATCTTCAATCACTGATACCCTTTCTTCCAGTTGATCTAATTGGCTACTGAAGCTTGTGCATTCATCATGTAGTTCTTGTGCCATGGTTTTCACCTCCATCAGGTCCTTTAAGGACTTCTCTACACTGGTTATTCTAGTTAGCCATTTGTCTAATCTTTTTTCAAGGTTTATAGCTTCTTTGCCATGGGTTCGAACTTCCTCCTTTAGCTCGGAGAAGTTTGATCATCTGAAACCTTCTTCTCTCAACTCATCAAAGTCATTCTCCATCCGGCTTTGTTCTGTTGCTGGTGAGGAGCTATGTTCTTTTGGAGGGGGAGAGGTGCTCTGATTTTTGGAATTTTCAGCTTTTCTGCTCTGTTTTTTCCCCATCTTTGTGGTTTTATCTACTTTTGGTCTTTGATGATGGTGACGTACAGATGGGGTTTTGGTGTGGATGTCCTTTGTGTTTGTTACTTTTCCTTCTAACAGTCAGGACCCTCAGCTGCAGGTCTGTTGGAGTTTGCTGGAGGTCCACTCCAGACCCTGTTTGCCTGGGTATCAGCAGCAGAGGCTGCAGAACAGCGAATATTGCTGAACAGCAAATGTTGCTGCCTGATCATTCCTCCGGATGTTTCATCTCAGAGGGTTACTCGGCCTTGTGAGGTGTCAGTCTGCCCTTACTGGGGGGTGCCTCCCAATTAGGCTACTCGGGGGTCAGAGATCCACTTGAGGAGGCAGTCTGTCCGTTCTCAGATCTCAGACTCCGTGCTGGGAGAACCACTACTCTCTTCAAAGCTGTCAGGCAGGGACATTTAAGTCTGCAGAGGTTTCTGCTGCCTTTTGTTCGGCTATGCCCTGCCCCCAGAGGTGGAGTCTACAGAGGAAGGCAGGCCTCCTTGAGCTGCAGTGGGCTCCACCCAGCTTGAGCCTCCCGGCCACTTTATTTACCTACTCAAGCCTCAGCAATGGTGGGCGCCCCTCCCCCAGCCTTGCTGCTGCCTTGCAGTTCGATCTCAGACTGCTGTGCTAGCAATGAGTGAGGCTCCGTGGGCGTGGGACCCTCCGAGCCAGGTGCGGGATATAATCTCCTGGTGTGCCGTTTGCTAAGACCATTGGAAAAGTGCAGTATTAGGGTGGGAGTGACCCGATTTTCCAGATTTCATCTGTCACAGCTTCACTTGGCTAGGAAAGGGAATCCCCCGACCCCTTGCACTTCCCAGATGAGGCGATGCCTTGCCCTGCTTCGGTCATGCTCGGTGCACTGCACCCACTGTCCTGCACCCACTGTCCAACAAGCCCCAGTGAGATGAACCCGGTACCTCAGCTGGAAATGCAGAAATCACCTGTCTTCTGTGTCACTCATGTTGGGAGCTGTAGACTGGAGCTGTTCCTATTCGGCTATCTTGGAACTGCCCCCTATCCTGAATATTTTGCAAAATATTTTGAGGAATTTTACAATGAAATTTCTTTTTAAAAATTTTTGCATATTTTATTATCTGAAAAATGGCCTTATTTACAGTCATAGAAAATGCTCACAAACATACCTAAAGTAAGAAAACAAAAATAATCTGTATTAACAAATTCATTTTTTATACCTGTTACTAAATCAGCCTTCAAACTCACCACAAATTTTGGTACCACCATATATTGTTAGAGTTTTTATAAAAATCAAAGGAGATTATGGCATAATATAAAAGAAAAATGATCTGGCCAACATCCACTATAAACCTTAGCTGCATCCTTTTAATTTTTTATTTTTAAAAAAAATAAAGGGTTTTTTTCCTGTCTTTACAATTGATTTAAAGCTTTGAAGTGGGTGGTAGCCACCTCAGAGGAGACTGATGAGTGTCACAGGGCATAAATAGCTACAGAATGTTTATTAGAAATGTGGGGGTCAGCCACCACCCTAAATTTCTTATGTACATACATAAAGTTACTTAAAGAATAAAAAGGATAGGAATAGTATTCTCTTTTTAATTGAGGTAAATTTCATATACATAAGTTAACCATTAACCATTTTAAAGTGTATAATTTAGTGTTATTTATTAGTCCAAAAATAAACTGGGTATTCATTAAGCAGTCATTCCCCATTTTGCCTTTTTGCCCTGCTCCTGGAAAGCACCAGTCTGTTTTCTGTCCCTGTGAATTTACTTATTTCAAATGTTTCACATAAATGAAATCATCACTATGTAGCCTTGTGTTTCTCGCTTCTTTGACTTAGCCTAATGTTTTCATCCACATAATAGAATGTGTTAGTAGCATAAGGGTCATCCTCTTTGTAGCATGTATCAATATGTGATTCCTATTTAAGGTTAAATAACGTTCCATGGTATATATACCACATTTTATTTACCCATTCATCAGTTTATGGACATTTGAGTTGTTTCTGCCTTTTGGCTATTATGAATAGTGCTGCCATGAACATTCATGTGCAAGTTTTTATTTGAATACCTGCTTTCTACTCAAGGGCATATCCCAGGGGCAAAATTGCAGGACTGTGTGGTAATTCTATATTTAGTTTCTTGAGTAACCACCAAATTGTTTTCCACACTTGGTATACAATTTTGATATCAGGAAGTATAAGTCCTTCAACTTTCTTTTTCAAGATTGTTGTAACTAGTTGAGGTCCCTTAGAATTCCATATAAATTTTAGATTATCTTGCCTGTTTCTGCAAAATAGAGAAAAAGGTCAAGATTTTTATAGGATTTAATTTAATCTGTAGATTGCTTTGGGTAGCATTGTCATATTATCAATATTAAGCCTTCCAAACCATGAACATGGAATGTCTTACCTTTTATTTAAATCTTTAACTTATTTTGGTAATGTTTTGTTGTTTTGAGCACGCAAGTTTTAGGTTAACATTAATCCTAACTATTTTGTTGTTTTTGGTGCTATTTTAAATATAATTGTTTTCATAATTTCATTTTCAGATCAGTACTTTCTAGTGTATAGAAATACAACTGATTTTTATATATCGATTTTGTTTCCTGAAACTTTGCTATTTTGTTTATTAGCTCTAGTTGATTTTTGCACATTCTCTAGGATTTTCAATATATAGGATTATGTCATCCACAAATAGAGACCATTTTACTTCTTCCTTTTCAATTGGAATTTCTTTTTTTTCTTAGATTCAAGGGAAAGAAATATAGCTAGTGACAAAATGAATGAGATCAGTGACTGCAAATTTAACCATAAATTTAAGCAAAGGTAACCTCCAGTGCCATGCTTTGCCAAACATGGTTTTGCTGCTGGAAGAGATCAAGAAAAGCAGACTGGAGAGAGGACAGAGAGGTTATCACAAAGTTAACAAGGCTTAAACTCTGCAGCTCCCATCACAGAGTAACTGCCAGAGGCCTTGGAGGGCCCTGGCAATGTGAGCACAGACTATATATTACTGCACTCATAATTTCATCATATTTTTTTTTCAAATGGTATCCAAAATTGTAAAAGCTTCTGGGCTATGGCATAGATGTACCTTTGAGAATGAGAAAATGATCTGGTACTTACCCAGTCTTCAATCGGCAATTAATTAATCATTATCATGTGAATTTTAACAACAATAGTGTATTACTATACTACTTGAATAATTAAAATATTAAAGTAAATCTTTTTATCTACATTTCTACTCTCCATCATATTGAATATGGAAGCTATTTTTCAAAGCATATACATTAATTTAAATTTTGTGATAAAATTTGGATCCATATATTCCACCACCATGCATCCTAGGCTTTGATCCCAATTTTATACCTTGACAAGAGAAGATGCTCATGATACGTTGTTAAAAGGGAAAAATGCAGCTTACAGAAAAATGTGTCATATAACTTCTTTTATGTTTATGGATAATCATTTTATAAACATAAAAAGTTGGAACAATATTCAAACTAATAGTATTCATCTCTGAAAATAGGAATTATCAAAAGCTAGAAAGTATTCTCTTTATTTAAAAAAAATTCCAGTTTGAATTTCTCCTGTGTTATACCAAAAATATTTCCATTAAAAGTAAAAAGAAAAAGTGAATGAGATTTAAGGAGGGAGAGAAAGAAAAAGGAGAAACTAGACTCAAGACAGAGGAGGATCAGTGGAAGAAATTAAAAGGACAGTATCTGAAGTGGGATGCCAGAACGTGTTAGCTAGTGGTGGCTGCTTTCAGAATTATTAAAGAAGGCTCTGCAGCTGTTGATAAGTAGAACAGAAATGAGTATATATGAAAATCATTTAATGTAAACCTTTTATCAGATAAAACTGTCTTTTTGTTTTACAGATACTTCTTTTTTCGTATATGCCATACAATAGTATTTACTGAGGAATTTGAACATGTTGGATACCTTGTGATATTAATGAATATATTTCCCTTTATAATCTCTTGGATATCCCAGTTAAATGTAATCTACCACAGCGAATTAAAACACACTAACTACTGTTTTCTTACACTTTATATTCTAGAGGCACTACTTAAGGTAATCTAAAATTTATGTGTGTATGGAAGTGTTATATGTCTGACAGGGAGATTTCCTAGCCTTGTTTTTCAACACCAGCAACAGACAATTTTCTGAAGGAGTGTATGAATTTCTTCCTCACGTCTCCAAACTTTAATTTTTGAAGGTGATTTTTATAGTAACTCAATAGATAATATGCATACTTGAAGCACTGATTTTGTATTTCCAGAAATGAATTTTAAAATGGTGTGTGTCAAAGGGACACAAAGTGAGTTTAAAAGGTATTGGCAATATTCTCAGTCTTAGCAGGGTGGTGAGTACTTGAAGGTTCATTTTATTATTTTTATACTGGATAGATATTTTTATATCTCTCTAGTATGATAGAGGAATACACAGAGTACAATGGGAACAGACAGAAGGAGCTTCTTATGCAGAATAGTAGGGTCGGAGAAGGAAGGTATTCAAGGGAAAGCAATACTTGAGTTGAATTTTTAATAATGTCTAGGAGACAAAAAAGAGAATAACTACAAGTACATTGCATAATAAACAACAAGAACAAGGGAAAACATAGAAACAACACCATGACACATTAAGGAACACTACTTCCAATGACTGAAGCTCAGGAATGAATTGGTCAGAGTGGAGATTGGAGAGATGTTAAATATGTTTTCAGGATGTGGAAAATGAGGGAAGAGACATAGATGTGAATTAAATAATAAAGGGCAGGCCATGCTGTCTCATCTACTTTTGTGACATCAACTGTCATTCATAGTCTAATGACTCCCAAATTCATGTCTATAGCTCAGATTTTATCCAGAGCCGTAGATCATATAGGTAGCTGCTGACTATATCCCTCTGACAAAGTACTGTGCAAACATTACAAGCAGCATATTGAAAAGAAATTTGTCTTCTCTTATCCTACTATCCCTTCAGAATTTCAATGGAAACCCAATTTCCCAAGCTGAAATCTACAATCATCTTTGAAATCTCCCACTTTCTTAGCTATACTAGGTTTCAAGAAACCTTTTTTTGAAATATGCAGAAAGACTGACTGTATCAACTATCACAAAATAGTAGGAATTTTGACTATTTTCTCCCTTCGAATAGATGCTTCAGTATTTTAGCTATTTGATTTCAAATTAGTATGATCATTTACTAGTATAAATATATACTTTAACATGTCTAAATTCAAATTATTATTATTATTATACTTTAAGTTCTAGGGTACATGTGCACAACGTGCAGGTTTATTACATATGTAAACATGTGCCATGTTGGTTTGCTGCACCCATTAACTCGTCATTTACATTAGTTATTTCTCCTACTGCTTATCCCTCCCCCCAGCCCCCGACCCCACGACAGGATCCGGTGTGTGATGTTCCTTGCCCTGTGTCCAGGTGTTCTGATTGTTCACATCCCACCTACGAGTGAGAATATGTGGTGTTTGGTTTTCTGTCCTTGTGATAGTTTGCTCAGAATGATGGTTTCCAGCTTCATCCATGTCCCTACAAAGGACATGAACCCATCCTTTTTTATGGCTGCGTAGTATTCCATGGTGTATATGGGCCACATTTTCTTAATCCAGTCTATCATTGATGGACATTTGGGTTGGTTCCAAGTCTTTGCTATTGTGAATGGTGCCGCAATAGACATATGTGTGCATGTGTCTTTATAGTAACATGATTTATAATCCTTTAGGTATCTACCCAGTAATGGGATGGCTGGGTCAAATGGTATTTCTAGTTCTAGATCCTTGAGGAATTGCCACACTCTTCCACAATGGTTGAACTAGTTTCTACTCCCACCAACAGTGTAAAACTGTTCCTATGTCTCCACATCCTCTCCAGCACCTGTTGTTTCCTTTTTAATGATGGCCATTCTAACTGGTGTGAGATGTTATCTCACTGTGGTTTTGATTTGCATTTCTCTGATGACCAGTGATGATGAGCATTTTTTCATGCATCTATTGGCTGCATAAATGTCTTCTTTTGAGAAGTGTCTGTTCATGTCCTTTGCCCACTTTTTGATGGGGTTGTTTTTTTCTTGTAAATTTGTTTGAGTTCATTGTAGATTCTGGATATTAGCCCTTTGTCAGATGAGTAGGTTGCTAAAATTTTCTCCCATTTTGTAGGTTGCCTGTTCACTCTGATGGTAGTTTCTTTTGCTGTGCAGAAGCTCTTTAGTTTAATTAGATCCCATTTGTCAATTTTGGCTTTTGTTGCCATTGCTTTTGGTGTTTTAGACATGAAGTCCTTGCCCATGCCTATGTCCTGAATGGTAATGCCTAGGTTTTCTTCTAGGGTTTTATGGTTTTAGGTCTAATGTTTAAGTCTTTAATCCATCTTGAATTGATTTTTGTATAAGGTGTAAAGAAGGGATCCAGTTTCAGCTTTCTACATTTGGCTAGCCAGTTTTCCCAGCACCATTTATTAAATAGGGAATCCTTTCCCCATTGCTTGTTTTTCTCAGGTTTGTCAAAGATCAGATAGTTGTAGATATGCAGCATTATTTCTGAGGTCTCTGTTCTGTTCCATTGATCCATATCTCTGTTTTGGTACCAGTACCATGCTGTTTCCAGCTTTGTTCTTTTGGCTTAGGATTGACTTGGCGATGTGGGCTCTTTTTTGGTTCCATATGAACTTTAAAGTAGTTTTTTCCAATTCTGTGAAGAAAGTTGTTGGTAGCTTGATGGGGATGGCATTGAATCTATAAATTACCTTGGGCAGTATGGCCATTTTCACGATATTGATTCTTCCTACCCATGAGCATGGAATGTTCTTCCATTTGTTTGTATCCTCTTTTATTTCGTTGAGCAGTGGTTTGTAGTTCTCCTTGAAGAGGTCCTTCACGTCCCTTGTAAGTTGGATTCCCAGGTATTTTATTGTCTTTGAAGCAATTGTGAATGGGAGTTCACTCATGATTTGGCTCTCTGTTTGACTGTTATTGGTGTGTAAGAATGCTTGTGATTTTTGTACATTGATTTTGTATCCTGAGACTTTGCTGAAGTTGCTTATGAGCTTAAGGAGATTTTGGGCTGAGACGATGGGGTTTTCTAGATATACAATCATGTCATCTGCAAACAGGGACAAATTGACTTCCTTTTTTCCTAACTGAATACCCTTTATTTCCTTCTCCTGCCTGATTGCCCTGGCCAGAACTTCCAACACTATGTTGAATAGGAATGGTGAGAGAGGGCATCGAATTTTTTTGAGAAATTAAAAATAACTTATTCTGCGTTATCCCAGAATGAAATTACACAAGTGAATTTAGTGAAGAAAGCATAATCTTTTAATAAATATATTTTTAAATCTTGAACTACTTTAATAAAAACTTTGCCCACATGTGTCACAACAAACATAAACTAATTTTGTTTTGACTACTCAGAATCATCATTTTGGATATAAATTATAAAATAATAAAAAATGGATGCAACCCCCAGGATTTTTATGGCATTTAGGGCAACTTGTTTTAAATTAAAACACCCTGGCGTACTACATTTTTGTCTGAATTTGCCTTTTCATTGTCGCTACTTTTTACTGGTGTCATTATATACATTTGTTTGTTTTCATTATACCTGTCCTTTAAACCCAATCCTAAATTAATAGTTCTAGGAGTATTCCTTTATTACAAGATAAATTTGATGAACTTGTTTGTTTGATTTTGGTTTCCTGAGGATATTTCATACATGTGGAGTAGATAAGAGAAAAGCCTAACATGATGTTTAAATTATTGTGGAAAATGGTGTAGTAAAAGCAGAAACAAACATGATAATGTAATTTCCTTTTAAATCAACAGATAGCAGCAATGAGGAAGGACTTTTTTTCACATGCCTGGAACATATTCGAGTTAGCAATTACATTAATTGGCATCTTACATGTAATACTTATTGAAATAGACACCATTAAGTATATTTTTAATGAGACTGAAGTAATAGTCTTTATAAAAGTTGTTCAATTTTTTCGTATACTACGCATTTTCAAGGTAAAGAACCAGTAAATCGTGCAATTTCTAATTCCTACTGATTGTTTCATAAAACATAGAGTAAAATTAGTTTACTAGTTTTATGGTTAACATATTCTGTTGGGTTAATGTTTATATTTTAAATTTTAGCTTCCTTTGGCAAATTAAGTTTCATAACATTTCATATTACAAACATCCCAATTATATTAGGAATTTGTTTAGCATGTGAAAGTATAGACATACTCATCACAACTTTTCCTTTAAATAGACAGCACATGAGAAATTCTATATTAATGCAAGTGTAAGTTAACCTCCATGTAATGTTTATTTTTATAGATATTTGGGGAATAAAAGATGGAAGTTAACAAAACAACCATGCAAACTATTTATAGGGACAAAGAAAATATCCTACATTTATACAAATCAAGGAAAAAATACATATAGTATTATAGAAATATGGTTTCAAAAATAACCTTTGATTGTCTAATAACATGTTTCTATAACAAATATTATGGGTGGTTATTTTCTGTGTGATTATTTCAATGACATGAAACTCACTCCTCCACAAATAAGTATATATATGAATGCAGATATACTCTCTCTTTCCTATCTTTTTCACTATTCATACACAAACAAGATACATGCATATATAAGCACTGTGAGTGATACAGTTAAATAAAACATAGTTTGTATGGAGATAAAACTAATAGAATCTTTACATTTAGATCTTTCTTACACATGCAAGGAATAATTTAAAACATTTTTGCTACTGAGAGGCATAAATCAACTAGGTCAAAGAGTACAGAACCAGTAGTCTGCTTTTTCGGTATTCTAAGGGATCATAAGTAGTGCTAGAGTACAATTTACCTGAGGAAGGCGAGTCTAGTGTATTCCACTGATGAATTAATTCTGATAGGAAGGTATACAGAGCCTAACAAATAGTTCAGATGAAGAAACTAATAAAACAACTTAGAAAAGTTTGTTGATATATTCAGAAAACTCTGAACTATGGTCTTATGTTAAATCACAGGTCCTTGGAATATGAAGATGAATTAGATATTGTCTCTTCCCCTGGAAAGCTTATTGTAGAAGAAAAATCACGAGTAATCTAGATATTGAAATGTTATATGGTAGGATAAGTGCAAAACAGGAGTATGCACAGAATGAGAAAAGACTTCATTTATTAGGTGATACTTGAGCTGAATCTTGAAAGATGAGTGTAAACCCTTTGGAGATTAGTGGCAGGTAGTTGCAGGGTAGAGTATGGAGGTTGTGGAACATAGATAGAAAAACAAAGGGATCAATGAACTCTGCAGAAGCTAGGGGACTGCACAATGGTAGCTGATAACCTGGAGACTTCAACCCTCAGCAAAGAAACAGAGAGAAGTGAAGTTAATTTTGGGGTCTAACAGGCAGTATGGTTGTGGTGGTTTCTCACCTGACCAGACCATCAAGTAGGAGGTGTTATAGGAGATTTAGCATGCAAAAATGGCAGTAATTTAGTCATTTTATGACCTAAGCACAGAAGATTAATTGCATTGTTTTCCAAGAATTGAAACCAGTTGAAAATAGCATCCAATTCTCTATAAGGAAAATAAGTAAAGAATAAAGTCATAAATTTCACATAGGTACCCCCAAATTATTAGTTATAGGGAAATAGCTATAGTCATGAAGTTATAAAGATACCACTAAAAAAATAACAAAGAACCTTGACAGGTTATTGTAGTTACCTTTGAGGGCACTTAATTTCTTATTATTAACTATTTTGATTAAACTAATCAACATATCATAAAATGATATTTGTGCAATTTATATTAATGGAAGTCCTGTTTAATTCAGCTCATAGCACCAAAGTTGCTGCAAATAATAGATAAAAGAATGAGTCATCAGAAGACCTTTTGGTATGGAATACTAAAAGGCTATGTCCAAGGCGAAGCAGACATAATGACCATAATTGATCAGATTACAAGTTCTAAACAGATTAAACAGGTAAGAAAACCTTAAATCCTAAGAAAAGAGTTCACTCAGCCCTCAGTTGCCCTCATCCATCATTTTTTTCTGTTCATATATGCAGATGTCTTTGACTCCTGGTTTTCTAATTCATTTCTTTAAAAACTTAAACTAGGTTACATTTAAATTACTCAAATGCCTCCTTCTGAAATGAACTGTGCCATATTAGCAAGTTACAAGGCTCCTATAAGGCACACTTCTGTCTTTGTGGAGGCTATCACAAAACCCAAGTGCAGTGGTTAGCTTTCTCCCAATGCAAGCTCTAAGATCTGTCAGGCTATGGGTGTGTAAAATAGGAAGTACTGGAAGGTGAGAAGTGAAGGCAGGGTGGAGAAAACAGGGCTTCCTCATAATGCCCAAAAGCTTCTTTCATCTCTCTCTATCCTTGTTTTCTACACATTAAACAGTAAAGGAAATAAAAACAAGTGATTCAGCAAATAGAAAGAAGTAAAGAAAACAATAATTAAAATAGAGGGAAACCTAGTTTGATTTTGTCATTATGCAGATGAGAAAAAGGAGGCCAAGAGAGGTTAAATGATTGTGCCCAAAGTTCCATAGTGAGTAAGCAGGAAAGATAATTCTAAGGCCTAAATTCTAGATATTATTTTTACTTTCTAGATTGAGACAGATTAAAACCGATATGTGCCCATAAGTTTGTCAGCTATGTGGAATGCAATATTTACTTTTCAAGACGATTTAAAACATCTCAATGCTATATTTTATGTGCCCAAAACTTTGTCATTGAGAAACTGAACATTCAATATGTGGTAGAACACAAAAAGTAGTATCTTCCTCTCTTCACCTCCTGCAACTTTAAAACTATTTTCTTATGTTTTATTACCTTTTCTAACCACTGATATTTAGCACTTGAATTTGGAGACACACAGGAGAAAATATGAAAAGACTTGAGTCCCTAAAATATTGTCTTATTATCCCTAATTTCTACTTTCGTTCACCTTGGCCAAAATTTCTAATCCCTTAAGATTGCAAGCCATCCTGGAATCACAAATCTGGGGGCTCTCATAAAGCCGAATGGGAAAGTACCTACCTATGTTCATAAAACATAGACTAAAATCAGTTTACTAGTTTTATGGCTACAATTTTCTGTTGGGCTAATGTTTGTATCTTAAATTTTAGCTCCCTTTGACAAATTAAGTTTTATAACGTTTCATATTACAAACATCCAAATTATATTAGGAATTAATACCATGCCTGCACTTTTCAGAATCATGACTCACCTTCAGATGTCTCAAAATTGGGCTAGGTTATACCTCTTATCTTCTCTATTACTTTAGCTGAAGCAAAAAGTGCTGCGGCACAAAATTCAATTCGAACCCCTGAAAACCTCTTCATCCTACTTCTCTTAAAACTATTAACTTAGGTTAAAAATCCATCAGTTGCAAATGTAAGGACATTTTATAACAGTCTGTTTTTCCAATGGGGATAACATTTCTTTTGTTCCTTAGATGTTATTAAAGCAAGTGATAAGGAATATGGAACATGCTATAAAAGAGCTAGGTAAGTAGCTCTCATCCTATTTAGCATGACCATCTCTTATCATCACCACTTCAGAAAGGCAATGGTTTTCATAACTCGAGCTAATCTTTGAGGAAACCTACTCACTAACAATACTGAAGTGAGTAACCTCAACAATCAATGCAATCTTATTTTCTAGTTGAGATGGAAATAGTGTAATATCGCTTCACACTTTCTCTCTCTGCTTCATGCAACAATGAAGGCCTTTTGATTTCTCTTTAGACAAGTTGGCATGCTATGATTATGTATGTCATTATAGTCTTGTAAATTCCATTTTTTTCCAAACCAGAAATACATGTACCTTCCTGAGTGACACAAGAAAAGAAGTTACGTTTTTCCTCTACTTGCCACAGAGCTGCCATTTAAGGATTTAGGTCTTACATGAGTTGAAATTAGAATACAATCTTGCAGAATCCTGTTATATCTGCTGGGAGGCCCAGTGTCAAACATGGCAATAGCCTATTCTCTGAGTCATGCCAAGTCACGCTCCTGGTGCAGGACAAATCTTAAGAGTGGCACAGTCACAACCCTACAGTACAATGTTCATGTATAGGAGGAGAAGAAAATTTTATACCATGTGGTGAGCTACAAAAGGACACAGCAAACCTGGAGATGAGGTCATTTGAGAGATCTTCTATGACAGGTAGTTACCAAGCCAGATAAGAGGTTATGGTCAAGGAAAAGCCCAAATGTAGACTCTAAGATGAAATTTTCATGGACTTCAGGAATCCAGATGAAATGGGCAGAAGAGCATAAATGTATGAGTCATCTAGATGCACTGGCAGGTTGAGTGGACGATGACCTAAGACGAGTGAAAGGAAGTAATCAGAAGCCGTATTTAATCACAAAATCATCTGTAGTTAAAAATTCTGATTCACACAGAATAAGAAAATGAGTCATGAACTCCAGACATATAGCCCTGAGCAGCCTCCTAGTGTCCAGTGCAGGTAGAAAAGTATACCTGTTAATCCTAGAAACGAAGCTACCTATCCTTCTCCATGGACTTGGGCACAAGTATGAGTGCTGCCAAGAAAACATCCAGCAGAACTCTGGCACTACTAGTGAATTATGATTGATCATAGTGGCCCCTTCAGGAAGAGATACATTTCTCTGTGTTGAGGGCGGTATTCCATGGGTTTAGAACAGAAACTTAGCTTATTGTCCACATAAAACATTTAAAACAATGTTCTTATTTAATCTAAAAATATTTTGTTATTTTTTAGGCTACTTAGAGTATGATCACCCAGAAATTGCTGTCACTGTGAAAACAAAGGAAGAAATTAATGTTATGCTCAATATGGCTACAGAAATTCTTAAGGCTTTTGGCTTAAAAGGAATTATTAGTAAAACTGAAGGTGCTGGAATTAATAAGGTAAGGCAAAATATTTTCAAAGCAAGTATATTTACTTGATACATAATCATTCATGACCTTCAAGGCTACATTTGACTTCTAATACAGGCCATTTCTAAGATAGGAAAATCTCACTTAAAATAATTTTCTGAAGACAAACTCCTATGATAGACAGTTTCCTTCCTGCAGCCCAGGTGGTCAGCTTCTCTTTTTATTTTTGCTACAGGAACAGACCACCTGTTTCTCTGCTTTGCTGTCAAACCAAAAGTCTGATGAATCTATTCGTCATCCTAGATTACAGTGGGTATTATTATGTTTGGGGAATTATCTGTGACACTTAAATAACATTTTTCGTGTAAAACATGATTTATGAGAACACTCAATTGTAGGGTTAGTGTTGACTATATTTCCTTTTCCTAAGTTACATAAATGGTACTATGACATATAAAGGATAGAAAGAATCCCAATTCATTCTGTAAGTACAAACTTGACACCAAAATTGGAAATAGCATAAGAAAAAAAAAGCATAAACCTGTTATACTTGTAAATACACATACAAAATTTCTTAGCATAATAGTAGTGAACTGAATTGGGTAGCATATTAAACGTGTAATATACTTTGTCTCGGTAGGTTTTCTCTCCCCTAACAGCTATGTAACTCACATATTAAGAGATGAAGAAGAAAAACTATTTGATAAAATTTAACCCTCATTAAGAATGTTAATAAAAATCTTAGAAGACTAATAATAGAAGGAACCTCCCTAACTTGATAAATAGTATCTATTAAAAATTTGTAGCAAACTTTGTGTTAGATAGCAAAACATTAAGAGCATTCTTATTAAAGTTAGGAACAAAAGAAGAACGACAAGTGGCATTCCAAGCATTGAATAACTATGCTGGAGGTCTTATCCAAGTCAAGAAAAAAAAGAAAGAAAATTGAAAGATGAAAATTTTGGAAAGAGGAGAAAAGTGCTATTATTTGTTGACTGATTAAAATCTTAAGGAATTAGCTTAAAAGCAGTAGGATTAATAAAATAATTCAATAGAGTCCAGAAATAAAAGTAATATATAAAATTCTTCTCCAATGGAAAAATTTAGAAAAATATTATTATATTTACAATTACAATTAGAAACTCTAAATTCTTATCTATGAACCTAATATAAAATACATAACACCTATGTGGCAAGAACTAAAAAATTCCAACTGAATACATGTTTCTGTAGAGTAGGTATTAATCATTTTCTATAAAGGAAAATATAGTAAATATTTTATATAATGTAGGCCATATGGTTCCTACTAGTAGTACTAAATTCTGCAATTGTAATACCAAAACAACTACAAACAACATGTAAATAAATAGGCAGGGTTGTGTTCCCTACCCCAAAAAAATACTGTTTACAAAAGCAGGTGTTAAGCAGGAGCAGGCCGACAGGCAGTAGTTGCAACCCATGTTGTAGAGAATCAATATCTAAGGCATGAATCATCCATAAAATAATCAGTTAATTTAATAAACCTTAATTAAAATTCACACCATGTCAGGGAGTTAAGGATTTTACTTGTACAATTTATTGCTCAAAAATTAATTTATTAAGAAAATGGTAAGAATTTAGAGGATTCTAGGAAGAAAACAGAGTAGGAAGTTTCAGAAATCTGTCTCTCCTTTTAGACAACAATTGCACTGGCAAAATCTGTCTGATGTAACTATTTTGGAAATCTGAATTCTATGAAGGTTTGCAACTTTCAGGGGAAGGCTTGGATGATAAATTTTGGTTAATTTCTGTCATGTTTATCTCTTAGCACAGTAATAGCTACTCCTCACCCCTCAGCACCATGGCAGGCAGCTATGCATGTGTCCTTGGAGCAACTTACAACTTGCAAGAGCCAGATTGGCAATAAAAGACCCTGTTCTCTAAATATCTTGCATCTGTACTCTGATGACTGATTGATCGCTGTTTCTAATCAGAGAAGGCAAAGAGGTGGAAACCATTGTGATTGCACCTCCTCACATTATTGTAAGCCCTCCCCCTCTGGCTGAAGTGACTTCCAAAGGATTTAAAGGGCCAACACTTTTTTTAACCTCTTTATTTTTGTCTTATTTCTCTTTTGGGAGCCAGACTTTAGAGACTAAGACATTCAAAAACCACCACTTCACAGGTGAAATTAGAAAGTCACAATGCATGCACAGGGGAAGGCACAGGCTCAGAAAAAAAGTAAAATAAAACCCTGACAATGCCTTAAGCTTAGACCTAAGACTAATCCTCAGCTCAGAGACAGACTACAACCACCAAAAAACAAAAACAAAACAGCAAATTCTGGGGAAAAAGGGAGAGTCTGAGTTCCAGAATTACCACATTGTTTAATTCAAATTCAGTTTTTTTTTTTTAAATCACAAGGCATACACAAAAACTGGCAAGTATTGCCCATTCAAAAGAAAAAAATAAAACAACAGAACTGTCCCTAAAAAAGATGGCAGGTCTACCAGACAAAGACTTTAAAACAGTTGTTTTAAAGATGCTCAAAGAACTCAAGGAAGATGTGAGGAAAGTCAGGTAGAAAATACATGAACAAAATGGAAATATCCATAAAGACACAGAAAATCTAAAAAGAAATTCTGGAGCAGAAAAGTAAAAAGTACAATTAAGTACAATAACGAAAATCTAAAAATTTCCTAAGGGGATTCAAAGGCAGATTTGAGTAGGCAGAAAAAAGAATCAGCAAACTTGAGGATAGGTCACTGGAAATTACATGTCTGAGGAACAGAAAGATAAAAAGAATTTTTAAAAGTTAACAGAGCCTAAGGGGCCTGTGGGACACCTGAAGCAGACCAATATATATTGTGGGAGTCCAAGAGAGAGAAGGAAAAAAGACAATATTTGAGAAAATAATGGCCAAAAACTTTTGAAATTTAATGAAAGACATGAATGTAAACATCCAAGAATCTCAACAAATTCCAAGTAGGATGAACACAAACAGAACCACATCTAGACACATTATAATCAAACTGTTAAAAGACAAAAAGAAGTTTTAAGACAACAAGAGAGAAGCAATCCATCACACACAAGGATCCTCAATAAGATTAATAGCAGATTTCTTACCCGAAAACTTGGAGGCCAGAAGCCAGTGAGCTGATATATTCGAAGTGGAAAAAAAAAAAAGTGTCAGCCAAGAATCTTACATTCAGAAAAATTGTACTTCAAATGTAAAGGAAAAATTGAGACATTTCCAGATAAACAAAAGTTTAGGGAGTTTGTTACCTCTAGATCTGCCCTAAAATAAATGCAAAAGGAAGTCCTGCTGGTTAAATGGAAGGACACTAGACAGTAACTCAGAACCTTATAAAGAAATAAGACTCAGTAAAGGTAAATACATAGGGAATTATAAAAGCTAGTATTATTGTAATCATGATGTGTAACTCCACTTTTTGTTTTCTAAATGATTTACGAGAATAATATTTCTACTAAAAACAGTTATTAGTATAAAACTAATATTATTTTAACTTTGGATTGCATTAAAAATATTTCATGTTTTTGGACACACAATGTATAAAGATGTAATACTGTGATATCAACAGCTGGAAGGAGATGGGGATGGAACTGTTGTTAAAGGAATAGAGTTTTTGAATGTTATGGAAGTTAAGTTTGTATAAATTCAAATTATAGTGTTATAGCTCTGGGAGTTCATCTATAATGCCCATGGTAAACACATAAAAAAAGTAGCTAAAATATATACACAGAAATAAATAAGAAAATAACTTAAATGTTTCACTATTTTAAAAAATCAACTTAACACAAAAGACAATAATATAGGACAACAAAGCTACAGATATTTAGAAAAGCTATACAAAAAAAATACAGCAAAATGACAGAAGTAAGTTCCTTCTTATCAGTAATTACTTTAAATGTAAAGGGATTAAACTCTCTAATCAAAGACAGAGATTGGCAGAACAGATCAAAAAACATGATCCAACTATGTGCTTTTTCTTTGAGAAACTGGATCTCTACATGCACAAGAATAAAGTTGGACCCTTAACTAACATCATATACAAAAAATACCTCAAAATAGACCCATGACCTTTATGTAAGACCTAAAACTATAAAACTCTTAGAAGAAAACATGGTTAAAACTTCAAAATATTGGATTTGACAATGATTACTTGGAAATGATGCTTAAGGCACGTGCAGCAAAATAAAATATAGACAAAGTGCACTTCAGGAAAATTTGGAAATTTTGTGTGTGCATCAAAAACCACTATTACAGAGTAAAACGACCCAAAGAATGAGAGGAAATATTTGCAAACCATTTGTCTTATACAAATTAATACCCATAATATATAGAGAACTCATAAAACTAAACAACCTGATTCAAAATGGGCAAAACATTTGAATAGAAATTTCTCCAAAGAAGACACTCAAGTGGCCAATAACAACATGAAAATATAATGAGTTTGACATCATTCATCATTATGGAAATGCAAATCAAAACTACAGTGAGATACCACCACACATCCATTAGGATAGCTACCACCAAAAAAAAAAAAGAAAATATCATTGTTTCGGTGAGGGTGTGGAGAAATTGGAACCCTTGTACACTGTTGTTGGAAAAGTAAAATGATATAACCTCTGTGGGAAACAGTATGGCACTTTCTCAAAAAAGTTAAAATTAGAATTACCATATGATCCAGTAATTCCTTTTCTGGGTATATAGTCAAAAGAATTGAAAGTGGAGTCTCAAGGAGTTATTTGTACACCTACATTCATAGCAACATTATTCACAATAACTAAAATGTAGAAGCCAATTAATTTACAGTGACATAGGCAAGATGGCACACTAGAGGTGCCTGGTACTCATTTCCTTCACCCCTGAAAAGAAAGGACCAAGGCAACAAATTAAAAAAATAAGATTTGGCTGGAATGTTGAGGGGAGAAAACTAAAGCACAGGCAGGGAGTAAAGAAGTACCTGTGGTGATTGGAAAGCCCAGGAAGTCACATGGAGTCACCCTGCTTCTGCAGCCCCATCTCCCCCACGCATATTGGCCTGGAGTCAGAAATAACTTCCCATTTCAGGGAAAAGATAGGCAGAAGATTCCCACTGGCCCCCAATGCCACCACAAGCACCTGCAGTCCTCCCTACAGAAGTATCGCACAGTCTTTCCAAAACCTGAACATTATTTGGGGAGCTGCTGGGAATTCATGAAGCTGCATTACTCCAGATTAGGATCATAAGGTGTGCACGCCCCACTCCCTACCCATCTACTGTGAGCCAAGCTGCTGCACCATGGCACCATCTTGACACCAGAGCCATTTGTGGAGTGTACCCTGCTCATGGGACCAGTTGCTATTGCACCCCTCCAGCCCTGGAGCTGTCTCTTCATTCCACCAAGCCCACATGAATGACTGAATGCCACAAACCCAGTTGTGTGAAACTGGGGCCTAGGATCAGCTGTGGCTCTGGTCCCACATAGCAGGAAAACCAACCCCCACCACCCACAATTCCAGCCAGAGAAACAGTCTTGCAGCCCCATTCAGGACAAAACCTCTGTTGAAATGGCCTAACCACTGTGTCTCTCCTGCAACCAGGAGAGGCCCACAAGCCAGCAAGTAGATAACACACCCCCAGGCTAGCAGAGCAGCTACAAGTGTCCCCACCCAAGACCTGAAAAACAGCCCTGTCCCCACCATTAACCTTATGGACATACCCCTGGCCTGCCCAATGACCCCATGCCATCCCCATACCCAGAGCCTGAGACACAACCCCATGGGCTACCCCCAGCAGACATATTCCTAAGCCAGCAAAGCAGCCTTGTGCCTGTATCCTGTGACCAAGAAAGAGCCCCAAGTTACCCTTCTCAACACAGACATGCCTCTGGCCTGCTGAATGCCCTGCACCAGAACTAAGGGCCTGAGAAACAGCCCCACAAGCCTCTGCTGAAAGATATGCCCCCAATGTAGCTAAGCAGTCTTGTGCCCACATGCCAGACCAGAAAAAAAGCCCATCCAATCCTAGGCAGACCTGCCTCCAAGCCAGCTAAATAGTCGCATGCCCATGCCCCTGGCCAGAGTAACAGACCCATGGCTCCAACCCTAGTGATCCAGACCCCAGGTTAGCTGACATGTCATGTGCATGCATGTGCCCCCAACTTGAGAGGCAGTCCGGCAAGTCTATACCTGGCAAAGCCATGGCATTACCACCACACGCTCTCATAGCTTAGGCCACTGAAACACTTGCAAAATTCACGAGTATGGATTCCAGTTGGAACAAACTACATGGAGACTACACTACTGCATCCACCTAGATCCAAAGCCAATGCATTCTACCCAACCGACACCCCAAGACCTACTCATGCCAATAAGTCTTTCCCTATGAAACCTACTTCATAAAATTCAAAGAGGCAATTGTTCCACCAGATGCATAGAAATTAGTGTAGTGACACATCAAACATGAAAAAGCAAGGAAATATGATACTTCCAGGGGAACACAATAACTCTCTACTAACAGATACACAAAATACCAGAAAAAAATTTTAAAATAATCATGTTAAGAAAACAGTAGGATACAAGAGAATACAGATGGACAGTACACCAAATCAGAAAAACAATTCATGATTCAAGTGAGAAGTTTAACAAAGAACCAGACAGAAATTCTAGAGCTGAGGAATTCAATGAATGAAATAAAAAACACAATTGAGAGCTTCAATAAAGACTAAACCAAGCAGAAAAAATAATTTCTGCACTTGAAGACAAGTCTTCTGAAATAACTCAGGCAGACCAAAAAGAAAGAAAAAAACAAAAACAAAAAAAGAATAGAAACAATAAAAGGTAGACACCACCCAAGTGTCCATTAATAGATGAATGAATGAGCAAAATGTGGTATATACATACAATGGAATTTTATTTAACCTTAAAAAGATAAATCCTGATATATACTACAATATAGATGAATCTTGATGACTTGTGCTAATTGAAATAAGCCAGTCACAAAAATCAAATACTATGTGATTGCATTTATATAAGGTATTTAGAGAATCAAAAGATAGAGAAATGATGGAATTGTAGTTGCCAGGGGCTGGGGAAGTTGAAATGGGGAATTATTGTTTAATGGGTATAGAGTTTCAGTTGTGCAAGATGAAAAGAATTCTGGAGATGGATGGTAGTGATGGTTAAGCAACAGTATGAATGTACTTAATACCAGTGAAAATGAAGGGAGCCTTAGCCATTTAAAATAGTTAAAATAATAAATTTTTATGTTACGTGTATTTTACCACAGTAAAAAAAAAAATGGAAAAAAACAGTGAGAGGGATGTTTGCTCTACTAAATATTAAGACATGCTATAAATCCATAATAATCAAATAGTGAAGAATTAGAATAGAATAAAAAAATTCAAGGAAATAGAGTTGAGTCCAATAGCAAACATAAACACACATGGTAGTCTAATATATAATATTAAGGGACATTGCATATTAGGAAGAAATGATAGATTATTCAATAAATAATTCTGAGATATTTGAAATTCATATGAAAAAATATAACATTAGATCCATACCTCACACCATATAGAAAGAAAAACTTCCAGATGCAATGATGAGTTAACATTGCCAAACTCCTCCAAAAAAGCAAAGAAGGAATACTTCCAAGCCCATTTTATGAGGCTATCATTATTCTGATATCAAAGCCAGATAAGGACAAGAAAATTATAGACCAATATTTCTGATGAACATACCTGCAAATATTCTCAACAAAATATTAACAAACTGAATTCAAAAACACATTGAAAGAATCATTCACCACAATTGGTAAAGTGGGATTTATTTCTGAGATGCAAGGACTGTTTGACATACACAAATCAATAAATGTGATACACCACATTAACAAAATTAAGGATAAAATAATATGATTTTCCCAATTGATATAGAAAAGGCATTTGACAAAATTAAGCACCCTCTCATAATAAAAACTCTCAATAGATTAGGCATAGAGAGAATGTATCTCAACGCAATAAAGGCCAAATATGATAAACCCATTGCTCACATCATCCTCAATGAGGAAAAGTTGAAAAATCAGAGAGAAGAAAAGAAACGTCCTCTCTCCCCACTTATTTTCAACATAGTACTGGAAGTCCTGACCACAGCAGTTAGGCATGAGAAGAAATAAAAAGCATCCTCATAGGAAAGAAAGAAGTGAGACTGTCTCCATTTTCTGATGACATGATCTCATATAGAGAAAACCATCAAAAACTTGTTAGAATTGATAATTGAATTTAGTAAAGTTGTAGGATACAAAGTCAACTATACAAATGTTATAATGAAATACAGAATATATCTATATTCTTGATGTGAGGAAAGCTTTTCTAAACCACTTACAAAGCCATATATATATATGTGTGTGTGTGTGTGTGTGTGTGTGTGTGTGTGTGTTTAAAAAAAGTAAAAATTACTGCATAAAATTTAAAACTTTATATATTGAAATATATTAAAATGAGATTAAAAGCAAACATGGAAAATAACATTTGTAACATGTATTACACACAAAGTACTGATAGCAATAATTCCTAAAAAGTTTATAGAAATCAATTTAAAAAGGGCAAAAAATCCTGGAGAAAGTGAAAAAAGGGTATTAAAAAGTATTTCACAGATATATAAACAAAATTTACAATGAATGTTTGAAAAGATATTTGACATCCCTAATAATCAAAGAATAGAAGTATTTTCTTTAGTAAATAGAAACTAGAGAAATAAAACTAAAGATACAATTTTTTTGCCAATTAAATCAGAAATGATGGGCAAAAACTGTTATTGTTCAATGCTAATTAGGTTATGAGAAAATAGACTTAAATATGGTAGACTAAAATGTAAGTCAGCACAGCCATTCTGGAGGGCAATTTAGAAAATTCAACGGCCATTCATGCTAAAAACTCTCAATA